>NC_000003.12:52434242-52737272 GCF_000001405.40 Homo sapiens | reverse complement strand
TTTTTTTTTTAAGGAAAATTTAAACTTTAGCTTGGGCATGGTGGCTCACGCCTGTAATCACAGCACTTTAGGAGGCTGAGGTGGGTGGATCACCTGAGGTCAGGAGTACCAGACCAGCCTGGCCAACGTGGTGAGTGGTGAAAACTCATCTCTACTAAAAATATAAAAATTAGCTGGGCATGGTGCCACGCACCTGTAATCCCAGCGGCAGGGGAGGCTGAGGCAGGAGAATTGTTTGAACCTAGGAGGCGGAGGTTGCAGTGAGCTGAGATTACGCTACTGCACTCTAGCCTGGGTGACAGAGCAAGACTCTGTCTCAAAAAAAATAAACTCTATTACCTATTACCTAAAACATGAGAACTATGTACATTCTAAATCAAAAATTTAGAAATTATAGTGCCAGCAGTTAAATGTGAATCATACTCAAGAATTTCTATATTGGTAGTTTTCTTTTTTTTAAATGAAATTTCATTTTATTCTGATAAAGACTAATGTATGCCTAATCACCTAGTGATAATCCATAAGTTTGGTAATTCACAACATTTTTAGAAAGCACATAATATTAACATTCAAATAAAGCATTATAGAAAGTTTTATAAAGAATGAAGTGCTAGTTGGGCAGGGATGGGTGGGACAAAAAGAAAAGAATGAAGTGTTTACTATAATTCTTTTTTTTTTTTTTTTTATGAGACGGAGTCTCGCTCTGTCACCTAGGCTGGAGTGCAGTGGTGCGATCTCAGCTCACTGTAAGCTCTGCCTCCCTGGTTCACGCCATTCTCCTGCCTCAGCCTCCCGAGTAGCTGGGACTACAGGTGCCCACCACCACGCTTGGCTAATGTTTTGTATTTTTAGTAGAGGCTGGGTTTCACTGTGTCAGCCAGGATGGTCTCGATCTCCTGACCTCATGATCTGCCCACCTCGGCCTCCCAAAGTGCTGGGATTACAGGCGTGAGCCACCAGGCCCGGCCTGCTATAATTATTTTTAAAAACCTTGGTTCATCTTGAAAGATCAATGGATTTTTAAAATATCAGAAGAAAAGGAAAATAAATTCCCCCCCGCCAAAAATACATAAGAACCACTTACTGGCACTTGTATTTTAAGTACCTGGGAAAAAACAGGACAGATTTTTAAAGGCAATTAATAACAGCTGTTACAAGGGCTTGTTTCATTTGATTTAGCACCAAGTAAAATAAGAGTAAATATGCCACGGAAGACATAGTCGGGTTTTTCCTCCACTTCTCATATTGCCCCACTTCTCCTACTAGACCACACAGTACATCAGCAACCATCCTTGTTGCCCCACTAAGGAATCACTTTAGATTCCAATTTTTAAATGGCTGGTCAGATGACACCAGTAGAGTTCTTTCCCCTTAAGATAAGGTGGCAGTGAATGCTAACAGGTATCAATTTATTTGATCAGAAACAAACAACTCCTTCAGGAAATTAACTTACTTTCCTGATCCTTGTTAACTTATCATGTAAATTCTTTTTATTGGCACACCTGTTTACTAATTATGATTGATTGCTATTTTTGGCAAAGGAACATTCCCCAGGCATGCCTGAGCTATTTACTAATGACAAAGTGTGCTTACTTTACATAGTGCCATGGGTTTTCTCTTTTTCTCTTATTTTTGGGAGGGTTGTACAATACCTTGTTATTTATCAGGGCAGATCTCATACATTGGATCAAAAAGAGAAACTGGTAAGTAGATCGTAAAACACATTTCTTAACCTGAGTAACATCTGTAAACACAGACTTTAACTACATTTTGTTGAAAAATTCATTCAACTTTGGTGCTTATCCAAGAACTTATAATGTCCATTTCTGACATAAATAATAACCCTCAGTACATATGTATTTTCAAAAGAAAACAAGTGATCTTAAAGTAATATTTTTATCTATGCTAATTGTTACATTTTTATAGCAAATTGGAAATTCTGAGTAAACTGAAAGTGTGTTTAACACCAAAATAAATTTCGCTCTAACAAATGTTTTAAAAGTTTAGACATCTCTGATGTTTTTGAAGATAACTGGATAAAACACACTAGGTGATTTCAAAAGATGAATCTTAGTATCTATCTCATTTGACACTTCCTTTGTATTCAGAATAAAATTAGTAGAAATAAAAGTAGTATACTTTTCAAAGAATTCATATATACTGGAAGTCTTAGGAAAAGCAGCTTCTAAATGGAAGGCCTAGGAGGTTTGCTCATCTTACTCGTTACATGTATTTCTCCTCATGGAGTAACTGAAGAGCTTTCTGGCTTGTTTGTGGAATTTTAGTTGGTAGGAAAGCATATACACAGGGCCAAATCCTCTTGGTTTCTGTTCTGGAGAATGTTTCCATTACCCCTTTTTTTTTGGTAATATTCTAAGACTGGCTTTGTTTCAGTTCACAAGCCTTTAGTCTCTTGATATCCATCTCTGGTTTATCATCCTCTTGCTGAATGAGAGGCTCCCCAGTCAGATCATCAATGCCAACAGTTTTGGGAGGGTTGAATTCAATGTTGTAGACTTGGCCACTGGTGGGATGAATTGTACTGGTAGTTTTGATTAAACTCTCTACTCCGATATAACTGTTCTTTTTTTTTTTTTTTTTTTTTTGAGACGGAGTCTCGCTGTGTCACCCAGGCTGGGGTGCAGTGGTGCGATCTCAGCTCACCTCCACCTCCCAGGTTCAAGCGATTCTTCTGCCTCAGCCTCCCTAGTAGCTGGGACTACAGGTGTGTGCCACCACACATGGCTAATTTTTGTATTTTTAGTAGGGACAGGGTTTCACCATGTTGGCCAGGATGGTCTCGATCTTTTTTTTTTTTTTGAGTTGGAGTCTCACTCTGTTACCTAGCAGGCTGGAGTGCAGTGGCATGATATTGGCTCACCGCAACCTCCGCCTCCTGGGTTCAAGCAATTCTCCTGCCTCAGCCTCCCGAGCAGCTGGGATTACAGGCACCCGCCACCACACCTGGCTAATTGTTGTATATTTAGTAGAGTAGAGACGGGGTTTCACCATTTTGGCCAGGCTGGTCTTGAACTCCTGACCTCGTGATCCACCCGCCTCGGCCTCCCAAAATGCTGGGATTACAGGCATGAGCCACCGCGCCTGGCCTGTGGTCTCGATCTCTTGACCTTATGATCCACATGCCTTGGCCTCCTCAAGTGCTGGGATTACAGGTGTGAACCACTATGCCTGGCCAACTGTTCTCTCTTTATATATTATTTTTATATATATTATCTTTACATTTGTAAGGTTACCTTTCCGTGTGTGGATCAGTAGATGAGTACTGAGGCTTGAATGCAAACTGAATTCTTTGCCACATTTATTACATTTATAACGTTTGTGACCTATGTGAGTCTTCCAATGTTGTGTTAGCTATGAAGTACGACTGAAGACTTTGCCACATTTTTGCATCTGTAAGGTGTGCAGTGAATTCTCTTCAGTATGAATCTTCCAATGTCATGCAAGGTGTAAATTTTGATTCACCTTGCCACATGAATTACACTTGTAAGGTCTCTCTCCAGTATGAATTATCTGATGGTTGATTAGGTATAACTTGTGTCCGAAGACCTTGCCGCATTCACTATATTTGTAAAGTTTCTCTCCAGTATGGATTAGAAGATGGGCCATAAGTCCTGAATGCTTGCTAAATGCTTTCAACGTTTGTTACATTTGTAAGGCTTCTCTGTACTATGAATTATTTGATGCCGTGCAATTGACCAAAGACCTTGCCACATTCATTACGTGTGTAAGGTTTTTCTGCAGTATGACTTCTCTGTTGAGTGAGGGAAAATTTGTGCCTGAAGTTCTTGTACACTCATTACATTTGTAAGGTTTTTCTCCAGAATGGATTACAAGATGGGCGCTAAGTCCTGAACACTCTTTAAATGCTTTACCACATTCGTTACATTTGCGAGGCCTCTCTCCAGGATGAATTCTTTGATGTTGTGCAAGGTTTGAATTGCTGTTAAACACCTTGTGACAGTCACTACGTTTGTAAGGCTTCTGTCCAGTATGAATTCTCCAGTGATCTGCAAGGTGTGGATTGCAACTAAAGACCTTGCCACATTACTGCATTTGTAAAGTTTATCTGCAGTATGGATTACTTGATGATTAGTAAGACTTGCAGACACTCTAAAAACTTTGCCATCTTAACTACGTCCATAAGATTTTTCCTCTAATGTGTGCTTTGTCGTCTTGTGGGAGTGATGGGAAATCAATGAAATCATTTCTGTATTTATTTAACACTAGAAGAATTTTTTTGAAGTGGTGGAACTGAGGAACTATGGTTTGTAAACTTTTCAATTTGATTACTTCCATAAATTTTCCTTCCAGCTTAAAATAGCTGCAATTCAGGCAGATGTGACTGAAGGTTAATCCAAGTTGATTTTTAATAGGCTCATTTTCTGTATTACTTCCCAATGTACAGCTTCTCCCTGTGTTCACACCTTTGATGCATTCCCTGCCATCTGGATTGTTTGCTATCTTCACCCTGCAGAGTCCAGAGCTCTCGCTTTGTCTCCAACATGGAGATAATGCTCAGGTCAGGAAGACAGATTCCCAGAAAGACCAGGTTCCTGTAGTTCTCCTACATCACTTCCCTGTATAAAGCCCTCTGTGCAGGGTCCAGTTATTTCCACTCCTCCTGAGAGAATTCTGTAGCCACATCCATGAATGTCAAGTGACGCTGAGTAAGAGTCTTTCCTGATTCCTTTTCTTTCCGCTTCTTTCTCTTCTGGGCTTCTTCATCACACAGCCTGACTCATAAGAAATCAATCTGTGGCCGGGTGTGGTGGCTCACGCCTGTAATCCCAACACCTTGGGAGGCCGAGATGGGCGGATCATGAGGTCAGGAGATTGAGACCATCCTGACTTAACACGGTGAAACCCCGTCTCTACTAAAAATACAAAAAAATTAGCCGGGCGCAGTGGCGGGCATCTGTAGTCCCAACTACTTGGGAGGCTGAGGCAGGAGAATGGCATGAACCCAGGAGGCGGAGCTTGCAGTGAGCCAAGATCGCGCCACTGCACTCAGCCTGGGCAACTGAGAGAGACTGTGTCTCAAAAAGAAAAAAAAAGAAATCAATCTGTGAGGCTGGGCGCTGGGTGGCTCATGCCTGTAATCCCAGCATGTGTTAGTCTGTTCTCACACTGCTAATAAAGACATACTTGAGATTGGGTAGTTTATAAAGAAAAGAGGATTAATTGACTCATGGTTCCATATGGCTGGGGAGGCCTTAACAATCATAGCAGATGGTGAAGGGGAAGCAAGACACGTCTTACGTGGCAGCAGGCAAGAGAGTGTGTGCAGGGGGACTGCCCTTCATAAAACCGTCAGATCTCGTGAGACTTACTCACTATCATGAGAACCGCATGGGAAAACCCGTCCCCATGATTCACTTACCTCCCGCCGGGTCCCTCCCACGACACGTGGGGATTATGGGAGATACAATTCAAGATGAGATTTGGGTGGAGACACAGCTAAACCATACTTTCGGAGGACGAGGTGGGCAGATTGCCTGAACTCAGAAGTTTGAGACGGGCCTGGGCAACATGGCAAGACTCCTGTGTGTGCTGCGGCATGACCTTCACTCCACGTGATCCACTTCCAGGTCTCATTGGACACATTTTGAGTTAATTCTTGCGTATGGCATGATGAAGTAAAGCTCCAACTTCATTATGTATGTGGCTCTCCTGTTGTCCCGTCACCATGTGTTGCAAAGACTATTTTCTCACCTTGTTAAAAATCAGTTGACTAGAGACACATGGGCTTATTTCTGGACTCTCATTTCTATTCCGCTGATCTATATATCTATCCTTATGCCACTACCACACTTTGCTTACTGTTACTTTGGAGTAAGGTTTGAAATCAGGAAGGATGAGTCCTCCACTATTATTCTTTCTCAAGATTGTTTTGGTTATTCTGGGTCCCTTGCAATTACATATGAATTTTAGAATTTGTTTGTCAATTTCCACAAAGAAGCCAGCTGTCTTAAAGAAATTGAGAGAAGAAAGAAAAGTATGTTTGTAAATTTTGTTGTTGTAACTCTATCATTTCTGGATCTCTTTATTTGTTCCTTTGGATTCAACTTTCCATGTGGAGTCATTTCCGTAGCCTAATACAGCTTTGCTCCCACTTACCTCCTTTGTTTTGTTATTGGCAAATATATTACATTTCTATATGTTATAGGCTCAACAATATATACATTTTTTTAAATTGTAATAAAATGGAGATAAAATATACCATTTTAGCCATTTTAAAGCATACAGTTCAGTGGTATTAAGTACATTCACATTGTTGTACAACATTCACCACCATCTATCATCAGAACTTTTTTCATGTTGCAAAACTGAAACTCTACACCCATTTAACAATAGTTCCCCATTTCCTGCCCCCACCAGCCCCTGGCAACCACCCATCTACTTTCTGTCTCTCTGAGTTTGACTATCCTAAGCATTTGCACAAAGCTGAGACATAAAATGTTAAACTGGCCCACAAAGAAAGCTCCATGCTCAGATGCTTTACTGGTGAATTCTTCCAACCATCTAAGAAAGAAAGAACACCAATCCTGCATAAAGTCTTCCAGAATACTTTAAGAGGGGATACTTCCCACCTTATCCACAAAACCAGCACAACTCTGACATCAAGACTCAACAAGGACACTACGTGAAAAAATATCAGATCAATATCTCTCATGAACAGAGGTGAAAAAATACTTTAATCATCTGGATTTTGTTAAAGATTTTCGAATGAATGTTCATAAGGGATATTCATATGCATTTCTCTTTTCCTGTAGTGTCCCTGTCTGGCCCCAGCACCAGGGCATTGTCGTCAGCCTCATAAAATGAACCAGGAATTACCCCTTCCTCCTCAACTCTCTGGAAAAGTTTGAGAAGGATTGGCATCATTTCCTCTCCAAAGTGTGGTAGAATCACCAGCAAAGCCATCAGGTCTAGGAACTTTCCTTTTTGGGAGTTTGTTGATGATTGATTCATTCTCCTTACACTAGTTATGGGTCTATTCAGATTTTCTATTTCTTTGTGATTCAGTCTCAGTAGGTTTTATGTTTCTAGGAATGTGTCCATTTCATCTAGGTTTATGCAACTTGTTGGCATACAATTGTTCATAGTTCTCTTACAATTCTTTTTTATTTTATTTATTTATTTTTGAGATAGAGTCTCGCTCTGTCACCAAGCTAGAGTGCCATGGCGCAATTTCAGCTTGCTGCAATCTCTGCCTCCCGGTTTCAAGGGATTCTCCTGCCTCAGGCTCCCGAGTAGCTGGGATTACAGGCACACGCCACCACACCCAGCTAATTTTTGCATTTTTAGTAGAGATGGGGTTTCACCGTGTTGGCCAGGAGGTCTTGATCTCCTGACCTCGTGATCCACCTACCTCGGCTTCCCAAAGTGTTGGGATTACAGGCATGAGCCACCATGCCCACCCAATTCTTTTTATTTCTGTAGAGCTGGTAGTAATGTATCCATTTTAATTTCTTATTTTGGTAATTTGAGTCTTTTTTTTTTTTTTGGCTAGTCAAGTGAAGCAATCTTTTTTTTTTTTTTGAGACACAGAGTCTTGCTCAGCCGCCCAGGCTAGAGTGCAGTGGCATGATCTCGGCTCACTGCAACCACCGTCTCCCGGGTTCAAGCGATTCTCCCATCTCAGCCTCCCAAGTAGCTGGGATTACAGGCAACTGCCATCATGCCTGGCTAATTTTTGTATTTTAGTAGAGATGGGGTTTCACCATGTTGGCCAGTCTGGTCTTGAACTCCTGACCTCAGGTGATCCACCCACCTTGGCCTTCCAAAGTGCTAGGATTACAGGTGTGAGCCACCGTGCCCGCCCTTTTTTTTTAATTTAAAATATTTGAAACAGGCTTTCGCTCCATCCCCCAGGCTGGAGTGCAGTATTGGGGGAACCCACCCCCAATATTTCAACGTAGGTTCTTTCTATTTTCCATAAATGTCGGCCAGCTGAGAAATAAAGAGAAAGAGTACAAAGAGAGGAATTTTTGTACTGGGCCTCTGGGGGTGACATCACATATCAGTAGGACCGTGATGCCCACCTGAGCCTTAAAACCAGCAAGTTTTTATTAAGGATTTCAAAAGGGGAGGGGGTGTACAAGCAGGGAGTAGGTCACAAAGATCACATGCTTCAAAGGGCAAAAGGCAGAACAAATATCACATGCTTCTGAGGAAACAGGACAAAGGCAAAATCAGAACTACTGATAAGGGTCTATGTTCAGCTGTGCACATATTGTCTTGATAAACATCTTAAACAACAGAAATCACAGTTCGAGAGCAGAGAACCGGTCTGACCACAAATTTACCAGGGTGGAGTTTTTTCCCCACCCTAACAAGCCTGAGGGTACTGCAGGAGACCAGGGCATATTTCAGTCCTTATCTCAACCACATAAGACAGACACTCCCAGAGCAGCCGTTTATAGACCTCCCCCCAGGGATGCATTCCTTCCCCAGGGTATTAATTATTAATATTCCTTGCTAGGAAAAGAATTTAGTGATATCTTCCCTACTTGCATGTCTGTTTATAGGCTCTCTGCAAGAAGAAAAATATGGCTCTATTTTGCCCGACCCCTCAGGCAGTCAGACCTTATGGTTGTCTTCCCTTGTTCCCTGAAAATCGCTGTTATTCTGTTCTTTTTCAAGGTGCACTGACTTCATATTGTTCAAACACACATGTTTTACAATCAATTTGTACAGTTAACACAATTATCATGGTAGTCCTGAGGTGACGTACATCCTCATCTTATGAAGATAACAGGATTAAGAGATTAAAGTAAAACAGGGGTAAGAAATTATAAAAGTATTATTTGGGAACTGATAAATGTCCATGAAATCTTCACAATTTATGTTCCTCTGCCATGGCTCCAGTCAGTCCCTCTGTTCAGAGTCCCTGACTTCCTGCAACAGTGCAGTGGCGCAGTTTTGGCTCTCTGTAACCTCTACCTCTAAGGCTCAAGTGATCCTCCCACCTCAGCCTCTAGAATAGCTGGGACTACAGGTGTGGGGCACCACGTGCAGCTAATTATTTTTGTACTTTTTGTAGAGATGGGCTTTCACTGTGTTCCCTAGGCTGGTCTTGAACCCTTGGGCTCAAGTGATCCGCCTGTGTAAGCCTCCTAAAGTACTGGGGTTACAGGTGTGAGCTACCATGCCTGGCACCTTAATTTTTTAAATTTTTTGTAGAAACAAGGTCTGTCTATATTGCCCAGGCTGGTCTGGAACTCCTGACCTCATGCAATCCTCTCATCTATGTCTCCCAAAGTGCTGAGATTACAGTCATTGGCCATTGTGCCCAGCCCAAGATCTTTCTTTTTTAATGTAAGTGTTTACAGCTATAAATTCCCCCCTTAGCACTGCTTTTGCTGAATTCCAAAAGTTTCAGTATATTGTTTTTTATTTTCATTTGTCTCTAAGTATTTTCTAATTTTCCTTTTGATTTCTTCTTTGATCCATTGGTGATTTAAGAGTGTGTTATTTAGACTGGGCACAGTGGCTTATGCCTGTAATCCCAGCACTTCGGGAGGCCGAAGTGGGTGGATCACTTGAGGTCAGGAGTTCACACCAGCCCGTCCAACCTGTGAAACCCTGTCTCTACTAAAAATACAAAAATTAGCCAGTTGTGGTGTTGGGCACCTGTGATCCCAGCTACTCAAGAGGCTGAGGCGGAATTGCTTGAACCTGGGAGGTGGAGGTCGGAGTGAGCCGAGGTCACACTACCACACTCCAGCCTGGGTGACTCCATCTCAAAAACAAAAAGTGTTATTTGGTTCCCACAAATTTGGGAATTTTAGTTTTCCTTGTTACTGATTTCTAACTTCATCCCACTGTGGTTGGAGAAGATATTCTGTGTGCTATCTTTTCTTTAAAATCTATTGAGACAATTTGTGGTCTATAGTATGGTCTGTCCTGGAGAATGACCCATGTGCACTTGAGAAGAATGCATATTCTGTTGTTAGGTAAAGAATTTTAGATGTAGGTCAGGCGCAGTGGCTCACGCCTGTAATCCCAGCATTTTGGGAGGCTGAGGCTGGTGGATCACCCAAGGTCAGGAATTCGAGACCAGCCTGACCAACATGGTGAAACTCTGTCTCTACTAAAAATACAAAATTAGCTGGGCATGGTGGTACACATCTGTAATCTCAGCTACCAGAGAGGCTGAGGCAGGAGAATCGCTTGAACCCGGGAGGCAGAGGTTGTGGTGAGCTAAGATTGAGCCATTGCATTCTAGCCTGGGCAACAAGAGTGAAACTCTGTCTCAGGAAAAAAAAAAAAAAAAAAAAGTTTTAGATGCCTGTTAGATCTAGTTGGTTTACTGCATTGTTCAAGTCCTCTTATTTATTTATTTGAGACGGAGTCTCGCTCTGTCACCCAGGCTGGAGTGCAATGGCGCCATCTCAGCTCACTGCAACCTCCGCCTCCCAGGTACAAGCAGTTCTCTGCCTCAGCCTTCGAGTAGCTGGGACTACAGGCACCTGCCACCACGCCCAGATAATTTTTGTATTTTTAGTAGAGACGGGGTTTCACCATCTTGGCCAGGCAGGTCTTGAACTCCTGACCTTGTGATCCACCCGCCTCAGCCTCCCAAAGTTCTGGGATTACAGGTGTGAGCCACTGTGCCCAGCCAAGTCCTGAATTTTTTTTTTTTTTTTTGAGACGGAGTCTTGCTCTGTTGCCCAGGCTGGAGTGCAGTGGTGTGATCTCAGCTCACTGCAAGCTCTGCCTCCCGGATTCACAGCATTCTCCTGCCTCAGCCTCCCGAGTAGCTGGGACTACAGGTGCCCGCCACCATGCCCAGCTAATTTTTTTGTATTTTTAGAAGAGACAGGGTTTCACCGTGTTAGCCAGGATGGTGTCAATCTCCTGAGCTCGTGATTCACCTGCCTCAGCCTCCTAAAGTGCTGGGATTATAGGCGTGAGCCACTGCGCCCAGCCCCAAGTCCTCTATTTTCTTAATTATCTTCTGCCAGGTTGTTCTATCCATTATTGAGAGTGGGGTATTGAAGTCTGCAACTATTAGTCATGGTTTGTTTTTTACACCTAAAAACAAACCATCAATATCCTCATTTGTACATTTAGGTGCATAAATGTTAATAATTGTTCTAATCTTCTTGCTGTATATGTCTCCTTTTTTGTCTCTTGTAACCTTTTTTTAATTTAAAGACATTTTGTCTGATATTTGTAAGGCCATCCCTAATCTCCTTTGGTTACAATTTATGTGGAATATTTTTTTCAAAATTTTTAATTGCAATTTTTTTGTGTCTTTAGATATAGAGTCTCTTATAGATAGCATATAGGTGGATTCTGGGTTTTTTTAAATCCATTCTGCCAATTTCTATCTTTGGAGAGTTTAATCCATTTACATTTAAAGTAATTATTGATAAGGAGGGACTTATGTTATTTTACTAATTTATGTTCTGTATGCATTATAGTTTTTTAATTGCTTATTTCCTGCATTACTGTCTTCTTTTGTGTTTAGTTGATTTTTTTTGTAGTGAAAAATTTTAACATAATATGTAACATGTCCTGTAACTGTTTTCTCTGTGGTTACCATGGAGATTATATTTAATGTCCTAAAATTATAATACTCTAGTTTGAATTTATGCCAGCTTAACTTCAATAACATACAAAAACTCTACCCTTTTAACAGCTCTGCCCCAAATCCTTCTAGTTATTGATGTCACAAAAGTATATCTTTGTACATTATATGTTTTTTTTTTGTTTTGTTTTGTTTTTTGAGACAGAGTCTTGCTCTGTTGCCCAGGCTGGAGTGCAGTGGCACAGTCTCAGCTCACTGCAAGCTCCGCCTCCCGGGTTCACTCCATTCTCCTGCCTCAGCCTCCCGAGTAGCTGGGACTACAGGTGCCCGCCACCATGCCTGGCTAATTTTTTTTTTGTATTTTTAGTAGAGACGGGGTTTCACCGTGTTAGCCAGGATGGTCTCGATCTCCTGACCTCGTGATCCACCCGCCTCAGCCTCCCAAAGTGCTGGGATTACAGGCGTGAGCCGCAGCGCCCGGCCTGTACATTATATGTTTAAAAACAGGATCTAAAAATTGGTTTTTAAAATGCATTAGTCTCTTAAATTATATGGAAAACAAAACGTGAAATTGCAAACCAAAGTTACAGTAATATTAGCTTTTAGTCTAATTGTTTTGTAATGTATTAGCCTCTTAAATCTTGTAGAAAACAAAAAAAAGAAATTACAAATAATTGTTACAATAATACTAGCTTTTATAGTTGCCCATCTGTTTATCTTTACCAAAGGTATTTCTTTTACAAATATATTTTTTATTGTTAATCAACAAATCATAATTGTACATATTTATAGAGTACAATGTGATGTTCTGATATATGTATACAATGTGTTTTGATTAAATCAAGCTAATCAACATATCTGTCACCTCAAGTATTTATCATTTTCTTGTGATGAGGACATTTGAAATTCTCTTAGCAATTTTGAAATATGTAATACATTATTATTAAATGTAGTCACCATGTTGTGCAATGTATCTCAAAATACTTAACTCCTGCTGTATAACTGAACCTTGTACCCTTTGACCAACACCTGCCCATTCTCCCCACCCTTCGCCTCTGGTAAACACCATTCTCCTGTCTGTTCCTATTAATTTGATTAATCTGACTGTTTTTAGAGATTTTTCTTTCTTCATAAAGCTTCAAGTTATTTATTGTCATAATTTCAACCCACAGAATTCCCTTGAATATTTCTGATAGGGAAGATCTAGTGTTAATCAGATTTATCTGGAAATGTCTTGATTTCTCCCTCACTTTTGAAGGGCATTTTTGCCAGATACAGTATTCTTGGTATTTTTTCTTTTAGCATTTTGAATATATTAGCCCACTGCTTTCTGGCCTCCACAGTTCCTGATGAAAAAACCCGTTGGTAATCTTATCCTTTGTATGTGATAAGTTGCTTCTCTCATGCTGTTTTCAGGATTCTCTCTTTGTCTTTGTCTTTTGACAGTTTTGTGTGTGTGTGTGTGTGTGTGTGTGTGTGTTTTAAGACAAAGTCTCACTGTCCCCAGGGTGGAGTGCGGTGGCGCCATCTTGGCTCACTGCAACCTCTGTCTCCCGGGTTCAAGCAATTTTTGTGACTCAGCCTCCTGTGTAGCTGGGATCACAGGCATGTGGCATCACATGGGGCTAATTTTAGTATTTTTAGTAGAGACAGGGTTTCACCATGTCATCCAGGTTGGTCTTGAACTCCTGACCTCAAGTGATCCACCCGCCGTGGCCTCCCAAAATGCTAGGATAGCAGGTGTGAGCCACTAAGCCTGGCTGTGTCTTTTTACAGTTTGATTATAATGTATTTCAGTGTAGACTCTTGAGTTCATCCTACTTGGAGTTTGTTGAGCCTCTTGGATGTTTATATTTATTTTGTCTTTTAAATATTTGTCTTTCATCAAACTTGTGAATTTTTCAGCTATTATTTCTTCAGATCATTTATCTGATCCCCTCTCTCTCCTCTTTCTCTGGGACTCCCACATTGCTTACGTTGGGCTGCTTGATGGTGTTCTATAGGTCCTTTAAGCTCTGTTCACTTTCTGTAGTCTTTTTTCTTCCTGTTCTTCAGACTTGATACTTTTAATTATCCTATCTTCAAGTTCACTATTTCTTTCTTGTCCTTGCTCAGATCTGCTTTTTCATTGCAGTTATTGTACTTTTCATCTTCAGAATTTCTTTTTTTCAGACCGGGCATGGTGGCTCATGCCTGTAATCCCAGCACTTTGGGAGGCTGAGCCAGGCAGATGACTTAAGGTCAGGAGTTCGACCAGCCTGACCAACATGGTAAAACCCCGTCTACACTAAAAGTACAACAATTAGGCACGGTGGCATGCACCTGTAATTCCAGCTACTCAGGAGGCTGAGACACGAGAATCGCTTGAACCCGGGAGATGGAGGTCACAGGTTCTACTGCCCTTCAGCCTGGGTGATGGAGCAAGACTCCATCTCAAAAAAAAAATTCTTTTTTTCTTTTTATGTCTTTCTCTTTACTGATATTTGTTTTATTTATACATCATTTTATTTTATTTTGAGACAGGGTCTCATTCTATCTGGAGTGCAGTGGTGCAGTGATAGCTCCCTGCAGCCTCAAACTCCTGGGCACAAGTGATCCTCCCGCCTTAGCTTCTCAAGTGGCTGGAACTACAGGCACATGCCACCATACTTAGCTAATTTTAAAATTTTTTTGTAGAGACAGGGTCTCATTATGTTGCCCAGGCTGGTCTCAAACACCTGGTCTCAACTAATCCTCCTGCCTTGACTTCCCAAAGTACTTAGATTTCAGGTGTGAGCCACCATGCCTGGCCACATAATTACATAACTTTCTTTTTCTGAGACAGAGTCTCGCTCTGTCGCTCAGGCTAGAGGGCAATGGAATAGTCATGGCTCACTGCAGCCTGGGCTCAGGTCATCCTCCCACCTCAGCCTCCCAGGTTGCCAGGACTGTAGGAGCATGCCACCACACCCAGCTATTTTTTTTGTACATTTTGTAGAGACGGGGTTTCGCCATGTTACCCAGGCCACTCTCAAACTCCTGGCCTCAAGCAATCTGCCTGCCTCAGCCTCCCAGAGTCCTGTAATTACAGGCGTGAGTCACCGTGCCCGGCCACATCATTTTCTAATAAGTCTGCCATCTGATCTTAGGGACAATTTCTATTGATTTCTTTTGTTTTTTTCCTTTGAATGGTCCATACTTATTTTTTATGTCTTGTGGTTTTTTGTTTTTGTTTTCAAACTGGACATTTGAGTTTTTATCATGTGATAATTTAGGGGTCCTCCATGCCAGTGATGTAGGATTTACTTCTCAGTCACTTTGCAAGCCAGGGACCTCTGGCTGGCCATGCCCCACCCAGGCCTCGCTCAGCCATGCTGGTGTGCCCCAGCTCACTTGTGTTATAGCTTGTACCCACGTTCAGCAGTTTCTGAGCTCTCGGACCTTGCCCAAGAAGAATAAGGATACGCTGGATGTTGAAGGGTGAGGAGGGTGGAGAAGAATTTTATTGAGTGATGAAACAGCTATCAGCAGAGAGGGGATGCGAGGGTGGTCCCCCTACCTTAAGGTGGGGAAGTCCCCCTAATATGGCTGAGTCCAGGGCTTTTTATGGGCTCAGAATAAGGGAGGGGTAGGCTGTAGGTAGTATTAGAAAAGGCAACATTCGATTGGTTAAAAGGCATTATTCAGAAAGTATCAATTGGGAAAGGGCGAGCAAAGAGGAACAGAAGTTCCCACTCTGGATCACAGGTTTCATCCAGGACCAGCAGTCTGGTCTTTCAGCCTTCGGACTGATTTGGCTTGAAGGTGGGGTTTCACTGGGAACCTGCCCCATCTGCCTAGGTATTTGGCCACCTCCTGTCACTATCACCAGGGATTAGTCACAGGTATAAACTTAAGGTCCTTCTCATGTCTGAATCTGTGTTTTCCCCTGGGCATGTACATGCATGGTAACTTTCCAAATTCCCCTGTAAATGTGGTTACTTTTTTTTTTTTTTTTTGAGACAGGGTCTTGCTCTGTCACCCAGGCTGGAGTACAATGGTGTAATCACAGCTCACTGCAGCCTTTGCGTCCTGGACTTAAGCAATTCTCCTGTCCCAGCCTCCTTAGTAGCTTGGACAATAGGCGTGCCCCACCACACTTAGCTAATTAAAAAAAATTTTTTTTTTTGGTAGAGACAGAGTCTCCCTATGTTGCCCAGGCGGGTCTTGAACTCCTGGGCTCAAGCAATTCTCCTGCCTTGGCCTCCCAAAGTTCTGGGATTCTAGGCATAAGCCACCGTGCCCAGTGGCTTTGGAACATCCTGCTCCTTCAATGTATGGCCCCCAAAAGGGGGAAAAGAAAAAAAATAAAGTGGGGAGAAATAAAGGCACCAGCCTTTTAAATCCCCAGGAAGTCACTTCAGCTAGAGGGAGGGAGGTTTGCAACAGTGTCAGTGATGGTTGCAACATTGGTTTCCTGCTTCTATATCTGTACTTCAGTGATCAGAAGCAGCAATCAGCTATCAGTACAGAGATCCCTGATACTTGGAGGACTGGTTTCTTATTGCCTACCCTGGTTCTTGCAAGCAGCATGCAAGCTGCTTCAGGAACAGCATGACTGTCTCCACTGGGTGCAGAGTGCTTGGGGCTGAAGTGAACCACAATTTAGCTTCTAAGACTTCCGCCAGATGTTTCCAGCCTTCAAGAGAATCCAGAGTTTTTAAATAGTTACGTAAAAGAGATTCTGTCAGTACAATTTCTGGTTGAGTGAAGAGATACAATTTTTGCTTGAGTGAGGAGATGAATTCCTGATGCTTCTTACTCTGCCATCTTCTATAGTATTGTTTCATACAGTAGCTTTTCAGATTAGTTAAGGAGAGGCAAAATGTGTTTGTATTGTGTTTTATAATTACCTTTACCAGCACTCTTGTGTTTTCACATTGCTTTGAGTTATTGTGTAGGGTCTCATCCTTTTAGCTTGATGAACTTCACTTCGTTTTCCTGTAATGTGGGTCTGCTAGCCACACATTCTCTGCTTTTGTTTATCTGGGAATTTCCTTATTTCACTTTTATTTTTGAATGATAGATTTGCTAGATATGGAATTCTTGTTTGACAGTTTTTTGGAGCACTTCAAATGTTATCCTTCTGCCTTCTAGCCTCCATTGTTTATGAGGAGATGTTAGCTGTGAATGTTATTGGTGTTGCCTTCTGATGAGTTATTTTCATCTTGCTGCTTTCAAGGTTTTCTCTGTTTTTGACTTTCAGCACTTTAACCTTAATGTGTCTGTCTGTGGATCTCTTTGAGTTTATCCTACTTGGAAGTTCATTTAGCTTCTTGGACATGTAGATCAATGTTTTTCAATAAATTTGTAAAGTATTCAGGCATTATTTCTTAAAATTTTTTTTTTCTGCTTCTTTCTTTTTTTTGAGACAGAGTCTTGCTCTGTCACCCAGGCTGGAGTGCAGTGGTGCGATCTCAGCTCACTACAACCTCCATCTCCTGGGTTCTTGGCATGGTGGTGTGTGTCTGTAGTCCTAGCTGTCTGTAGTCCTAGCTACTCATCTGCTTCAGCCTCCCAAGTACCCAGAACTACAGGCATATGCCACCACGCCCAGCTAATTTTTGTATTTTTAGTAGAGACGGGGGTTCACCATGTTGGCCAAGCAGGTCTTTTACTTCTGACCTCAAGTGATTCGCCCACCTCGGCCTCCCAAAGTGCTGGGATTACAGGTGTGAGCCACCAAGCCTGGACTTTTTTCTGCTCCTGTCTCTCCTCTTCTGGTGTTTTCTTTATACATATTTGGTGCAGTTAATGGTGCCCTTCATTTCTCTGAGTCTCTGTTCATTTTTCATTTTAGCTTTTTCTCCATTATTTGGATTGCATAATTTCTGTTGGTCTGTCCCCAAGCTTGCTAATTGTTCTGCCAGTGTAAGTATGCTGTTGAGCCCCTCTAGTGAATTTTTCTTTTCAGTTATTGTACTTTTTAGCTCTAGAATTTCCATTTGGGTCTTTAAATTAATAATTTTTTTCTGTTTCTTAATATTCTCTATTTGATATGACACTGTCATTATACCTTTCTTTACTTTTTAAATTATGGTTTCCTTTTTGTTCTTTGAACATATTTATAATGGCTACTTTGAAATCTTTTTTTTTTTTTTTCTTTTTTTTTGAGACAGAGTCTCACTCTGTCACCCAGGCTGGAGTGCAGTGGCGTGATCTTCGCTCACTACAACCTACGCCTCCCAGGTTCAAGCGATTCTCCTGCCTCAGCCTTCCGAGTAACTGGGACTACAGGTGCGTGTCACCATACCTGGCTAATTTTGTATTTTTAGTAGAGACGGGGTTTCACCATATTGGTCAGGCTGGTCTTGTACTCCAATGTCAGTATCTGAGATTTTTTTCTGACCCCAAGAGGCCTCCTCCCAGCTTTGTAATCGTCTCTGCAAACTAGCCCACCCTATAGTTTAGTTTACATCTCCAATGAATTGGCTTATCTCCTCCCAGTTGCCTTTCTACTGCTGTATCTAAAACACAGGTTCAGTTGCTTGCTGCTTGCAGAGTCCAATTAACAAGAGCAAGGTCTGGTATAAAGTGACTTTTTATTCCAAAGCTTAGCTTAGTGGAAGTAGAGGCTTTCTGCCTTTAAGAGTACTCCTCCTTTGGAGCAGAAAGCAAGCACTTTTAAAGGGGGTGTAGGCCAGGCGCGATGGCTCATCCCTGTATGCCCAGCACTTTGGGAAGCCAAGGCGGGCAGATCACCTGAGGTTGGGAGTTCGAGACCAGCTTGACCAACATGGAGAAACCCTGTGTCTACTAAAAATACAAAATTAGCCAGGCGTGGTGGGGCATGCCTATTATCCCAGCTACTTGGGAGGCTGAGGCAGGAGAATCACTTGAGCCCAGGAGGCGGAAGTCACGGTCGGTGAGCCGAGATTGTGCCATTGCACTCCAGCCTGGGCAACGAGAGCGGAACTCCGTCTCAAAAAAAAGGGCCTAACATGAATGGGACATGGCGGGTTGCGGGGAAGCGAGCAGTTGTAGGGGTCTGCGTGCTAGCTTGGTGGCTTATCTACCAGGTGATCAAGGTGGTGACTGCTGGTTTCTTTGTGGGCAGGCATTGGGTTGTGAATCTACTGTTATCTCTCGAGACAACCTCCTAGTGGGTAAGAGTTCTGCTCTGGAGCTTCTAAGCACGTAGTTGAACTATCCCTGTAGGGATTGTCTGATGAAGAGAAGGTAAAAGGCTATAATTGTATTTCTTTTTTTTTTTTTTTTTTTTGAGACGGAGTCTTACTCTGTCGCCCAGGCTGGAGTGCAGTGGCATGATCTCGGCTCACTGCAACCTCCACCTCCCGGGTTCAAGCGATTCTCCTGCCTCATCCTACCGAGTAGCTGGGATTACTGGCGTCTGCCACCATGCCCGGCTAATTTTTGTATTTTTAATAGAGACAGTGTTTCACCATGTTGGCCAGGCTGGTCTCAAACTCCTGACCTTAGGTGATCAACCTGCCTCGGCCTCCCAGAGAGTGCTGGGATTACAGGCATGAGCCACCATGCCCAGCCTATAATTGTATTTCTAAAGAGCTAAGTAGGAAGTGGGAAAAAGGAGGAAAAGAAGAGAGAGAAAACAAAGAATTTAAAAATAATTAAATAATTGAGGCCAGGTGCAGTAGCTCACGCCTGTGATCCCAGAACCTTGGGAGACTGAGGTGGGCAGATCACTTGAGGTCAAGAGTTTGAGACCAGCCTGGCCAACATGATGAAACCCCGTCTCTACTAAAAATACAAAAATTAGCCTGGTGTGGTGGCATACGCCTGTAATCCCAGCTACTCGGGAGGCTGAGGCATGAGAATTGCTTGAACCCAGGGAGGGGGCAGAGGTTGCAGTGAGCTGAGATTGTGCCACTGCACTCCAGCCTGGATGACAGAGAGAGACTCTGTCTCAAAGAATAATAATAATAATAATAATTTAATTAAAGTGGAGGTACTCAGTTACACTTCCACTCTTTTTGAAAGCACTCTGAGGCTTTAACTCCATATTCTGTTGCAAATGAAGTCAGTTCATTTAGGAAGAGATTTGGTGCTCTGTTTTATGGCCTGTTTCTATTCCCAAGCAAAGTTTGTGAGCATGGCTATGGAGCTGTGGGTGGAGACAATGGCACTCTTCCGAGTGATACCCCCACTTTAGAAACTTAGCACCCGGTTTTGGAGGGAGATGGGGCAGTAGCCTCTCATCTTCTTGGCATACTTGGCATACTTCTTGGCATTTCACTAACATGGAATCTTCACTTTATGGTCTGGGGAAGAGGTGATTTGGGGCCCCATAATTTTTTTTTTTTTTTTTTGAGATGGAGTCTTGCTTTGTCACCCAGGCTGTAGTGCAGAGGTGCGATCTCAGCTCACTGCAACCTCTGCCTGCTGGATTCAAGTGATTCTCCTACCTCAGCCTCCCAAGTAGCTGGGATTATAGGCACTCACCACCACACCCAGCCAATTTTGTATTTTTAGTAGAGATGCGGTTTCACCATGTTGGCCAGGCTGGGTCTCAAACTCCTGACCTCAAGTGATCCACCCACCTCGGTCTCCCAAAGTACTGGGATTACAGGTGTGAGCCAACACACCTGGCCTGGGCCCCATAATTTTTAGCAGTCCTGTACCCAAAGTAGAACCTACATCCTAGTACCCTGGGCTAGGTGGAAGAAGGGAGCTCCCACTTCTTGCCTGCACCCTCCTGAAATATAGCCTCAACAACAGGCAGCAGGATGAGATCTGCCAATGGCCTGCCCTCCCAAGAAGATAACCGTTGAACTGGAAGTTGCAGGGAAACAAAGGCCTGTGTTCTTGCCTTCACTGGCCTGGAGTAGAATTTTTGTCTCACTTAGGCGGGATGGAGAAAGGTGGCAGTTGGTCATGATTCGCATACCACTGACTCTTACCATTCTTACCAAAGTCTAGATTTTCTCAAATAAATGTTTCTTCTGTCAAAAGACAAAATTATAACACATTTTGTTTAAAGATCTCAATTGGGTTTATTGTGATTCTAGCATTGGGCAACACTTCCTTCTATAAAATAGAATAAGTGTTCTAATGAGTGAAGCAGAGGAGATTGGCTTTATAGACAGAAAAGGGGTTGGATAAAGAAGAAAAAAAGAACAAAAAGTGGATTGGTCTCAGTTAATAGGGTTGCTCCAGAAAAAAAGTGGATTGGTCATTTTAGGGTGGGGACAGGGAGATAGAATAATGGAAAAATAAGCTGATTGGTTAACATCAGGTTACTTCAGATGAAAGATTAAAACAGAGAGAGCTTCATACGACGTCAGTTGAAACTGGCCTCTTTGGGAAATTCATTCTCTCGATTTCTTGACAGCTCAATTTCGGTTTGGTGAGCATGAGTGACTCCTTTATAATTTTTAGTCTGGACAGTTGGGCCTGGTGTTATGAGATCTTTGGGGTGTCACTTTTCCAGCCAGAAACGTCTGTGGCTGATGGCGCCTTTGCCTGAGTTTTACTTGGGCCCACTGGGCTTGTTCTGTCCATGGCCTGGCATTGCACTATATTACCAACCTGTATCCCATGCCTGCCAAGGGAGAGTCAGGCATGGAGCGGCGAGGGGTGTGGGAGTGAGCATGGGGTCCAGCCACTGTGCAGTCAGACACGCTAGTTGCTGCAGCGGGGCGGGCAGCTCCAGGTGCCGGCATGGGTACTGGTCCTCTGCGAAGCTATGGCCAGACCAGGTGCACCTCAAGCAGCTTCCACTGCTGGCACCAGGGGACACTGGGGAAGCTTGGAGATGCCAGGAACCACAGTGCCCCAAAGAGGAAGTCACAGCCCTGGCTTGGGGAGCTCCCAGGTCTGGGCTCCTTGAAGGGCCACAGCTCTTCTCTCCTCTTCACATGCAACGTGGTGAGAAAGGGGCATGTTTCAGCTCCTAACATGTTTGTTTACAGTTCTTTTAGCCTCACCATTCATGGGTCTCGAATTCTTGTCCTGTGACCAGGAAGGGGTATGTGGACAAATACAGGGTAAGCAAGAGGAAGAGGAGTTTCTTTGAGAGAACAGCTCAGGCTGGACGTGGTAGCTCACGCCTGTAATCCCAGCACTTTGGGAGGCCGAGGTGGGTGGATCATGAGGTCAGGAGTTCAAGACCAGCCTGGCCAACATGGTGAAACCCTGTCTCTACTAAAAATACCAAAAAAAATTAGCTGGGCCTGATGGCATGTGCCTGTAATCCCAGCTACTGGGCAGGCTGAGGCAAGAGAATCGCTTGAACCCAGGAGGCAGAGGTTGCAGTGAGCCATGATCGTGCCACTGCACTCCAGCCTGGGTGACAGAGCAAGGCTCCGTCTCAGAAAAAGAGAGAGAACAGCTCAGAGGAGATCCGCAGGGGGCACCTCCTTTCCATAGACAGGGTGTCTCGTGGAGTATTTAGCCCCGCTCATCTTGATGAGTATTGAGCTCTCAGCAGAGGGTAGCTCCTCTCTGCAGCTGGCCGTCCCATTGTCTGTTCTGCTCTGGCTGAGCCCAGGGCTTTTAGGGGACTTAAACGGCAGGAAGTACCTGCTGATTTGTCCATGGGTAGGCCCAGAAAAGGCACCACAAGTTCCCACTCTGGTCTATGGGACTAGCAGCCTGGTACCCGGCCTTTGCTCCCTCCCTGGCCGGAAGGTGGGGCCTCACCGGGGACCCGCCCCCTTCTGCCCAGTAGCCTGTCTGCCTCCTGCCCGGGGCCCAGGCTGTTCATGCCACGGTACACGTGCAGGCCAGTGCCAAGCTGCCCTCCACTCCCCCTCAGCTTACTTTCCCCATCCTGCGCTTGTTAGAGCCCAAAGTCCGGAGGGGGACAAAGTGGCAGGGGGCTGGTGTGTCATTGCTGCCCCAAACATGCGCACACCTGGCCAGGCTTTGACCGCGCCTGGGCTTACCCCGCTCTGAGATTGGAGCTGGGGGTGGGGGTAATAGGGAGAGGCCAGGCAGTGGGAACAGACACCCCCGAGCCTGCGGGGGCAGTTGGGGCCGCTCGGGCCTGGCTCTGCCTTGGGGCACCTCTCTGCCTGCCCCTTTGCGCCCGACCACGCTGCTCCCCCAGCGGCAGGTGACAGCCTGGCCCCATCCTAGCAACCTCCAGGGCAGTGGGCTCTGGGCGGGGCTCCCAGGGGCGGGCTCTGGGGACTGTCTGCTTCCTCCCCTTGCCCTCCCCACAGCTGAAGCAGGTGTCCGGAGTGGTGGAGGGTCCGGGCCTGGGGGCGGGTCCCGACCATGCGAAGGTGGGCGTGGCCTGGTCAGCTGCTTCAGGGGCGCGGGGCACAGGTTCCAGTGGTGCCACTGCTCTTCTGCAGCTGCTCCTGCCATCACCGCTCACACCTCCCTTCTGCTGCCAGCGCGATGGTAGCGGCTGCTCCGGATGGCCCGTGACTGCCATCAGTAGTGCAGGAGTTTAGTCCAAAACAATGGCCTCCTATAATTTTTATTTAAAAATTCGAATGTCATTTTCTCTTAGCACCGTTTCCAGAGACTTTGTTTTTTTGAGTTGCTCTGTAGCCCGGGCTGGAGTGCAGTGGCATGATCACGGCTCACTGCAGTCTCTGCCTCACCAGCTCAAGTCATTCTCCCACCTCAGCCTCCCAAGTACCTAGGACTACAGGTGCACACCACCACACCTGGCTAATTTTTTGTAGTCTTTGTAGAGACAAAGTTTCACCATGTTGCCTAAGCTGGTCTTGAACTCCTGAGCTCAAGGGATCAGCCCGCTTTGGCCTTGCAAAGTGCTGGAATTACAGATGTGAGCCATGGTACCTGGCCACTGAGGGTGGTGGGAGGTTTACAGAGCTCCTTATGGTGTCATGCTGGATGTGGAACCAAACAGGATTACATTTTATATTTAATTATGTCTTTTTAAATTTGAAACATTTCCTCACTTTGTTTTTCCTGACTTTGACTTTTTTTTTTTTTTTTTTTTTGAGAGGGAGTTTTGCTCTTGTTGCCCAGGCTAGAGTGCAATGGTGCAATCTTGGCTCACCGCAACCTCCGCCTCGCGGGTTCAAGCGATTCTTCCGCCTCAGCCTCCTGAGTAGCTGGGATTACAGGCATGCGCCACCATGCCCGGCTAATTTTGTATTTTTAGTAGAGACAGGGTTTCTCCATGTTGGTCAGGCTGGTCTCGAACTCCCGACCTCAGGTGATCCGCCTGCCTCGGCCTCCCAAAGTGCTGGGATTACAGGCGTGAGCTACTATGCCTGGCTGACTTTGACATTTTTGAGGAATAGGGGCCATATGTTTATTTTATTTTTTGCAGCATAGAATAATTTATTGCAAAAGAAAAATAATGTTTTGAAAGTTAGTGCAGAATAGGCAGTACACCCTGAGAGAGAGAGGATTCAGGGCAGGCTGCTCATAAGGATGAGACAGCCTAGGCTGTGTGTTTTATTAAATGTCCCTTGGTTTGGATTTTTCCAGTGTTTTCTCATGAATAGATTTAGGTTATACATTTTTGGCAGGAATACCACAGAAGTGATATGCCCTCAGTGCATTGTATCAGGAGGTTCACAGTATCTGTTTAACATACTAGGTGTTATTTTAATTTTGAACAGTTCTTTCCACAAGCATACATTGAATGTCACATAGTACTTTTTTTATTACTGGTCAGGTTGAATTTTATGTATGCTAATGATATGGAAGGGGGACAGGGAAGTACTGGGTAAGGGAGGGCGTGGCCTCTGGCTAGGGCTCCACCCTCAGATCTGTGCCCATGGACCTAGGCGAGAACAGGCACTGCTGGTTCGTGCCCAAATGTTGCATTTCCCAAGACCACCCTGGCCTGCCACTCCCCCATCCTGTGCCTATAAAAACCCCGGAGACCCTCGCAGGAACACAGATAAGAGGTTGGATGTTGAGAGGAACACATTAGCAGAAGAAGACACAAGCAGCTGGACATTGAGAGGACATCGAGGGGAGCATGCCAGCGGAAAAGCACACTGACAGATGCCAGCATGCCAGCAGGCCATCGACCAGCAGAACGAGGTGGAGTTTGGCCAGGGTAGCTGGGGGAGAACCCGGTCCACCGAGCAGCCAGACTCCAGGGGAAAACCATCTTCCTTCTGGTTCCCGCATCTGCTGAGAGCTACTTTCACTCAATAAAACCTTGCATTCATTCTCCAAGCCCACGTGTGATCTGATTCTTCCGGTACACCAAGGCAAGAACCCTGGGATACAAAAGCCCTCTGTCCTTGAGATAGGGCAAGGGTCTAATTGAGCTAACACAAGCTGCCTACAGATGGCTAAACTAAAAGAGCACCCTGTAACACACACCCACTGGGGCTTCAGCTGTAAACATTCACCACTAGACACTACCATGGGGTCAGAGCCCCACAGCCTGCCTGTCTGTATGGTCCCCTAGAGGTTTGAGCAGTGGGGCACTGAAGAAGCGAGCCACACCCCCATTGCACGCCCTGCGAGGGGGACAAGGGAACTTTTCCCATTTCACTAAATGGTTATTTATATGATTATTTTGTAAATATATGGGATTTACATTTACATACATATATAAATGAATTTGCTGAATTATCTATGAAATTGATTTTGTTTTACCTATTCTAATATTGTTGGGTTTTATTGATTCAAAGAACTCTTTATATACGAATGCTATTAATCCTTTGGCATGAATGTTGCAAATGTTTTCCCTAGTTTATTGTTTGTTTGCTCTTTAATTTCTTACGACTTTTCGAAACATCTTGAAGTTTAAAAGTTTTATGTAAACTGAACTATTAGTATTTTCCTGTATGGTTTCCACCTTGGATACCATGCTTAGAAAAGCCCTTCCTCTAAGATTACAGAAATATTTTTTCCTACTACATACTGATTGATTTTCTTTTTGTTTCTCAAATAGGTACGTTTGCGGGAGCACATGGGTGAAAAGTATACAACTTACAGTGTGAAAGCTCGCCAGTTGAAATTTTTTGAAGAAAACATGAATTTTTGAGCATTTGTCCTAATCTGCTGCCAGAATTAAAGACCTATTTTTAGAGGATTTTGGCTTAAAAAGCAAGGGCAAACAGTCATTTGGAAGCCACTCACCACTGTTTTATATCTCTTTTTTATATCTCTTTGGCGTTTCCCTACAGAAAAGAAATTGGACAGAACAGAATAATATGAAGCAGGATCACAAAAGAAAAAAAACTTTGGCTTTCATATTCTCTTTGTGAGGACAAATCTGTTGTTTGTTTGATTACTGTTTACTGAGCCTTAATCCACCAAGTTTATATTTAGAATTTTATTTTTTTAAGGTACTAATTAACTTAAACACAGAGCTATAAAATGCTGGATTGAAAATTTTATATTGTAATGTAGAGATAAAAGCAGTAGGAGAAACAAATGACATAATATGTCGTCATAATTCCTGCTATTGTTAATAACCTTAAGGAGTAGTTGATAAATTATAAAATTTTAAAAAGTCAATTCAGTTCTAGAAATAGATTTAAAGAATATGAAGTTCTATCTAGTACTTGAGCAGCTGTATTTCTTTTCTACACATTGATGGACTTTTAATATTTTATTCTCATTTAATATAAACCTCATCTAGGGTATATACAAATTAAAACTGAGACACATTGGCTTTGTAAATCAGTATGTTTTTACATAATGGTTTTGTTAGATTTATTTTTCCATCAGTGAAAACATTTCTTAAACACAAATTTCATTTCCATTTAAGCAATTTGTAAGCAAAGTCCAGGTCCATTTAGTTTTTGGATATATTTAATGTTTGTCTCCTGAAGTTTGTCTTCATGTACTGTAAGATATTAGTTGTCTTTCCATGTTTTAAATGTATGATTATATAGCACATATTTTATTAGTTGTTTAATAAGAGGTAATACCCATCTAGGAAAGAAATTTTATGAAGTTAAATACAAGTCTTGAATAGTACATTTTCACTTCTGTATTCGAGGGACTCTAAAAATAAATATTGCTCCAGAAATGTTTTCAGGTGTTTTTTTTTTGAGACAGAGTTTCACTCTGTCAGTCAGGCTGGAGTGCAGTGGCATGATCTCAACTCACTGCAACCTCCACTTCTGGGGCTCAAGTGGTATTCCTGCCTGAGCCTCCCTAGTAGCTGAGACCACAGGCGTGTGCCACCACACCTGGCTAGTTTTTGTATTTTTTGTAGAGACAGGGTTACACCACATTGCCCAGGCTGATCTCAGAACTCCTGGGCTCAAGCAATCCACTCACCTCAGCCTCCCAAAGTGCCAGGATTACAGGAATGAGCCACTGTGCCCAGCCCTGTTTTCAGTTTCTATAACTAAAAATATATCTATCTTTGAAAATTACACACACACACAAATACTCTAATGAAATGTTCCCTTTACAGCCACTTAACAATTTTTTTTTTTTTTTAAGACACAGTCTTGCTCTGTCACCCAGGCTGAAGTGCAGTGGCCCAATCTCAGATCACTGCAAGCTCCGCCTCCCAGGTTCACTCCATTCTCCTACCTCATCCTCTCGAGTAGCTGGGACTACAGTTGCCCGCCACCATGCCCGGCTAATTTTTTTGTATTTTTTTAGTAGAGACAGGGTTTCACCGTGTTAGCCAGGATGGTCTCAATCTCCTGACCTCGTGATCTGCCCGCCTCGGCCTCCCAAAGTGCTGGGATTACAGGCGTGAGCCACCGCGCCCGGCACACTTAACAGATTTTTATTTAGAGTTTACTGTGTGCCAGGTTCTCTGCCAGGAGCTGGGGATATAGTGGTGAATAAAACAATACTTCCTGCCCTTTTACAGTGCTCACAGCCTGGTTTCTGATAACTCTTATTTTCACTTTGAAGGGTTTGCTAGAACTCAACTTGCAAAACCATCAAGTCCCAATGCCCAGTTGGGAACAAATCTTTGGCAAACTTGGTATCCTTGAGCTATTCACCTTTCCGTGCATGTTTTGGAAATCCACATCGTTCTGGAGAGTCATCAGTTTTACTTAATTTTTCTAATGTATTGGTATAAAGTAGGTATTTTATTAGAATTAAAGGAATCTCACCCATATCTTTTTTTTTTTTTTTTTTTTTTGAGACAGGGTCTTGCTCTGTCACCCAGCCTGGAGTGCAGTGAGGTGATCATAGCTCACTGCAGCCTTGACCTCCTGGGCTTAAGTGATCCTCCCACCTCAGCCCCTCAAGTAGCTAGGACCACAGGCATGCACCACCACACCTGGCTAATTTTTAAAATTTTTTGTGGAGAGGAAGTCTGTGTTGCCCAGGCTGGTCTCAAACTGCATTCAAGCAGTCCTCCTGCATCGGCCTCTGAAAGTGCTGGGATTATAGGCATGAACCACCACACCTGACTTCCCCCATACTTTCTTATTAATTACCATACTGTATATTTTTATTTTGTTTAAACATCTTTTCTTCCCACTTTTATCGTTTTTACTTGAGTGCTTAATTCATCTTCCTAAATTAATTTAAAAACTCATCTTTAAGACTGTGAATTTTCTTCCGAATATACCTTTGGCCACAGTTCAGAGACTTTGATGTGTTACTCTTTTGGCATTGGTTCTAAAATGTCAATCATTCTTTTTTTTTTTTTTTTGAGATGGAGTCTTCTTGTTGCCCAGGCTGGAGTACAGTGGTGCGATCTTGGCTCACTGCAGCCTACGCCTCCTGGGTTCAAGTTCCCCTCCCTCAGCCTCCCGAGTAGCTGGGATTACAGGCACACACCACCATGCCTGGCTGATTTTCGTTATTTTTAGTAGAGATGGAGTTTCACCATGTTGGCCAGGCTGGTCTTGAACTCCTGACCTCAGGTGATCTGCCTGCCTTGGCCTCCCTAAATGCTGGGATTACAGGCTTGAGGCACCATGCCTGGCCTAAAGTGTCAGTAATTCTGATTTCGGTTTTCTCTTTTAGAAGTTTTGATTTCCACAGACTTACAAAGCTAAGGAAGTTTTATGTCCTTGCTCTGGCTACACTGCAGTGTTACTGAATATCACCTGCACAACCTTTACTGCTTGCAGTTTTTTTTTTCCTGTTGCTTTGTACATGATCCGTTATTCAAATGGCCTTATAGGCATTCAATAAAGGTGAAATGTTAAATACAAAATCACTTGTCTATTAAATTTTATTCAAGGTTCTATATAAGATCTGATAAATGGAACTTTGTGATGGAAATGTTTTATATGGTAGCCACTAGTCACATATAGCTATTGAACCTTTGAATCATGGCTAGTTTTAGAGTTTTATATTTTAATTTTAATTAAATAGACGTGTCTAGTGGCACCATATTGTACAATGCAGTTCTCATTCAATAAATCTTAAGTACTTAACAATGCATCGTGTACTCTTCTATGTACTGGGTAGACAGCAGTGAGCAAAACAAAGTCCCCGTTCTCATGGAACTAATGTTCTAATGACAACTATTAATTACATACCATGAAATGTCTCAAACTCCTGGGCTCAAGTCATCCTCCTGCCTTAGCCTCCTCAAGTGCTGGGATTATAGGTGAGAGCCACTGCACCTGGCCAGAAGCACGAACTTCTAACTTAGGCTTTTATTAATTATCTTCCTTGCAGAATAATCAACAGAAGACCCTTTAGACAAAGAACTTGCACTATGAGGTTTAATTGGAAACATTAAAATGGTTAACTCATAATGAATTATAAAACTTTGATAGTTACATTGTACTATCATTTATGAGGCATTTATTTTTCATTATTTACACCTGAAAGAAACTTCATACTTGTGTGTTCTGTTCCCCATCTCAGAGCAAGATTATGAAGAGAAGGTCTAAACTACTTATATAAATCAAAACCCAACTGGGCTAGAAATGAAGTATAAAGAGAACTAAATCTATACACAGCTGTGCCATAAGAGCATTAGGTGGTTTTAGCTCTTATCTGGGGTATGAAAGCAATTTAGCTCATCTCACAGAAACAAAAGCAGGTGCTGAATCATGAAAACCTCAATTATTTTTAGCATGCCTCTTAATTTTTCTTTCCCCTGGTTTCTTGTCGTCTGTGCTTGATTCTTGAACAGGTAACCACTTGAGAGGATGCCGGCGATAGATGGGCCATGGAGGAAGTGTCAGCTGGGCCAGAAAAGAGGAAATGCATAAATTATAGCTATTAAAAGTTTAAAAAATCATTACGTATAATGCCAGGTTCCCAAATGACTCCTATGCTGAGGGAACAAAAAAACAAAAAAAAAAATCCATATTCCTATAAAGGCTCTGTGCCACCATCCATGCAAAATACTGTATGATGATGGGAACAGGCTCACTGCCTATACAAATGGCTTTAAGACCTAAAAGAAAGGTGGGGGCCAGGCGTGGTGGCTCTCGCCTGTAATCCAAGCACTCTGGGAGGCCAAGGTGGGCGGATTGCTTGAGACCAGCCTGGCCAACACAGTGAAGCCCTGTCTTTACTAAAAATACAAAAATTAGCTGGGTGTGGTGGTGGGCTCCTGTAGTCACAGCTACTCGGGAGGCTGAGGCAGGAAAATCTATTAAACCCGGGAGGCAGAAGGTGCAGTGAGCCGAAATCGCCCCAGTGCACTGCAGCCTGGGCAACAAGAGTGAAACTCCGTCTCAAAAAATTTAAATAAATAAATAAATAAAAGGTGAAGGGACAACGTGAGCACCATGAAAACTCCTGCTGGCTTTGACCTTAAGATTATTAGCCAGAGTAGCCGCCAAAGGAAATAAGCTGTGTCCTTTTATATAGTTCGCACCATCTGACACTATTTTGGCATTCTACTTTTCCAATGATAGCAAAGGGAAACGCTGTTTGGAAGGATGAGGGAAACGTTGGCTTTGGGTCTCACTACTGAGTAGGTCTAACCAAACCAACCCGACTCACAAAACCCAAGCTGCCACTAATACCCACAAATTTCTTACCAAACATGAAAAAGCAAATCCGGCCATAACTATATAGACAGTCCACCCGAACTGTTCAGCCACGTACCCGTAGATAAATCCAACTATCTAGAGACAAATGAAGTATATTAAACACACTCAAACTGAGGGTTGGGAGGGAGGCGGGGGCGGAGATTAAATGTAAAACCAATACTTACTGCAGAAAAAAGAATAATTCCCTGAAACATCTGTTCAGCTAGCTTCTGGCCCTTGTAATCCTGGGGTGAAGCAGAGGAAAAAAAGAATTGGTTCCACCGCCGAGAACATACAATTCCTGCCCTGACCTCACAACTCTGGCACAGGGTAACCCCAACATCAGGGTCTCCCGCTCTCCTAAGGGCCTGGGCAAGATATTAAATTCTGGGCTTCCCGGGAGGAACTGAAACACCCTCACGGAGAATGGACAGGAGATTCTCGCGGAGTAGAAGAGAAGGGGACCCAGGAGGCAATTCGGGAAAGAGGGTGGACGGTAACCATCCGGGCCCGGAACAGCGCAGCACCGGGTCGGTGCTCCAACATGGGCTTCGAAGCTGCCAGGCACAAGAACGGCGTGCAGAGGTCCCCGGGTTGCGCCCTCACCATCTGCGTGGGCAGCGAGCTCAGATGCTCCAGCATGGCTGGCTGAGGAGGCGGGCAGCTGAGCGCGGGTGGCAGGCTGCGAGGCGAGGGCGACCGAGACTTAAGGACCGTGAGGGGTAAGGTCTGGCACTGCGCGTCAGTAGCCGGGCCTTCTAAGCCCGGGAGAGCGATGGCGGCGGCCCCGGAAGCGGAAGTCTCCGACGGGCCGGTACAGCCCGTGTCCCCGCCCCGCGCCATCGCTAGGCGACGTGCGCTTTTGCCGCGCCGTGCTGCCCGCGAGGGCAGCTGAGGTGGTGGTGGCGGCCGCCTTGTCGAGGCATCGCGCGCCCGTGAAGTGTTCGCCGTCAGTGCTGTTGGGTGCCTGGAGCCGCGTCCCCCGTCCCGAAAACTGTCCTTGACAGTACTTGCGCGGCCCAACGGCCGCCGGCGCCCCCGCGTCTCCATGGCGACGGCCTTTTTCCCTGCGAGGACCCCGGCGGCAGGGCTGCCCCGCGGCGCCTGCTTGGCGCGACGCTCTAGCGGTTACCGCTGCGGGCTGGCTGGGCGTAGTGGGGCTGCGCGGCTGCCACGGAGCTAGAGGGCAAGTGTGCTCGGCCCAGCGTGCAGGGAACGCGGGCGGCCAGACAACGGGCTGGGCTCCGGGGCCTGCGGCGCGGGCGCTGAGCTGGCAGGGCGGGTCGGGGCGCGGGCTGCATCCGCATCTCCTCCATCGCCTGCAGTAAGGGCGGCCGCGGCGAGCCTTTGAGGGGAACGACTTGTCGGAGCCCTAACCAGGGGTATCTCTGAGCCTGGTGGGATCCCCGGAGCGTCACATCACTTTCCGATCACTTCAAAGTGTAAGGGGGGCCCTACTGACCCTTGGAATTTAGGGGGGCTACCCTAGGCGGCATCCACAACAGAGAGAATTCCCTTGGAGAGGGGACCCTGGTGCTCGGCTGTCCCTCTCATCCGCGTAGAAAGTCCCTCATCTGGGGGCTCCCGAACTCAGCCCTCTCACATTGTGGCCGGCTTTACTGACCCTCACAGACCCAGGCTGGGCCCTCCCGATAGAGGCCAGCCAAAGGTTCACTCAGCCTCTCTTTCAAGGCTGGTGTATCTCTAAATCTTAGACCCTCCTCCGTTACCGTCAGCCAGGTGGGATGCCCACGTTTTGGAGAGAAACCGTTCTGAGGAACCCGGGCCTCTGGGTCCCAGCTGGCTCTCCGGCCCCCAGGTTATGTATTCTGGGTTGGCCACAAACAGTGGAATTCTAGGCACTCCCGGGACAGGGTGGGACTGCTGTCCTCATTCATGCAACCAGCAAATATTCACGGCACCTTGTTTGTGCCAGACAGCAGACCGAGGACACGGTTGTTACCAAGACCAGGCTGTTGCCTTGGAAGAGCCCAGAGCGTGTCAAGGGAGACAGCCACATCACGCCAGAAATACATGACAGCTGGATTAGCCCTGGGAGAGGGAGGCCCAGATGTGGGAGCTCAGGGGAGGTGCAGCTCAACGTGGAGTTTGGAGGAGGCTACCTTGACCTTTGAATGCCAAGTGGGAGCCAGCCAGATGAAAGGGTAGGAGAAAGTGTTTGTATATCCTCAGTGCCCTTTCATCCTTGCACGTGGCAGAGACCAAACAGTAAAATGCAGACACGTTTGACACTTTTCTGACCTCAGAAGGACTCAGGACGTGTAGAAGGCAGAAAGAGGGATGGGCAAGAGTTTATTCCTGTTTCCTTCTCATGCTCTGTATTTCTTGGTGTGTTTGAAGAGACTTTCTGTTGTGTGTATAAATAGATATATCTCTGTGTGGTCTTTTTTTTTTTTTTTTTTTTTTTTTGAGGCGAAGACTCGCTCTGTTGCCCAGGCTGGAGTGCAGTGGTGCGATCGCGGCTCACTGCAACCTCCGCCTCCTGGGTTCAAGGGATTGTCCTGCCTCAGCCTTCTGAGTAGCTGGGATTACAGGCATGCGCCACCACGCCCGGCTAATTTTTGTGATTTTAGTGGAGACGGGGTTTCACTGTGTTGGCCAGACTAGTCTCAAACGCCTGACCTCAAGTGATCCACCCACCTCGGCCTTCCAAAGTGCTGGGATTACAGGCATGAGCCACCGCGCCCGGCCAGTGCGGTCTTTTTTTTTTGTATCCACAGTTTTGTATCCTTGGATTCAACCAACCACGGACTGAAATTACAGATACAGAGGGCTGACTGTAATATGCCATTTTACATAAGGGACTTGAGCATCCGTGAATTTTTGTATACATGGGGAGTCCTGGAGCCAATCCCCGACTGATACTGAGGACCAACTGTGTTGCTAATCAAATTGTACACAATTATATACTCTTACGAAAATGTAGTTAACTATTACAGATCCAGCGTCTGTGTGCAATTTCGTTTTGAGAATTCCTTCTAACCAGATCAGGAAAGCTCTCTTACCAGGAATAGCCCCAGGAAAGACAATATGGATTAGACGTACTCCATGATAACTGGCGTTTTGCATGTAGGTAACTGTGGAAGTTTTAGGAGCAACTGGTTTCTGCCTTGCCAGTCTACTTAAGTATGTCAGATACTTGATAGAATTGTGTTTTTCTTGTTTCCAGCCAAGTGTGCCTCTTGATCCCGTAACTGCTAACTGGAAGTCAAGAAACTAAAAACATTATCTCTTGTACCATTAATTAAGTGGGATTTATTTGAGTGCAAGATCGTTTTCTCAGTGGTGGTGGAAGTTGCCTCATCGCAGGCAGATGTTGGGGCTTTGTCCGAACAGCTCCCCTCTGCCAGCTTCTGTAGATAAGGTCAGCCCATAATGTGATAGAGGCATATGACTTAGGGTATATACTGATGTATATACTTCTCTTTTTTTTTTTTTTTTTTTGAGACAGAGTCTTACTCTGTTGCCCAGGCTGGAGTGCAGTGGCACGGTCTCAGCTCACTGCAACCTCCGCCTCCCGGGTTCAAGGGATTCTCTTGCCTCAGCCTCTCAAATAGCTGGGATTACAGGCACCTGCCACCATGCCTGGCTAATTTTTTGTATTTTTAGTAGAGATGGGGTTTCACCATCTTGGACAGGCTGGTCTCGAACTCCTGACCTCTTGATCCACCTGCCTTGGCCTCCCAAAGTGCTGGGATTACAGACGTGAGCCACGGCGCCCTGATGTATATGAGAAGAAGTTCACTGACACGTTGTACTTCATATATACTGCTTTGGAAAGGTGTGTGTGGGCTGGGCCTGGTGGCTCAGGCCTGTAATCCCAGCACTTTGGAAGGCCGAGGCAGGTGGATCACCTGAGGTCAGGAGTTCGAGACCAGCCTGGCCAACATGGTGAAACCCTCTCTCTATTAAAATTAGCTGGGCGTGGTGGCGCACACCTGTAGTCCCTGCTACTCGGGAGGTTGAGGCACAAGAATTGCTTGAATCTGAGAGGCAGAGGTTGCAGTGAGCCAAGACGGCACCACTGCACTGCAGCCTGGCTGACAGAGCCAGACTCTGTCTCGAAAAAAAAAAAAAAGGAAAGAAAGAAAGATGTGTATTTTCCCCCTAATTTGTAATCTGGCCTGTGATCCCATTTTTAAAAAAAATTTTTTTTAGATATGGGGTTGGGGGATGGTCATACTATGTTGCTCAGGCTGGTCTGGAACTCCTGGGCTCAGGCAGCCTCCCACCCCAGCCACCTGAATAGTTGGGATTATGGGTATCAGCCACAGTGCCTGGCTGATCCACAGTTTTTATTGCTTTTTATTTTTTATTTTTTTGAGACAGGGTGTCGCTTTGTCACCCAGGCTGGAGTGCAGTGGCATGAATATGGCTTACTGCAGCCTTGACCTCCCTGGCTCAGGGGATCCTCCTGCCTTAGCCTCCCAAATGCTTGGGACTACAGATGCACGTCACCATGCCTGGCTAATTTTTGTATATTTTGTAGAGATGAGCTTTCACAATGTTACCCAGGCTGGTCTTGAACTCCTCAGCTCAGGTGATCTGCCCGCGTTAGCCTTGTTGTTTTCATTTTGGGATTATAGGCATGAGCCACAGTGCCCAGCCCCCAATTTTTTAAACAGTTTTTCAACATATTTCTCTTCTTTACAAAGGCCTTGAGAAATTAAGTGCCTGGTAGGCACACAATTTTCCCAGGATGAAGTTAATTCAAACTTACTTTGTCTGTAGTCCCTGCTACTTGGGAGGCTGAGGCAGGAGGCTTGCTTGAGCCTAGGAGTTAGAGGCCAGCCTGGGCAACATGGTGAGACCCTGTCTAAAAAAACAAATGAACTAACTTGCATTGCAATACGCTATGTTTGAAAGTGCTTTGTAAAATTAATAGCCTTATGTAAGGGTTGGGTACTACTATGGGTGAAGATGAAGTAAGAAAGGGTTAAAAGGTAGGTTCACGATATCTTGGTTGGTAAAATGTCTTTAAGGAAACATTTTATCCAGAGCTTGTTGAAGGAATTTATTTTTTAAATAAATTTAGTTCCACCTACTATCTTGTTTCCACTGAATTGTTTTGAAAAAGTGAAGGTCAGATGAGCTGAGGAGGACCAACCAGGACATTGTGACAATTAGACACCACCTTCTTAAGAGATGAATAGCTAGCTAACAGAGATGGTTTTTGAGAATAGCACCTTAAATGTTTTTTTGGCCGGGCGTGGTGGCTCACGCCTGTAATCTCAGCACTTTGGGAGGCTGAGGTGGGCAGATCACGAAGTCAGGAGTTCGAGACCAGTCTGGCCAACATGGTGAAACCCCATCTCTACTAAAAATACAAAAATTAGCTGGGCGTGGTGGCGCACACCTGTAATCCCAACTATTGGGAAGGCTGAGGCGGGAGAATCGCTTGAATGCGGGAGGCAGAGGTTGCAGTGAGCTGAGATCATGCCGCTGCACTCCAGCCTGGACGACAGAACAAGACTCCGTTTCAAAAAATAATAAACTAAAATAAACCTTTTTTTTTTTTTGCTAGTTACAATGGCTAGAAATGTACTCCACACTTTTGATATCGATTGGATTTTGTGAATTTTTGTAGCTTTTTCTGTGCTGTGGGTTTGTCAAGTGAATTTGGATAATATTCTTTTCTCTGAGGACACTCATGTTAAAGGTGAATGGGATACAACTCTGAACAGGCATGTTTTTACTGATGAGGCTAAGACCTCAGGTTACTTGGTCATAGACAACGTGAATCCATGTCTACTTTAGGAATTTTAAGTAGAAACTTAATTATGTTATGTAATTTTTTATTTTAAAGACAGAGTCTCACTCTGTCGCCCAGGCTGGAGTGCAATGGCATGATCTCGGCTCACTGCAACCTCTGTTGCCCAGGTTCAAGCGATTCTCCTGCCTCAGCCTCCTGAGCAGCTGGGATTACAGGCCCCTGCCACTGCACCTGGCTAATTTTTTTGCAGTTTTTAGTAGAGACGAGGTTTCACCATCTTGGCCAGGCTGGTCTTGAACTCCTGACCTCATGATCCACCCCACTCGGCCTCCCAAAGTGCTGGGATTATAGGCCAGACCCTGCCTGGCTGAAACTTAATTCTTAAATGTTTCTTTTGCTTTTCATCTTGTGATGTATAATGTACAAGGCTAAGGCTGTTTCTCCAACTTATTTTTAAGTTTTTTATTAATGAGTACCACAAAAATTTCAGATCCCAAATTGGGTTCTTGGGAACTGTGAATTCAAAATGAGTTTCTGGCGGAATACTGTATATGCCTCTTGTTTCTTCCTGAATTAAAAAAAAAAAAAAAGTGTTAGGGCATTTTGATGTCCCTTCTCATGTGCTTACTGACTTTGGGGGCTTGTTTTTGTTTTGTAGGGTTAAAAACTAATATTTATATGACAGAAGAAAAAGATGTCATTCCGTAAAGGTATGCTCTTTCTACAAGTTAAGTTGTTTTTATACCTGGTCAAAGATAAAGAGGTATAACATAGGTTTTCCCTATCTATTTCAGTAAACATCATCATCTTGGTCCTGGCTGTTGCTCTCTTCTTACTGGTTTTGCACCATAACTTCCTCAGCTTGAGCAGTTTGTTAAGGAATGAGGTTACAGGTATGCGAGCACTTATTAATAATGCCTTAGAATCTGTTGCGGACCTGGTATTCTCTGTGTCACACATCCTAAGTTGTTCTTCTTCCGGTAGTACTAGCAGTTGTTTGTTAAGGGTTTGATCTGACAGAATATTCCTTTTCACCAAATCAGAGGCCTTAGGAGAGCCTCTGAGGGCTGCCATCTGTTCACATGTCAGCAGGACAGGGCTTCAGAAAGTGAGGGCATACCAGTGTCCTTGGTGTTTGATGCCTGCTCTAGTCACTAGAGTGTCAGTCTAGTTACTTTCCTTCAGCTGTGCAGCTGCATCAGTGGGACTGTAGCAATAAAAGTTTGTCAAGTGATTTTTAAAAATCACTGTGTTGTATAATATATCGCACAGTATATTGAATTAGTCGTTCATACTGTTCTCCCTTGGTACTGAGAAATGTTTGAGGCTTGAGTGTTTGTCAAAAATCATTTTTGGATTGCCACCCACCATAGCTGACCAGAGTGAGAGACTGTAATAGCTTTCCCCTGACTTTCACGGAGTGCTCTGATAGCATGTTTTATCACGTGTATATATGTATGATACATATAAAGTAATGCATGTTCCTGGTAGGAAAGTTTATAAAAAAGAGAACAGCGGCCGGGAGCAGTGGCTCATGCCTGTAATCCCAAAACTTTGGTAGGCCAAGGTGGGCGTCTCACAAGGTCAGAGATCGAGACCATCTCAGCACTTTGGGAGGCTGAGGTGGGCAGATCACGAGGTCAGGAGTACAAGACCAGCCTGGCCAACATGGTGAAACCCCGTCTCTACTAAAAATACAAAAATTAGCTGGGCGTGGTGGTATGCGCCTGTAGTCCCAGCTACTCGGGAGGCTGAGGCAGGAGAATCGCTTGAACCCAGGAGGCGGAGGTTGCAGTGAGCCAAGATCACGCCACTGCACTCCAGCCTGGTGACAGAGTGAGTCTTCGTCTCAAGAAAAAAAAAAAGAGACAACAGTATTTAAGCTCCATGAAGGCAATTTGTGTACTGTTTTATCTTCTGTGCCTATGGATGATGGCTGATACTAGCTGTTCAATAAATATTAGTTGGTTGAATGATTTCATTTACAATTTTGGCTTAGTACCTTCCAGTTTTTTCCTACACATCTTTTTTTCTGTACAGTTGAGATTGTACTATATATAAACTGTACATGACATGTTTTTCTGTATATCATGTCACTGTGATGGTAGAAACTCTTCATACATAATCTTAATGTCTATTAATTTGTTTCCACAGGATAACATCTTTTGCTACAACAGCTTTCAGACTTTTTGATGGCAGCCCTACAATAGGAAATACATTACATGTAGCACATGTACATACATGTGTATTTGCTTATTGGCTGTCTATCCTCAGAAAGTTAGGGATGTTTTATTCATGGCTGTAACCCCAGTGCCTAGATATTGCCTGGCACATAGTAAATACCAGGGTTCAATGAGGAATAAAAAAAAAAAAATGAAAGGCAAGAATGCATACAGGACAGTAATTGCAGTTTCCTTGTGTGATACACTATGTTTTCTTTGGTATTCTAATTCAGTTTTCTTTTTTTTTTTTTGAGATGGAGTTTTCCTATTGCTGCCCAGGCTGGAGTGCAGTGGTACAGTCTTGGCTCACTGCAACCTCCACCTCCCGAGTTCAAGCGATTCTCCTGCCTCAGTCTCCCAAGTAGCTGGGATTACAGGTGTTCACCACTACACCTGGCTCATTTTGTATTTTTAGTAGAGATGAGGTTTCACCATGTTGGTCAGGCTGGTCTCAAATTCCTGACCTCAAGTGATCCACCCGCCTCAGCCTCCCAAAGTGCTGGGATTACAGGCGTGACCTACCATGCCCGGCCTCTATTTCAGTTTTCTATTGCAATCCAGAAACTTTTTCTGTATAAATTGATTGTGACTCACTCAATTGGTTTCATGCCTACTTGTGATTCGTGACTTGAAAAACATTGATTTAGTTTGCTGCTAAGTTTTCACAATTTAAATAAAATTCTTTCTTTTGATTATATTTCAGATTTTGTCCTTAGGAAACTCTTGATACAAATTGCCATAATACATTCTAACAGGTTCTGTTATTTTCCTACCAGTAGTGTACCAAAGTGCTGTCAGTGTATTTTAAAAAATGCTTCCTCCACTTTTCCAAAAGCTTATTTACATACAGGGAAAGTTTCAGGGCTATATGCTTCAGTTTAATGGGGGAGAATGAGGTAGATCAGTACCATAATCCTTACCTTCCCTTTTTCCATGTCTTGGACTCTATATCAAAAGCCCATGAGATTGTAATCACAGTGCCTTCCTTGTGTTTTCAGATTCAGGAATTGTAGGGCCTCAACCTATAGACTTTGTCCCAAATGCTCTCCGACATGCAGTAGATGGGAGACAAGAGGAGATTCCTGTGGTCATCGCTGCATCTGAAGACAGGCTTGGGGGGGCCATTGCAGCTATAAACAGCATTCAGCACAACACTCGCTCCAATGTGATTTTCTACATTGTTACTCTCAACAATACAGCAGACCATCTCCGGTGAGCTCTGCTTATGTGATTCTGCTTCTAGAGGATGATTTAGAGCAGGCCAGCTGCCAATCCAGGATCTGTTTTTCTGTGGTTTGTATGTTGTTTTATACAATTGAAATTGTACCAGTGATAAACTGTACAAATGACATATTTTTTTTAGGACTGTATTATGAGCATATCCCCATAATAGGAGAAGTGATACAAGGAGCTCATGCCAGGAAGTAAGTCAGCTGTCACTCTGAACTGTTAACCCCACCTGATGGTGTTTTGATAATAATACTTTCTCAGTGAAGGGAGCAGTAAATGTTGATTTACAAGTCACAAGTTCCTTATTTCATGGACATGCTCGGAGCAGTTCTGGTCTAGAGTGGGAAGGGACTTAGCAACAATGGCAAGGTAGTGTTGTGATGCTGATCACAGATCCTGATCCAAATCCTGGCCCAGAGTGATCTGGGGAAACTTGGATAGTCTAATCCATTTTGAAAATGAATAAGACTTATAAAACTTACTCCAAATTTGTTGGTCTAACAAATTAACCAGTTGTCAAATTTCTGAAACATTTTGGTCCTTGTGGCCCTCTGCATGGTTCATATTTAGTTTTTAAAGCTGTAAATTCTGAACGCATTTAAAATACAGAAACAGAAGCTGTATAAAAATAGACTACAGAAATAACACTAAGTAGCCACAAAACACTGATTTGAAACTGACCTAGAAAAAATGTGCAGTACTCCTTTAGCAAACAGTTTTTTCTTACAGGTAGTGCCTCAGACTTGAGTGGTGGAATTAGGGTCACCACAGTTAAGAGTTGGATAGTCCAGGTGGTGATGAAATGTTCTTAATTCTATAGTTTTTCTAGAGTAGTTTTAGTGTTAGAAGATAATTACCATACAATCTTAATTCAGGGAGGGACTTTGGTGGGAATTACCCTCACTTCAGACGAGGAAACCAAAGCTCAGAGATAAAAGGAGCTTGAAAACACCTATTTGGTCCATAGGGTTTCTTTTGCATTATTCCCTCATTGGTTTGGAGACATTATTTGAAACTAAAATGTAGTGTTTTATCTTCATCAGGTCCTGGCTCAACAGTGATTCCCTGAAAAGCATCAGATACAAAATTGTCAATTTTGACCCTAAACTTTTGGAAGGAAAAGTAAAGGAGGATCCTGACCAGGGGGAATCCATGAAACCTGTGAGTTCCATGCATCCTTCTTTGCACTTGGCAGTATTAGGAAATAATGGAATACCTGGGTATCTGTGGGTATAGTGCAAGTAGTTTCCTGGGGACCAAGCCTGGGTGGTTCTAAGAGTCCTTTCTTCTCCTGAATGGGTACTGAAAGCATCCTAGGAGTTTCTGTGTAAATAAAAGCACAGCTAGTGCGGTATCCTATGCCAATTATTCTTTCCTTTTCCAGTTAACCTTTGCAAGGTTCTACTTGCCAATTCTGGTTCCCAGCGCAAAGAAGGCCATATACATGGATGATGATGTAATTGTGCAAGGTATCAAAAATGTCACCATGAGTGCTGTTCTCCACCCAGATTGGGTACAATTGCTAAATAAAACAATGGGCTACAGTGGGCTGTAGTGGTTTATTTATGGTCTTCTATAAAAGGTCACCATAGGGAGAAGTGGGAGTAACAGGGAACTCTCAAGGCAACGGAAATGTAAATCTTAACATCTTGTCTATTTCAGGTGATATTCTTGCCCTTTACAATACAGCACTGAAGCCAGGACATGCAGCTGCATTTTCAGAAGATTGTGATTCAGCCTCTACTAAAGTTGTCATCCGTGGAGCAGGAAACCAGGTAAATTGCTTACCAAACACCCCTCTTCCTACAATATTGTTTAATGGGAAGAGGTTGCAAATTCAGGGAACTCTTTTGCTGCAATTTACACTCCCCAATCATTTCATCCCAAAACTCAAGCCTGCTTTTCTGTAGACTTCTTCATGGACTTGACAGCCTAATTGTTCTTGAACATCTGGTTTATTATGTCAACATCTAGGTTCCTATTCTAACTTGGAATTTCAAATATTTATTTTCTAATCTGAAGAAGTCAGTTTAACAGCTCTTCTCTCTACTGGCTATAAAATTGTATCTATTTTGTTTGAAGCAGTAAGTACATATATCCTATTTGTGTTTTTAGTACAATTACATTGGCTATCTTGACTATAAAAAGGAAAGAATTCGTAAGCTTTCCATGAAAGCCAGCACTTGCTCATTTAATCCTGGAGTTTTTGTTGCAAACCTGACGGAATGGAAACGACAGAATATAACTAACCAACTGGAAAAATGGATGAAACTCAATGTAGAGTAAGTATGTAACTGGCCTAGCTGTGAAAAACTGTTGTATTTCAATTCCTAGAGTCTTGACTAACAGGAGTTAGTCAGTACTTTTCACTAACAAACATTTGTTTTCTGTCCCACCAAGAGAGGGACTGTATAGCAGAACCCTGGCTGGTAGCATCACAACACCTCCTCTGCTTATCGTATTTTATCAACAGCACTCTACCATCGATCCTATGTGGAATGTCCGCCACCTTGGTAAGTAGAATTAACCAGTGGCATAAGCTAGTAAAGAATTGGTATCTAAAGAACTATCCTCAGGGATGGGGTATATTCTTTGTTTCCCTTAAGTAAGTTTTCTGCACAATTTCACATGGCGCAACGATGTGGCTATTTTTGTCTCAAATGTAAGGTTCCAGTGCTGGAAAACGATATTCACCTCAGTTTGTAAAGGCTGCCAAGTTACTCCATTGGAATGGACATTTGAAGCCATGGGGAAGGACTGCTTCATATACTGATGTTTGGGAAAAATGGTATATTCCAGACCCAACAGGCAAATTCAACCTAATCCGAAGATATACCGAGATCTCAAACATAAAGTGAAACAGAATTTGAACTGTAAGCAAGCATTTCTCAGGAAGTCCTGGAAGATAGCATGCGTGGGAAGTAACAGTTGCTAGGCTTCAATGCCTATCGGTAGCAAGCCATGGAAAAAGATGTGTCAGCTAGGTAAAGATGACAAACTGCCCTGTCTGGCAGTCAGCTTCCCAGACAGACTATAGACTATAAATATGTCTCCATCTGCCTTACCAAGTGTTTTCTTACTACAATGCTGAATGACTGGAAAGAAGAACTGATATGGCTAGTTCAGCTAGCTGGTACAGATAATTCAAAACTGCTGTTGGTTTTAATTTTGTAACCTGTGGCCTGATCTGTAAATAAAACTTACATTTTTCAATAGGTATCTTCTTTTTTTATTCCAGATAACTACTTCCACTCACAATGAGATGAATTGTCTTTTTACAGAATTTAGGGATTCCAAGTTGCCTGGTTTTAATATAATACATATTCACAAAATTTACACAGCTCATGCATACCATAACTTATACAGAGAACAGTTTAGCAGTCTGCTTAAAATGTTAAAAAAAAAATCATAAAAAGCCATTGTTCTGTTACACATAATCTGTACTGAAGTCATAAGCATCATCCTCTTCAATGATTTTATCCAAGATAAAAGACCTTGTAGACTGTTCACCTATATTGCAGGAAAATAAAGAGATTTTCAAAAAGTAAAAGTGATTCTATACCATGCTGCTTCGTTAGAACCCCTTTTGCCTGCCTCACCTGCTGTAGTCTCCTCAGACAGTGCCTCCCCTGTCTCTTCTGCAGCAAACATGCCTGAGCTGTTTTCCTGTGTGACAAAGAAAAATAGTGCTGGATTAGTAGCCCTTGTCTGCTCATTTAATCCAAGTAGTTATGTACCTGAAAAATTAACTCTTTGGAGGTACATATAACGGGATGTGCAAAATTAAGGCTAATGGATCACAAGCCTCAAATATTTCCTATCTTCAGTTCCTTCCATTATGTATTATAATGCTAGAAAACTCACTTCAGTTTTAACTCATGGAGGACACACTTACATCAACTTCTTCATCAACAGTTTCCTGGTCACTGTCTTTGTCATCCTCCCTCTCCTCCTGCTTCCTTTCTTTCCGTTTTGGCAATTCTTCATGTATGTCCTTTTCTTCTATTATTCCATTTGTCAGACCGGAAGACTGGAAAAGGATGCTATTGGCCAAATGAGGGCCCTTGATGGCTGGGAAAGAAAGCAAGCCCATGTAAACAGGTAAGAGCTCCACTGGCCTGTCAGCTGATGAAGACAGCAGCGACACACAATTCTCACCTCTTATGCTCTGTGCATTGTTCTTTTCCAGTTCTTCCAGATTGAAGCCGCTTTTCATGTCTACCACAATACTCTCATTAAAATATGGAGGAGGAGTCCAAGATGTAGGGGGATGGCAATAGTAAGCTAATGAGGCACTGATATTAAAAATAAGATGTGTCAAAAGAAGGTTTATTCTAGTGGTCACCAAAATGCCAACAGAAAAGAAAGCTTACCCTGTCCACTCAGACCACAGCAGTTTGGCAGCACCTTCAACATTTGGGATTCCACCTTTTTGGTGCATACCTCTTCTCTGAGCAAGCACAGTAAAAAATTCCAGAGAATTCCTGTAGCCTGGGACAGTATATTTCAGTACTACCTTAAAAAAAAAACCAAACAAAGGAGCTGTCCTTCATCTGACATGCCAGTACTTTAAAACACTTCCAAGATTTTTCTACTCAAAATGCTTATGATGAAAGAAGATGGCTCCAAGGAGCTCATGAGAAGGGGTCCTTTTACCTGTCGAGCATCAGCCTGGGAAAGGATGGCACTGGCAGCCTCCATCGGTTTTACTACTTCAATACTTGCTGGACTTCGCAGAGCAAGCGCAGAGGAGGAATTAAGTGGAGATACGATGAAGCTCGGACTATCTATGATTGTGATCTGTTTGTCCAAGGGGACAACTTGCATGCTCCTGAAAGAAGAGCGATGGAATTGATGGGGGCATTGGTCTATTTGGAGGTTAAGAGACAGAACATGAAGCTCAGGGTTGGATTGAACAGACTCAGCACAGTCAGTCAGATCCAGTTTATCATCATTTGCTTCACATTTATCTAAAACTGTAACAGCATACCCGACTGTTCTAAAGAGAACACTACATGTTATAGCTTATATATTTACATCAACCAAAACACATGCTATTTCCTTTGCTATAAATATGCCACCTTCTGGCTGGGCGCGGTGGCTCACGCCTGTAATCCCAGCACTTTGGGAGGCCGAGGTGGGTGGATCACCTGAGGTCAGGAGTTTGAGACCAGCCTGGCCAACATGATGAAAGCCCTGTCTCTACTAAAAATACAAAAATTAGCCGGGTGCCTTTGATCCCAGCTACTCAGGAGGCTGAGGTTGCAGTGAGCCAAGATAGCACCACTGTACTCCAGCCTGGGAGACAGACTCCATCTCCCAAAAAAAAAAAATCTAAAAGTTGGCCAGGCACAGTGGCTCATGCCACCCAACACAAGTGTAATCCCAACACTTTGTGAGGCCTAGGCGGGTGGATGACTTAAGGCCAGGAGTTTGAGGCTAGCCTGGCCAACAGTGAAACCCCATCTCTATTAAAAATACAAAAACTAGCCAGGTGTGGTGGCAGACTTCTATCTGGCAAATTTCTATTAATTTCTCAAGGCCAGGTTCAAACATCACTTCCTCTGAGGGAGCTTTCCTCTCTCTCAATCTATCTGCTGAACTTGTCTTTCAAACTAAATTGTGGGCAGCTGTCCCACTCCAATCAGTTCTAGCACTGGCTTAAATCTCTGCTTTCACCAAAAGCTTTAAAAAATAAAAATAGGCCGGGCGCGGTGGCTTGGCCTGTAACCCCAGCACTTTGGGAGGCCGAGGCGGGCAGATCAGCTGAAGTCAGGAGTTTGAGACCAGCCTAACCAACATGGAGAAACCCGTCTCTATTAAAAATACAAAATTAGCCGGGCGTGGGGGCACATGCCTGTAATCCCAGCTACTCTGGAGGCTGAGGCAGGAGAATCACTTGAACCTGAGAGGTGGAGGTTGCAGTGAGCCGAGATTGCGCCATTGCCCTCCAGCCTGGGAACAAGAGTGAAACTGTCTCAAAAAAAAAAAAAAAAAAAATCACCTTCCTTGAGATAACCAAAATAAAATAGTGTGTCACTATAATATTACAATTATGGACACCTCCATTTACCTTGTAAGCCCCATGGATACACCAACATTACACATCTGTTCTTGTTTTAAGCTATTGATAATGCTGCTTTTCCCCACATTTGGGAAACCTACAAATAAATGGGAAATCCAGATATAAAAAGCATTATATGTTGGCACTTATGAAATTTTCACTGCCTAATTTTCCATTTCCCTGATGTTTAGGGCAAGATCAGAGTTGGATCTCAGTGTCTTCACTTCAATACTAAGACCAATTTTAGTTTCTTCATTTCTTGCACAAGTAATGCAAAGGCAGGAAAATACTATAAATTCAAACAAACCAAGAACTTTTAGAAACCAGCTTCCTACAGTAATCAGTCCCAACAAAAAACCTGAATCTGGCAGCAGTTGTGTAAGTTTTTTTCTTTAAATTGTGTGTGGTTATGTGCTTTCAGTAAGGTATAAGCAAGAAGCTAGTATTTGAGTGAGCCTTTTACTTGACAACAACTCCATACACTGCTGCTTGGGCACTTGGAGAGCTGGCTAAACTTCTTAACTATTTCAACACTTAAAAAGTAAAAAGTAATGAACTGAAACTCACCAATTACTCCAACCCGAATGGCTTTGCTGCAAGTTTCCTGAAAACCTCCAAGAAGTTTCCAAAGGCCCTCTTTCCCAAAGCAGACTTCACTTCTGAATGGAGCAGCATTCTTCTTTGCCTTCACACGCTAAAATTCCAAATAGTTGAATTATTCTGGCAACTTACCTGATAAATTTCAACAAACCCCAAGCAATCAGGCTCCAGAGCCCAGCTCTTAAGATAACTACATTGCCTTTCAGATGATCTCTGGCTGAAATCAGAGTTGGATCTTGTAATTTTTCATTCACTTAAATCAAGATTTTGTACACTCATCATATTTCAACCAAAATCTGAAAGAATCACATTTCTTACCACTAATAAAGGATACCTTGGTTATCTTCCCTTTATCCTTTGGTTTTGTTGAGGCTCTGAACACCACTGTTGGCAATTCTTTCTTCAAATAATTTAGCCAGCTCTCCAAATTCTCCTTTGGTACCAGATCTGATAGCAATTAGAAATAAGACATTTGCGGCCAGGCACGGTGGCTCACGCCTGTAATCCCAGCACTTTGGGAGGCCGAGACAGGCGGATCACGAGTTCAGGAGATCAAGACCATCCTGGCTAACACGATAAAACCCCGTCTCTACTAAAAATACAAAAAAATTAGCTGGGCGTGGTGGTGGGCACCTGTAGTCCCAGCTACTCGGGAGGCTGAGGCAGGAGAACGGCGTGAACCCGGGAGGTGGAGCTTGCAGTGAGCTGAGATGGCGCCACTGCACTCCAGCCTGGGTGACACAGCAAGCCTCCATCTCAAAAAGAAAAAAAGAAAAAGACATTTGCTCCAATGTGGCTATTTTGTTGAGATGCATTTGCAAAATCTGGCAACTATAGATTTTACTCTGGTTTACATTTTCCCAGTCCTTTCAAAAGGATTTAACTAGAAAATCAGGGCAGGGTAAGCTCCCCTACCATACTGCCCGTATCTTAACAGAGCTCAGCATCTGCACTTCTCTATTTCAATTCCCCTTGTATTGCTCACTTGAAAACTTCAGGACAGACTCAACGTCTGGATTACAACCCTACTAACCCTAGAGCTATGTTTCCAGAATTTACCTTTAGCTAGCAGCCAATTGTTTCTTCATTTTTGAGACGAAGTGTTGTTGCCCAGGCTGGAGTGCAGTGGCACAGTATCGGCTCACTGCAACCTCCGCCTCCCGGGTTCAAGCAATTCTCCTGCCTCAGCCTTCCGAGTAGCTGGGACTACAAGTGCCCATCATCATGCCCGGCTAATATTTGTATTTTAGTAGAGATGGGGTTTCGCCGTGTTGGCCAGGCTTTTCTCGAACTCCTGGCCTCAAGTGATGTGCCCACTTCAGCCTCCCAAGCAGCCAATTGTTTCTTAACCCCAACAACAATTTTAGATCTCATTCCCATTTTCTGCTTTGTAATTCTCTGTTCTGGGTTTTCTTTTTCCTGCTGCTCAAACTCAGATGCATAATTATGCATTTCATTTAAATATTTTGTCACATACGTTCCAATTTATTTCACTCTTGAACTAATACCCGACATTGTGTAGGTGTGGGGAATTTGTCACACTGTCATCACTTCCTAGATGAAATATACTACACAATAAGCTGGGTATAGCAGCTTACACTCTTTATTTAAAAGATGGTAAATACTGAATGGCAAAAGAATAGTAGAAACCAGTTGAGTCAGTTGTAAAAGTCACCTGGCTCCCCACTGCCTAGCACTGTCTCTGGCAAAGTGCACGTACTCTGGCTTTGCTGAGATCAGAGTTGGATCTAATCAGTCTTCAGTGACTATCAGACTGTTTCCTCGTACCTCACCCATGTACACAGAAGACAAAGGGTACCCTCTTTACTCACCTGATTTATTTAATATAAGTACCAGCTTTTTCTGTCCACTCTGGACAATGGCCTCTTCTACCTGAGGACATCTGCAACCAAGAGGATCTCTGGCATCCAACACCTCTAGGACAACATCGGAGGCTTCAATCACCTATCAAGGAAAAAATGACCAGAACTACATTATCAAGGAGAAAATGATCAGAACTACATCCCTTGTTCTGGTAATACCTTCCACAAGAGAGTACTGGCATTATCCATTTAGCAACAGGGTGAGCTCAGAGTTGGATCTCATGTCTTCACTTTGGTATGAAGAATGTTGACCCTCATCATTTCTCACACAGGAAAGTAAAACATAGGCTTGCTCAGCAGTCTCTGATCAAGATGGATTTCAAAAATGCAAATATCCCTGTCTGAATCCTCCCATAGTGAATTATATAGTTTGATAGGTCCTTCTGGCCTTGCCAAAAGCTGCTGAGGGGCAGTCAGGTTCTATCCATGGGGGAGTGAGCTTGGGAAAATGGATGTTGGGGATGGGAGTGCTGGAGAGCAACTACACCAAGTTGTCCTCCTTCACTTAGGTTTCAACAGAGTACTTTAGAGACCTTTAGCCTGACACTGCTTACTCCAATGTACCTTTCTCAATCTCAACACTATGTCAACGTTTTTTTTTAATGTTGTAAATCATGCTTACAGGCAGAACCAGTTTTGTGCAAATATTTAGAACCAAAGAAACTATTTCCGTCAGGTAAACATAGCAGGAAAGGCATTAAACAGCATAAGCTAGAGTCGAGTCACGAAATGATTTGTTGGTGAAAAGGTGGGAGGAGGGAGAGGATCAGGAAAGATAACTAATGTCGTACTAGGCTTAATACCTGGGTGATGAAATAATCTGTACAGCAAACCCCTATGACGCAAGTTTACCCATATAACAAACCTGCACATGCACCCTTCATCTTAAAAGGTTAAAAAAAAAATGACTTGAGTCTTTTAAACCTCATTACTACTGTCAGACACTGACCTAGGCTAAGATACCTTTTTAAGTTCTTGGCAGTACAGCTTCTTTGAATTCTGTTTGCCCGACTTGGCTTTGTTCTCAGTTTTGCAAAGCCCAAACTCCTAGAGGATAAAGGGGGAAATAACACAAAATTAGAAGTAGAGCAACTGTAACCTCTAACTCCATTTTCCACAGCTGAGTAGCAGCCCTTGCAGTTGTTAAATAGGTAAGATGGAGTCTGAACTCAGTTGTCTTCCTCCCAAGAAGCTCAGCAGCCTGTGGATGTGCTTTTATTTCTGCATCAGAACTCATCTCTCAGCCAGGCACAACAGCCCACACCTGTAATACCAGAAACTTCGGGAGGCTGAGTTGGGTGGATCACTTGAGACCAGCCTTGGCAATATAGTGAAAGCCCGTGTCTGCTAAAAAAAATTAGCCAGGCGTGATGGTGTGCTTCTGTAGTCCCAGCTACTTGGAGACTGAGGTGGTAAGACTGCTTGAGCCTGGGTGGTCCAGGTTGCAGTGAGTTGTGATTGTGCCACTGCACTCAGGCCCAAGCAAAAAAACCAAAATCAAAACCCCTGATCTCTCATTCATAAAGAGACCTAATCATACCTTTTCCATAGGTTCCACATTTGATGGCTTAATATCAGGATTAGTTTCAAGTTTTCTTTTCTTTTCTAGTTCCTTCTGCCTGTCAAGTTTCTGCTGCTGTTTTAGTTCTTCAAGCTGTCAGAGCCATAAGGGAAATAGGTGAACCAGTGACTAGTGTTGTTACCTTACTCTGAAAAATATCACACATAACACACTACACCACTCAATGAAAATTCTGGCTAACATAACTTACCCTCTGTTTCCTTAGCTCAGCTTCCCTAAGAAGAGCCTCCTTAAAGGGAGCACTGTTTGGAACTCCTGGGTCTTTCCTAGGCTTCTTGTGACCCCGCTTTTTAGCCTCCTTTCTTAATTTTCGATGATGTTCTCGAACCTATTAAAATAAAGAGATTTTGTCTGCTTACAAAAATATCTTTATACTTAAGCAGAATTCAAGTGAGAAACCAATCTGGCTGCAATTTAGTTATGCCTATAAAATGTCCTAGGAAAATGGAGCTTTAATTGGAATCTTACAAAGTAATGCATATGTAAGTATAAAACAGCAAGAAATTGTAACTAGAAGGCTCTCTATGCAGAGATTAACATGCTGAACAAATTTAGAGACTTATCACCAAATCACTGCACTTTCTCACAGCTGCACTCCTGATGCCTAAGAGCTTGTGCCCATGGTCAGTCTATCCAATGCCATTTCCCAAAACCAAATCACATTAACCCAGACTTTCCCGCAAAGGAACAGGGCAAAATCAGTTTAGCAATGTGTTTGGTACAGCTCTCTCAAGCACTACACTTACCTTTTTTTGGATTTTATACCGCTTATGGCAGGTCATGCGTTTACTTGCTTTCTTTAACTCTACAAAGAAACACATCACAAATCTGTTAACCCAAATGATTAGTTCTGGGTTAACGCACTATGGAGTTATATCCTTTTCTTGTGTTATTGGCTACCAAACCTAACGTTAAGTCTAATGCGAAATGCCTAATGCAAACATACGTGCTACTTTCAAATCCCAGAGAATTAAATTCAGTAGATCCAGAATGGAGTCAAAATTCCCTGCACTTACCCTCACAATATTAGAATGGGATCATACACAACAGCGTATGAGACACAAAACGACAACCACTTCGTGTCAAACAGCACGAATCATAAGGCAGGAGAGGAACACTGAGTCTGGGAGGCGATTCTCAGCTCTCACCTGGGCCAGTCTGCACGTGGCCACGGAAAGAAAATATTGGGCCTCAAACCTGGCTCAGACGCTGCTTCCTTACGAAAATCTAGCCTAGTCTTCCCCACCCTCTGCCCGGCTTCGTTCCGCAGAATGAGCCCGCGCGGTTAACATGATCGCCGTAGGGACTTCCAACTCTCGGTTCTACCAGGAAATAGGGCCAAGGCCTACGCGTAGGCTCCCACCCCCATACCAGCAGAGACAAAGCCGTAGCCGTAGAAGAGCGTCGTGGTGGCTGCAGCAACTTCCAGACGTGGGTCCCTCCACGCCCGCCTCCCGACCCCACTTACTAGGCCTTTTCATATTGGCTGTAGAAGGAAGCACAAACACATCAACCTGCCTCCGCTGGCGCCACGTGTGAACTGAAGCCACTGACGAGCGTCACGCACTTACGCTGCCGCCGTAAAGTGCGTCACCGCCTCTCTGCGTGCGCGGGCACGCAGTGTCGCGCGGAGCAGGGATCGCTTGGCGGCCGCGGGACTGGTTTTGCGGCGGCACCGGGAGGGGTAAGGGAGGTGAGGGCGGCGGGTGCCGAAGCGACGGCAGCGGCCGCGGCCGGAGGAGCAATAGCAGCAGCCGTGGCGGCCACGGGGCGGGGCGCGGCGGTCGGTGACCGCGGCCGGGGCTGCAGGCGGCGGAGCGGCTGGGTAAGGCCGGGCCCAGGGCGGGTGGGGCCGCTCCCCCTTGGTCAGCTGCCGGGCCTTTGTGTGGGCCCGGGCGGGCGGGAGCCGCGGCGGAAGCCCCGCCCCGGCCGTGGGGACGCGCGGGTCGGGCCGGGCGCGCGGGGTTGGGCGGGGCGCGGCGGCTGGCCTCCGGATGGGCCCAGTAGCCTTGTCGCACCTGCCGGCAGGGACAAAGGCGCACTACGGGTCGGAAACTCCCCGCGCTCCTCTTTCCCGCTCGTCGCGGGGCAGCTTCAAAGCTGTCAACGTTTCCCTCAGTCCCCAATACCAGTGACAGGTCGGGAAAGTCCTTCATTTCCTCCGTTGCTCAGGGCCTCTTTTTTTTGTTGTGGTTTCTTGACGGTTCGACACAAACTCTTAGTGATTTTCTTTCCGTATTTTTTCCGGGTATTTTAATCAATGGGACTTGTATTTATAGTAGAGGCCAGATATTTCAGCTTCTCAACACCACAAAGAATCCGGGATTTTGGGAACTGTGTATATTTCTTGGTTTGGGGAAGCACAGTTTTGTTATTATAATAAGTTTTAATTTAAAGGGGAAGAAAGAGTTGCAAAAATATAGAAAAAGCCCTGAAAAATAAGTACACGGTATAGTGGATATAGAAATTCTTACAATAATTATAGAAGCGTATGTTGGGGTGAATTGTTTTAATTAACTTACTTTCCAACACAGGATTCTTGACAAATAATTTTAGGTATTATTTTTTTCTCCATTTGGCTATGTGCTTTTCCCCAAAAAGTGCAAATTGGACTCATGCACATAAAAGAGTAGCATAATTTTTGCTTTATTACTTACAGGTCGCCCATATTTGATTTTGAGCTCCAAAATGGAAGATTGGAAAATATGTTTTGAAGAGGTGTTTCAAATTAAAACAATAAAGAGTTTATGTGTGGATGAATGGAAGGGCCTTGACCGCTTTCTTTGGCTTTGGGAATGTACAAAATACCTCAAATGTTAATATCCTACCAAAATTCCCAAGATAAGTAAATTGTGGTGTATCTATATGATAGATTACTATCAAGTCATCAAACATCATGAGGAAGAATGTTGACTTGGAAGAACCTTCACTAAAACACAGGCTGTAGAATAATATATGTGGTTTGTTAACATTTTGGTAAAAAATAATAGGTAACTAAGGCATAAATACCAAAAACCGAATGACAACGTTAAGAGTGGTTTTTTTCTTGGAAGTAGGTTTATAGGTGTTTTTTTTCCTTTGAGTCCTGTTTTCCAAGATTTTGTTTTAAACATGTATTGTATTGCTAAATATTACTAGAAATATAGGAGAGGGCTAAAGTTCATAAACGGTCGAAATACACTGTTTGTCTATAGTAAGTCGATATTCTCCCAGTTGCACATTATTAAGTATTCTTAACTGTCCACTATAAATTATTGATTGTTAGACTTTTGAACTTGTAACTGTAATCAAGGCCATTTTAAAACTTGGCATTGAACTCTGGAATCTGTCTTTCCTCTTCATGGAAAGACAAAATTGCTGAAGGGATGCTTACAGGCATTTTTTTTTTTTTTTTTTTTTTTTTTTTGAGACAAGGTCTGACTTTGTTGCCCAGGCTGGAGTTCAGTAAAGTGATCATGGCTCACTGAAGCCTTGTGCTCCTAGGCTCAAGCAGTCCTCTCACCTCAGCATCCCAAGTAGCTGGGATTACTGATGTGCAGCACCACACCCAGCTAATTTTAATTTTTGTAGAGAAAAGATCAATCTATGTTATCCAGTCTGGTCTTGAACTCTCTGCCTCAAGCGGTCATCCTGCCTCAGCCTCTCCAAGTGCTGGGACTACAGATATGAGCCCCTGTGCCTGGCTGAGGACTTTTAAACTATACAAATAAACTTTTTTTTTTGAAGGTCTCAAGTGCACTTTTTTTTTGTTTTTTTTGGAGACAGTCTTACTCTGTCCCCCAGCCTGGAGTGCAGTGGCGCAATCCCAGCTCACTGCAATCTCTGCCTCTCTGGTTCAAGCAATTCTCGTGCCTCACCCTCTCGAGTGCCTGGGATTACAGGTGCATGCCACCACCTTGCCTAGATAATTTTTTGTATTTTTGATAGAGACGGGGTTTCACCGTGTTGGCCAGGCTGGTCTTGAACTCCTGACCTCAGGTGATCTGCCCACCTCAGCCTCCTAAATTGCTGGGATTACAGGCATGAGCCACTGTGCCTGGCCCTAAGTGCACTTTTAATACATTTATTAAAAGATAAACTGAGCACATAACCTATACCAAATACTATCCTGTAAGACAGGTCTACAAAAATGAATATGCTGTTCCTGTGCCTGGGGAACATGCAGAAGTGATTTCACTTTATGTTGTTTTTTTTTTTTTCTTGAGACGGTCTCGCTCTGTCACCCAGACTGGAGTGCAGTGGTATGATCTCGGCTTGCTGCAACCTCTGCCTCCTGGGTTCAAGCAATTCTCATGCTTCAGCCTCCCAAGTAACTGGGTTTACAGGCATGCACTGCCTCAGCCAGCTAATTTTTTTTTTTATTATTTTTTTGAGACAGAGTCTTGCTCTGACGTCCAGGGTGGAGTGCAGTGGTGCCATCTCGGCTCACTGCAACCTCCGCCTCCCGGGTTCAAGCGATTCTCCTGCCTCAGTCTCCCAAGTAGCTGGGATTACAGGTGCGTGCCACCAAGCCCAGCCAATTTTTTTTGTATTTTTAGTGGAGACGGGGTTTCACCGTGTTAGCCAGGATGGTCTTGATCTCCTGACCTCAGGTGATCCATCCGCCTTAGCCTCCCAAAGCGCTGGGATTACAGACATGAGCCACCGCACCCAGCTAAATTTTTGTATTTTTCTTTAGTAGAGACAGGGTTTCACCACGTTGGCCAGTCTGGTCTCGAACTCCAAGTGATGCACTGGCCTCGGCCTTCCAAAGTGCTGGGATTACAGGCATGACCCACCACTCCCGGCATTACGTTCTTATTTTAGAGATGAAACAGATCTGAGAGGTTACATCAACTAATCAGACAACATCAAGCTGATAATCAGAGGTGGAAGACTTAGGACTCCTATTCTGGTCTTAGGAGCAAAGGTCCTGTTGTTTCTCCCACCTTATAACATTGCCCTTCTTGTCAGACTTTCAAAATACATTTTAAAATGTGTCCCATGGATAAGAAAATACTTGAAAATTATCCTTAAGTTGAAACTTTTTCTTATCTTACCAAAGTAAATTAATGATTCAAGGATATTGGGATATTGTGTCATCCGAACGACATACACATGCTGATAATGTATTTTTTTGTCATTTGATTTTCAGTGGATTATTTATAAAAGTAATTTTGAACTCCTGCCAAAATGGTTGGCCCTTTTTTTTTTTTTTTTAACCTTGTCAAATTTTTATATGGTGTCTCCAATGCAGATAGGACTTTTGGAAATAAATGTTCTTTCTCTGAATTTTTTTTTTGTGGGGGAGGGTGTTTTCCAGACCTTTTGCTCACATGAGCCATTCTTGGTTTGTTCCAGCTTGCCAACACTTGGTGTCACATGTGAGCCTCCCACATGTATTCACTCTCCATTCCAGCTCTGTGATTGAACTCTGCTCTTATTGACTAGGGGGCAGTTGGGCAGGCATGCCTCATTCCTGGAATTGACAGTCATTCCTAATGTGAGTAAAGGGGAACCTCAATGAGACATCTTTAAACATATGAAAGCATTTGGTTTTAAAATGGAAGAACTGTCAGGTACTGTTAGTGCCTGAGCCTTTGCAGCAGTTTGTTTGATAGGTACAAGAGAACTGATATGCCTGTTTTCTCCAGTTCTCTTTATCTTTCTTTAGCAGTTCTATTTGAATGTTTTCTATCTATTCGTACTCATTTTTACTCCTTCTGACCCTTCTTTTCTATTTCCCCCTTCTCTGCCTTGTTCTTCTTTTTCAGTTTTGAATATACTAACACTGAATCAGCACTTCTAAAGCCCTTCCTTCTCCCACTGGCTTCACTTGGCTTTCAGACATAATGAGGAGACTGGCTTTTCGAGGCGCTGGTTGTGCTCTGGTAAAGCTGGTAAATTACTGATTATCTACACCCTTTCCCTTTTCTGTCCTTCCTTGACTTTTTCCTTCCACCTTTCTTAAATTTTTGTTATCCTTTCCACAAAGATTCCCTCCTTATGTTCATCAAATTCACTTGTGTCTTTGTCATAGATTGTTTAAAAGGGATTGGTCCTTAATTTATCTTAATGAATTGAGTCCTGTTGATCAGCTTTTTATAAAATGAACAAAAATCAGCAAAACTTGGCTAAGTTTTGGCTAAGCCTTTTGACGATTTTAACTACTTTTAGCCAACTTCAAACTAATAATACTGTATAACAAACCGAAGCCTAGAGTAAGGAACATCATCGTGGTAGATTTTGTTTTAAACACCATGTGGACTTTAGTTTGGAAAAAGAGATCTGAGACTTCTCTTTTTCCTTAATTGCTCACCAGGATTTTCAAATGTGATTCTTTTGCTCCTTCTTTCTGTTTCCTGGAGATCCCCAACCTTTCTTTCCATACTGCTGGCAACCAGTGTTCTCCTGTTCTAATCATTCAGCTGCTGGTGTCGTAGTGTCCTGAAATTCAGTGTTTCCATGTGCCTTACAATTATGAGGTACTCTAGTTCTATGAGGTTCCTCATAATTGTAAGGCACATGGAAAAGCAGATGAGGTGCTGACTCAAGAAGTGAATACCTTGGGGCCTCTGAACCCCAGGCCTGCCTGACTACCTCAGGGGCTGAAGGATCAATACCTTCAGTGTTGATGAGTGAAACTGGGATCTTTTTTTTTCTTTTAGCTTTAGAAAAAGGCCTTTGACGGGCGGATCACGAGGTCAAGAGATTGGGACCATCCTAGCCAACATGGTGAAACCCCGTCTCTACTAAAAATACAAAAATTAGCTGGGTGTGATGGCACACGCCTTAGTCCCAGATACTCTGGAGGCTGAGGCAGGAGAATCGCTTGAAACTGGGAGGTGGAGGGAGGTTGCAGTGAGCAGAGATCGTGCCACTGTACTCCAGCCTGGTGACAGAGCGAGACTCCACCTAAAAAAGAAAGAAAGAAAGAAAGAAAAAGGCCTTTCAAATCACAATATACTATTTGATAGTATTGTTAGATTGTATTGCAATATAAGCATTGCAGGACTTTCTTGGGTATATACTATCTGTAGCAGATCATTCAGTGGTTGCATTTCTTGTGTTGTAAATAGAGTTATAGTTAAAATTGTTATAGTTAAATAGAGTACGTGTTATAGTTAGAGTATGTCATATCACTAAAAGGTGATTAGTTTGAATTAACAGAAGAGTTTCAAAGGATAGTTTGTACCTCTGTCTAGGTATAGCAAGTCTCATTAAGTGTTTTCCAGGGATATGTCTTGTGGATCCTGTTTTAATGAATGGAGAACATTCATTTTCAGGGTTTTAATTTTAGAGTACATCTAAAGTGCTAGAAGGTTAATTGTCCTCTGTCCCCTTACCTTTTTGCACTACTCATTTGTCCTGGGCTCTGCTTCTTGCTCTTTTCCACATGATGGCCCACCTAGCAAATGATCATAATTGTAAGGCACATAGAGAAGCAGATGAGGTGCTGACTCCAGAGGTGGATACCTTGGGGCCTCTGTACCCCAGGCCTGCCTGACTGCCTCATGGGCTGAAGGCTTAATACCTTCAGCACACTAATGTACTGCTACATATAGGTTGGGAAACTCTAGGCCAAATTTGGAGCCAGAAGTTGAGTCATTCAAGATTGCTGATATACAAATGAATATGCTTTTGTTGAATTTGTCCCATCAAAATTGGAAGTATAGCATTCTGGTAAGTGAAAGACTAAAACAAGGAAGTCCAGGGCTTAAAAAAAAAAAAAAACTTATAGCTAGTTAAACTACAACACGTTAAAATATCCTCCTAAGTGAGCCAGGAGTTTGGTAGCAGGTGTCCAGCTGAAGACTTGGTGACAGAGTCTATTTAAATGTAAGAACATGGCTGATTATTTCTTATAGAAGAAGTTGGATTCCATGGGTTCCAAGAGAAGAAGAGCTACCTCCCCTTCCAGCAGTGTCAGCGGGGACTTTGATGATGGGCACCATTCTGTGTCAACACCAGGCCCAAGCAGGAAAAGGAGGAGACTTTCCAATCTTCCAACTGTAGATCCTGTGAGTAACTTGGATTACATGGTTTCTGCCTGCTCTTCCCACAATTCCCCTATCTTCCCTTTAATGGTAAAATTGTTACGATGCAAGGCATCTCCACTTTTTTAAGATTCTCTTGATTAATAGTCTTTTCTTTTATGAACATTATGTATTCAGCTAAGTCTTAGAGTAATAGTGTGATCTTATGAATAATTTCAGTATGTTACATCATATATTAATTCAGCAAATAACTGTGTGACTATCATGTGACAAGCACTGTTCTCATGGTTGGGATATAGCCATGTGGAAACAAGCCCATTTTTCACATGGAACTTAGATTCCAGGCGGGGGAAGTAGAATGTAAACAAGTAAACGAATAAAGAATAATGTATCCTTAGCTAGTAATAAGTGCTAAGAAGAAAATTTTGGGTGATTTGGGCTGTTTTGGCCTGAATTCGCTGGAAGAGAGTTCCAGACAGAACCAGTGCAGAGGGGTTGGGTCAGGGATGAGTTTTGTGTGTCTTGGTTACAGAGCAGGGGATGGTCAGGAAGGAGAAGGAAACTGGCAAGCTCCACCCATTCAGAGTATGTAGGGCCCACACAAGCAATGTTTGGAGTTTAGATTTTATTCTCTGTGAAGTGATAAACCCTTCTGTCAGATGGCTTTAAGCAAGAGAGTGATAAACTGATTTAGTTTCAAAGAAGAAAACCCTTCAATTGGATGACTTTAAGCAAGAAAGTGATGAACTGATATAGTTTAGAAGACAAAATCACCAGGAGCATAAATCTGATGAAAGATACCAAAAAGTTAGTCAACTCAGTTGTTTGAAAGGAGACATATTGTCAGCATATTTCAGACTTTAGCATGTTTGGTAATATTGAGAGTCATCATTTTTCTTCTCTACTTGCCTTTTATTGAAGAGTAGAAAATAATTCTTATGTCTACACTGGCTTTCTGTTCACTTTTTTAGTGATTTTTTTCTCCTTTGCTAATGTGTAGATTGCCGTGTGCCATGAACTCTATAATACCATCCGAGACTATAAGGATGAACAGGGCAGACTTCTCTGTGAGCTCTTCATTAGGGCACCAAAGCGAAGGTGAGTTCGAAGCACATCAGTACAGTTGCGGGGGATTTGGTCCAGAGTCCATGTGTATTAAAGTGTTTGGAAATTGAGCTTTTTGTTGGCAGGAATGGCTTAAATGATACTGGGGTCCAATTTTAGTCTTTAGTCTTTAGTAATCAAGCTGTAGTGAAGCTTTTTTTAAATTAAAAATCTGTTGAGCCAGGCACAGTAACATGCACCTATAATCCCAGCTACTTGATTTTTTGAGCCAGGCACAGGAGCATGCACTTGTAATCCCAGCTACATGGGAGACTAAGGCAAGAGAATTGCTTGATCCAAGGAGTATGACACCAGCCTGGGCAACATAATGAGACCCCGTCTCTTAAAAACAAAAACAAAAAAAATGACCTATGCGGAAAGATCTCTTGAGGCCAAGAATTTGAGACCAGCCTGGGCAACATAGTGAGACCCATCTCTACAAAAAATTTTTTGAAAAATTAGCCAGGTGTGGTGGTGCTCACCTATAGACCCAGCTACTAGGGAGGCTGGGGTGGTAGGATTGTTTGAGCCTGGGAATTTGAGGCTGCAGTAAGCCATGAGTGTCACTGCACTCCAACCTGGGTGATGGAGCAAGAGCTTGCCTAAAAATAAATATTTAAAAAAGAGTACTGACCAGGCACAGTGGCTCACGCCTGTAATCCCACCACTTTGGGAGGTCTATAGGTGGGCAAATCACCTGAGGCCAGGAGTTCGAGACCAGCCTGGCCAACATGGCAAAACCCTGTCTCTACTAAAAAATACAAAAATTAGCCAGGTGCAAGGCTGGGCGCAATGGCTCATTCCTGTAATCCTAGCACTTTGGGAGGCGAAGGCGGGTGGATCAGCTGAGGTCAGCAGTTTGAGACCAGCCTGGCCAACGTGGTGAAACCCCGTCTCTACTAAAAATACAAAAATTAGCCAGGCTTGGTGGTGGGCGCCTGTAATCCCAGCTACTTGGGAGACTGAGGCAGGAGAATCACTTGAACCCGGGAGGTGGAGGTTGCAGTGAGCCGAGATCGTACCGTTGCACTCCAGCCTTGGTGACAAGAGTGAAACTCCATCTCAAAAAAAAAAAAAAAAAAAAAGCCGAGCATGGTGGTGGGGCGCCTGTAATCCCAGCTACTTGGGAGGCTGAGGCAGGAGAATTGCTTGAACCTGGGAGGCAGAGGTTGCAGTGAGCTGAGATCCCGCCACTGTATTCCAGCCTGGGTGATAGAGCCATTCTGTAGGTTGCCTTTTCATTTTGTACGGTGTCCTTAGATGTACAAAAGGTTTTAATTTTCATGAAGTTTATGTTGTCTTTTTCTCTTGTTGCCTGTGCCTTTGGTGTCATATCCATGAAATTAATGCCAAATCCAATATCATGAAGCTTTTCCCCTATGTTTTTGTATTAATCAGGGTTCTCTTGGACAGGACTAGGCTGCAAATTTTCCAAACTTTTATGCTCTGCTTCCCTTATAAAACTGAATGCCTTAAACAGTACCCAACTCACCTCTTGAATGCTTTGCTGCTTAGAAGTTTCTTCTGCCAGATACCCTAAATCATCTTTCTCAAGTTCAAACTTCCACAGATCTCTAGAGCAGGGGCGAAATGCCCCAGTCTCTTTGCTAAAACATAACAAAAGTCACCTTTACTCCAATTCCCAGCAAGTTCCTCATCTCCATCTGAGACCACCTCAGCCTGGACCTTATTGTCCGTATTGTTATCAGGCTTTTGGTCAAAGCCATTCAAGTCTCTAGGAAGTTCCAAACTCCCACATTTTCCTGTCTTCTTCTGAGCCCTCCAAACTGTTGCATCCTCTGCCTGTTATCCAGTTCCAAAGTCGCTTCCACATTTTCGGGTATCTTTTCAGCAGCGCCCAACTCTACTGGTATCAATTTACTGTATCAGTTGGTTTTCACACTGCTGATAAAGACATACCCGAGACTGGGAAGAAAAAGAGGTTTAACTGAACTTACAGTTCCATATGGCTGGGGAGGCCTCAGAATCATGGTGGGAGGTGAAAGGCACTTCTTACATCAGTGGCAAGAGAAAAATAAGCAAGAAGCAAAAGTGGGAACCCCTAATAAACCCATCAGATCTCATGCAACTTAATCACTATCACGAGAATAGCACGGGAAAGACTGGCCTCCATGATTCAGTTACCTCCCTCTGGGTCCCTCCCACAACATGTGGGAATTCTAGGAGATAACAATTCAAGCTGAGATTTGAATGGGGATACAGCCAAACTGTATTGGTTTTCCTCTAAGAGTTTTATAGTTTTAGCTCTTACATTTAGGCCTTTGATCCATTTTGAATTTTTATAAGTAGTGTTTAGGTAAGGATCCCGCTTCATTCATTATTTTTTTTTTTTTTTTTTTTTTTTTTTTTTTTTTTTTTGAGACGGAGTCTCGCTCTGTCGCCCAGGCTGGAGTGCAGTGGCGGGATCTCGGCTCACTGCAAGCTCCGCCTCCCGGGTTCACGCCATTCTCCCGCCTCAGCCTCCCAAGTAGCTGGGACTACAGGCGCCCGCCACTACGCCCGGCTAATTTTTTGTATTTTTAGTAGAGACGGGGTTTCACCATTTTAGCCGGGATGGTCTCGATCTCCTGACCTCGTGATCCGCCCGCCTCGGCCTCCCAAAGTGCTGGGATTACAGGCGTGAGCCACCGCGCCCGGCCCCCGCTTCATTCTTTATATGTGTGTATCCAGTTTTCCCGGTATCGTTTGTTGAAAAGACTGTGCTTTTCTCATTGAATGGTTTTGGCGCCTTTGTCAAAATTTGCTTGACCGTGTATGTGAGGGTCGTTTCTAGGCTCCATTCTATTCCATTGGTCCCTGTGTCTGTTTTTATACCAGTAGCACACATTTTGATTACTGTGAACAACATATTCAGTGGCAAAATACTTAAAGCTTTTCCTCTAAGATCACGAACAAGACAGAGATGCCCACTTTCACCACTTCAACACCTTGTTCACTGTGGAATAAATCCCACCTGGTTATGGTATATAATCCTTTTAATATCCTGCTGAATTCAGTTTGCTAATATTTTATTGAGAAATTTTGCATCAGTATTCATAAGGGATATTGATCAGTAGTTTTCTTGTAGTATCTTTGTCTGGCTTTGGTATCAGAGTAATGCTAGCTTCATAGAATAAGTTAGGACGTGACCTCGCCTCTTCAATTTTTTGGAAAAGTTTCATAAGGCTTGGTGTGTTAGTTCTTGAAATGTCTGGTTAGAATTCATCAGTGAAGCTATCAGTCTAGGGATTTTCTTTGTGGGAGATTTTTTATTACTGATTCAGTCTCCTTACTAGTTATAGGTTTACTCAGGCTTTGTATGTCTTTAGTAGGTTGTGTGTTTCTAGGAAATTATCCATTTCTTCTAGTTTATCTAATTTGTTGGCATACATGTTTTCCTAGAACTCTCATAATCCTTTTTATTTTTGTGGCATTGGTTGTAATGTCTCCTCTTTATGATTTTAGTTATTTGCATCTCTTTTCTCCCTTACTTCTTCCCTCCCTCCCTCCTCCTTTCTGTCTTTTTTTGAGACAGGATCTTGCTTTGGCACCCAGGCTGGAGTGCAGTGGCAATCACAGTTCAGTGCAGACTCAACCTCCCGGACTCAAGCAGTCCTCTCACCTGATGCTACCATACCTGGCTAATATATATGTTATATATACGTGTGTATGTATATAGTAAACACATAAAATATATATATTGTATATATAACGTATTTTTTATTTATATATGTAAAAATATGCTGGATTCTTACCTAACGCTACATACATATTAAAAAATAACGTATGTAATGTTAGGTAAGGAGATATATGTGTGTGTGTGTGTGTATATATATATATATATATATATTTTTTTTTTTTTTTTTGGTAGAGACAGGGTTTCCCTGTGTTGCCCAGGCTGGTCTCAAACTCCTGGGCTCAAGTGATCCTCCTACCTTGGCCTCCCGAAGTGCTAGGATCACAAGTGTGAGCCACCACACCCAGCCTCTCTCTCTCTTTTTTTTTTTTTTTTTTGAGATGGAGTTTCGCACCAGGCTGGAGTGCAGTGGTGCGATCTCGATTGTGGCTCACCACAACCTCCGTTTCCCAGGTTCAAGCGATTCTCCTGCCCCAGCTTCCCGAGTAGCTGGGATTACAGGCATGGGCCACCACGCCCAGCTAATTTTGTATTTTTAGTAGAGACAGGGTTTCTCTATGTTGGTCAGGCTGGTCTCAAACTCCCGACCTTAGGTGATCCGCCTACCTTGGCCTTCCAAAGTGCTGGCATTACAGGCGTGAGCCACCGTGCTCAGCTCTTTCTTTCTTAGTTAATCTAGCTAAGTGTTTACCAATTTTGTTGATCTTTTAAAAAAACCAACTGTTTAATTTTTAAAATTGTTTTTCTATTCTCTAATTTCGTTTATCTGCATTCTATATATATATCTATATATATATTTTTTTTTTGAGACAGTGTCTTGCTCTGTTGCCCAGGCTGGAGTGCAGTGGCGTGATCATGGCTTATTGCAGCCTCTGCCTTCCAGGTTCAAGTGATTCTTATGCTTCAGCCTCCCAAGTAGCTGGGATTACAGGCGTGTGCCACCATGCCTGGCTAATTTTTGTATTTTTAGTAGAGATAGGGTTTCACTTTGTTGCCCAGGCTGGTCTTAAACTCTTGACCTCAAGTGATCTGTCCACCTCATCCTCCCAAAGTGCTGGGATTATAGGCATGAACTACTGCACTGGCCCTCCTTTCTATTTATTATCTACTGCTAGCTTTGGGTTTAGTTTGCTCTTCTTTTCTCTAATTCCTTGAGAAAGAAGCTTTTTTTTTTTTTTTTTTTTTGAGATGGAGTCCCACTCTGTTGCCCAGGCTGGAGTGCAGTGGCACAGTCTTGGCTCACTGCAACTTCCACCTCCTGGGTTCAAGCAATTGTCCTGCCTCAGCCTCCCGAGTAGCTGGGATTACAGGCATACACCACTATGCCTGGCTAATTTTTTTTGTACTTTTAGTAGAGACGGAGTTTTGCCATATTGGCCAGGCAGGTCTCGAACTCCTGACCTCAGGTGATCCACCCGCCTCAGCCTCCCAAAGTGCTGGGATTACAGGCATGAGCCACTGCACCTGGCCGAGAGTGAAGCATGTTTTTTAAATTATTTAATTTTTTTGTTTCATTTTGTTTTTTAACACCTGGTTCACATAGGCAGTATAAAAATTAATAGTTCTTATGGCTGGGCGCGGTGGCTCATGCCTGTAATCCCATCACTTTGGGAGGCTGAGGCGGGTGGATCACTTGAGGTCAGGAGTTCGAGACCAGCCTGGCCAACATAGTGAAACCCTGTCTCTACTAAAAATGCAAAAATTAGCCGGGCGTGGTGGTGGGTGCCTGTAATCCCAGCCACTTGGGAGGCTGAGGTGGGAGAATTGCTTGAACCCGGGAGGCGGAGGTTGCAGTGAGCTGAGATTGCACCATTGCACTCCAGCCTGGACAATAAGAGCAAAACTCCGTCTCAAAAAAATTAAAAATTAATAAAAAAAATTAATAGCTCTTAAGACTGTATTGAAGTTGTCACAGTGATAGTTAAAAGGGATCAGTTTTTTAAATTACACAGAGAGGCATCTTGCACACAACTTCCTATGGAAGGTATGTTCCCCTAACTAGAACATCTTTCCTCTCTTGCTGTCAAAATATAATCACTATTCTCTTCAAAACTCTGGCAATTGGCCAGGCGTGGTGGCTCATGCCTGTAATCCCAACACTTTGGGAGGCCGAGACAGGTGGATCACCTGAGTGCAGGAGTTCGAGACCAGCCTGACCAACATGGAGAAAGCCCATCTCTACTAAAAATACAAAATTAGCCGGGCGTGGTGGTGTGCACCTATAATCTCAGCTACTCGGGAGGCTGAGGCAGGAGAATCACTTGAACCCAGGAGGCAGAGGTTGCAGTGTGCGGAGATAACGCTGTTGCACTCCAGCCTGGGCAACAAGAGTGAAACTCTGACTCAAAAAAAAAAAAAAAAAAAAGCCAAAAAAAAACCTCTGGAAATTGAAGTTATTTGTTCTGAAAACGTATATGAGTGTGTTAGTCAGAAAACTGGTGCCCAAATATTTCCACATTCTAATCCCTGAAACCTGTGAATATATTGTGTTACATGGCAGAGGGGAATTAAGTTTGCTAATCAGCTGATCTTGAATTGGAGCGGTTATCCTGGATTATCCATGTGGGTCCAGTGTAATCACAAGGGTCCTTAAATGGGGAAGAGGGAGACAAGTTCAGTCAGAGATTTGAAGATGCTGTAGTGCTGGCTTTGAAGATGGAGGAAGGAGACTACAAGCCAAGGGATGCAGGTGAGCTCTAGAAGCTGAAAAAGGCAAGGAAACCTTTTTCGCTAGATGCTCCGTACTAGAACATCCAGACGGCATGCAGCCCTGCTAATACCTTGATTTTAGACCAGTGAGACCCATTTTGGACTTCTGACCTCTAGAACTAATATAATAAATGGGTTTTGTTTTAAGCCCTGAAGTTTGTGGTAATTTGTTACAGCAGCTGTAGAAAGCTGTGAGTTAACTAAAGATTTAGATTCATTCATGATTGTTGATGCTACAGTGGGTAGTTACCAAGCTCTAAGTTGAACTGGAGGCAAATTTCTCACCTCAACGAGCAAGCCACTGAGAATGCAGTGTCATCATCCTGAATTAGGAGAGCCCTGTAAATTAGCAAATTAGCCATGGCCAAAAAGGAAGCATTGTTTTTAAAATGAGGTAACTGTCTCCATATTTGAGTTGGTTTATCAATAATAGTCTTCTGAAAGTTGTCATTTAATTAGCATAAAGTAGTAAAAGCATGTATTTATTGTTTGCCACATTCTAGACACAATACCAAGCATTTTCCCAATCATATCTTATTTAAAATTCTGAGTTATCACAGTTTATAGGTGAGAACTTGCACAAGTTCTTGTAACTACTAAAAGATAACTGGTGTTCAGACTAAAGTCGTTCTGACTCCAAAGCCTGTGCTCTTAACCATTATGTGGTATAGAGTAGCAGCATCACACTGAAGTATACAAAACAACTTTTATAGAAGATACCGTCCCTCTGCTGCCTCCTTTTTGCTGGCAGGCGAGTGCTGAGGGGCAGAGGATACACACCTTGGGTGCTGGACCACTGTCATGTTACAACCTCGAAGATAATGGTGCCTTTTTTCTGACGCTCCTCTGTGGAATGTATGTTTTTTTCTCAAGTATTTATGAGAATTAGTATTGCTCAGAGCTACACAATTTGTGAATATCTTTTTGATACTTTGTTTCAGTTACTGTATTAGTCTGCTTTGTGCTAGGACATGCAAATCAACAATGGCTGAAACAAAAGAGAAATTTATTTCTCTTGTGTAAAAGTCCTGTTCTGTGAAGTTGTCAAGGTACAAGTATTAGCCAACTCTATTCTGCGGTCTTTGTGGTATCACCCTTGCCTGCATGGTCTGAGATGACTCACTACCACAACTGCCTTCCAGCCAGTATGGAAAAAGAATGAATGTTAAGGACATGACTTGGATATGACACACTTCAGCTCTCGTATTGGCTAGAATCTAGCTGCAGTGAGGCTGGAGAATAAATATGGTCTTTAAGGTTTTGTTTTGCTTTGTTTTCCTTAGAGACGAGGTTTTACCATGTCACATAGGCTGGAATGCAGGCTACTCACCAGCACCATCTTTGCACACTACAGCCTTGACCTCCTGGGCTCAAGCAGTCCTCCCTCAGCCTCCCAAGTAGCTGGGACTACAGGCATGCAACACCATGCTGGCTGAGAATATAGTCTTTAGTAGCCATGCAGCAGCTTAGAATGCTGTCATCCTGGGAAGAAGGGAAAATGGGGTAGGGAGTAGCCGGCAGGCTGTCTGCACACCAGGGCTAGTGTTTCTCATTATTCTGATTAAAACTTTGCATTTTGGTTATTTTGCAGCCATATGCCAGACTGCCCTCATCTATTGTTGAAAGAGAAAAGTTGTTTTGAAAGAACATACAATATAATCCTGTTTATGTTAAATTTGGTTTGTGTGTACATGTGCCTATAGAGAAGTCTGGAAGAATGTCTATAAAAATGCAAATGGTGCTATTTATTCTGGATTATAAGGATGATTCTTACTTTTGATGGTTTTCTGTATGTTTGATTTCAGAAAAAATTAGTACTGTTAGAAATTAGAAGTATTTCATTTTGAAATGGGGGGACCCTGTTTTGACCATATGACATAGAGTGAGAGGTTGGGATCCTGATTTTTCTTTTGTCTTTGTGGTAATTCTAAAAATGTTTGTGAGGAACCTTGTAGCAGTGATTCTGGGGGATAGTGTCCTTTCTAGGCACATGTTCTCATTGAATTCTCAATTGTCTACAGATAGTCCCCTTAGCTTGAGACACTGCTGGGGTCCTGCCTCAGCAAGGAGCACTGGACTGTGGGTCCTGTAGGCCCAGATGGAGAGGACCATCTTGGATATTAAGTTATCAGAGCCCTAATGTGTGCTGTGAGAAGGTTCCTTGATACCACTGACAACATCAGTATTCTTTCTGCTTTTTCTCTGATTTCTCAATATTCTGATTTTTTTGGTTGAAAAGAGTTCCCATATAAGTGGACCTGCACAGTTCAGTGGTCAACTGTACTGTATTAACATTCACTTCCTGGTTTTGATGGTTGAGTTGTGGTCCTTATTTGTGAGAAACAAACACTAAATTATCAGGCGTGATGGGGCATCATGTCAGAGCTTATTCAAATGGTTCAGAAAAAAAGTACTATTTTTGCAACTTTTATGTCAGAATACAAATTTAAAAATAATTTAAATATATTATACGTAATAAAAGAATGGCTATAACCTGTCAGCTAAGGTTCCAAGAGAGATTTAAGCCTTAATCGCCATGATGTTATTTGTAATAACTTATCTCTTACACATCTAGAATGGGGCTGAATACCTACCCCTGTGGGAGAATTGAGAAAATAGTCACATCGTTTTTCAGTAGGTTTACTTGTCTCCTGGAACTTCATTTGAAGAAAGCCAGAAAAAATACTAAACATCCATGAACCCTAAACCCAAGAAGTTATTTTGGGAACTTAAGAAATTGTCATTAAAATTACTTAAGGAATTAAAGAAGGAAATTACTTAATTATTTTAAGAAATTTTGTCATTATAATTACCTACAAAGTTTCTTGTGTGTTCCTCACTACCCCTCTCCTGCAAGGTATAACCACTAAGCCAAATTTTGTATTTCTTAGTCCCATGGTTTTTTTTTTCCGAAGAGTTTGGTTGTGTTTAGATGTATCTGATGTCCATTCATCTTTGTTAAGCTACGTAAGCCAAGGGCTCATCTTCCTCCCTTGTAATTTTAGTAATTGCTATTGTAGCAGCATTTATGATAGGCATTTGATAGTACTTGGCAGAAAAAATTTATGTGGTCACTTACTGAAGAAAGAATCTGTTTTGTAAGTTTATAAAGAGTATTGAGACATATCTCTGTTTTCACACTTTTGAGCACTATGAAAGGTAAGTCATCTTCATTTATAAAGGATACCATTGACATGGGTTTAGCGTTGGTGCCCTAAACATTAAACAGTTAGCATATAAAAGACCATCACAGGTGTTAATTTAGGTTTTTATATCATTAACGTATGTTTTGAAAAGGGAATGAGTGTGCATCTTGCTTTTCTTTTTCTTTTTTTGCAGATTTTTTTCTTTTTTTTTTTTTTTTAAGTAAGCTTCAAAGTCCATGAAAGATTCTAATATGCTCTGTCACTTGGAATGTTGAACATTACCATAAATAGTTTTGAAATAAAACTTTTTGTAAGCTTCAGATTAATCTCCTTTAAAAAAATTTAAATTATAACAGAAATCAACCAGACTATTATGAAGTGGTTTCTCAGCCCATTGACTTGATGAAAATCCAACAGAAACTAAAAATGGAAGAGTATGATGATGTTAATTTGCTGACTGCTGACTTCCAGCTTCTTTTTAACAATGCAAAGTCCTATTATAAGGTAAGAAATTATGAAATTTGGAAAGATACCAATTGGAAGATACCAATTTGATAATTGGCTTCTTAATATTTATAAACCTGGCAGGTGAGTAGTAGTTTCTTTTTGTGGCTTGAGTTCGCATTTGTCTTATTCGTAAAGAGACTGGACATTCATATGATTTTTATTTCTTATTTATTTACGTATTTTAATTTATTATCTTTTGAGACAGGGTCTTGCTCTGTTACACGGGCTGGAGTGCAGTGGTGAGATCTTGGCTCATGGCAGCCTCCGCCTCCCAGGTTCAAGCAATCCTCCCACCTCACCCTTCTGAGTAGCTGGCACTATAGGCACGTGCCACCATGCCCAGCTAATTTTTGCATGTTTTGTAGAGACCAGGGTTTCACCATGTTGCCCAGGCTGGTCTTGAACTCCTGGGCTCAAGCAATCTGCCTGCCTTGGCCTCCCAAAGTGCAGGGATTATGGGCGTGAGCCACTGTGCCCAACCCACATTCATGTGATTATGAACTATTCTTATTTCTCTGTCTGCTCAAATCTTTTGCCCATTTTTCTCTTGGTTTGTTAGTCATTTTCATATTTCTGGAATTTTTTTTTCTTTTTTTTTTTAGAGACAGAGTCTCCCTATGTTACTCAGGCTGGTCTCAAACTCCTGGCCTCAAGTGATCCTCCTGCCTCAGCCTCATGAGTAGCTGGGACTACAGACATGAGCCACCACTCCTGGCTTTAGAAATTTTTTTTTTTTTTTTTTTTTTTTGAGGCAAAGTCTATTGCCCAGGCTAGAGTGCAGTGGCACGATCTCAGCTCACTGCAACCTCTTCTTCCCAGGTTCAAGTGATTCTCCTGCTTCAGCCTCCTGAGTAGCTGGGATTACAGGTGCCCACCACCATGCCTGGCTAATTTTTGTATTTTTAGTGGAGATGGGGTTTCACCATGTTGGCCAGGCTAGTCTTGAACTCCTGACCTCAAGTGATCCACCCACCTTGGCCTCCCAAAGTGCTGGGACAACAGGCGTGAGCGACCATGCCTGGCCATAGAAATTTTTTAATTATTGTGGATAGTAAACCTTTTTTGATTATATGTGTTTCAGTTTTTTTATTTTTTTTATTTGATTTTGTGTGTTTCAAATATCTTCTCCCACTGTGTGCATATCTTTTCACCTTTCATGGTATTTTTTGATGAACAGAAATGTTTTATTTTAGTTTAATCAAATTTATCAATCTTTAAATTGGGTTTATTTGTATCTTGTTTCAGAGATTCCTCTTGCCCAAGATATTCTTCTATTAGTATGCTTTTCTTAAAGTTTTATAGTTTTGTCTTTCATATAAGCCTTTAATGCAGCTAGGATTGATTTTTGTCTTTTATAAGGTAGGAATAAATGCAGCTGGGATTGATTTTTGTCTTTTATAAGGTAGGAATCAATTTTTTTCCCACAGGTATAACCAACACTATTCTCTCTGCGTTTGTTCGCAATCGTTGCTGTCATCATTTCCATGTATTCATGGATCTGTTTCTGTCCTTTTATTCTGTTCCACAGGCCAGTTTATCTGTTACTAGGCCGTTCTATTTCTATCTTAATTACTTTGGCTTTATAATTTTTTTTTTTTTTTTTTGAGACACGATCTCCTTTGTTGCCCAGGCTGGAGTGCAGTGGTGTGATCTTGGCTCACTACAGCCCTTGTCTCCTGGGCTCAAGCAATCTTCCCACCTTAGCCTCCTGATTAGCTGGGACTACAGGTGCGCACCATCACACATGGCTAATTTTTTGTATTTTTGATAGAGACGGGATTTCACCGTGTTGCCCAGGCTAGTCTTGAACTCCTGGGCTCAAGCGATTGACCCGCCTCGGTCTCCCAAGTGCTGGGATTACAGGCATGAACCACCATGCCCAGCTTGCTTTATACTTCTTTTTCTGGTTAGAAAGTAGGTTAATTATACTTGACCCTTTGCCATTTCTTTTTTTTTTTTGAGATGGAGTCTCGCTCTGTTGCCCAGGCTGGAGTGCAGTGGCGCGATCTCGGCTCACTGCAAGCTCTGCCTTCCAGGTTCACGCCATTCTCCTGCCTCAGCCTCCCGAGTAGCTGGGATTATAGGCACCCACCATCATGCCTGGCTAATTTTTGTATTTTTACGTGGTTTTGCCATGTTGGCCAGGCTGGTCCTGAACTCCTGACCTCAGGTGATCTGCCTGCCTCGGCCTCCCAAAAGTGCTAGGATTACAGGCGTGAGCCACCATGCCTGGCCTTATTTTTAAGAGATGAGGTCTCATTAAGTTGCCGAGGCCAGAATCAAACTCCTGGACTTAAGCAGTCATCCCACCTCAGCCTACCAGGTAGCTAGGACTGCAGGTACACACCACCTTGCTCAGTTTATTTTACTCTTCAGTGCATTTTGTTATTTTTTTCTCTATGCCTTCTTTTGATTTCATTTTTTTCAAAACTTTTTTCCTCTTATTACCTCTAAAATTTGGAAATTGTAACATCTATAGATAATCTTTTAGTTCTTATCTAAGAAGTTTTAATATGCATAATTAACTTATTCAAAGCCAGAAGCTAATCAGGATCTTAATCCTCCAAACAATACGAAGACTTTAGAATAATTCAACTCTGATCACTCTTTTCCTTATTTATAATGCTGGTGCTGTGTACTTTAGTTCTTTTGTGGCAATTTTTGAATCTGATAGAACAGTGGTCCCCAAGCTTTTTGGCACCAGGGACCAGTTTTGCGGAAGACAATTCTTCCATGGACAGCAGTGGATGTAGGGGGCAGGGTCAGGATGAAACTCTTCCTTCTCATGTCATCAGGCATTAGATTCTTATAAGGAGCTCACAGCCTAGATCTCTTGCATGCTCAGTTCACAATAGGGTTCACACTCCTATGAGAATCTAATGCCACTGCTGATGTGACAGGAGGAGCTCAGGCGATAATGCTGTCTTGCCTGCTGCTCACCTCCTGCTGTGCGGCCCAGTTCCAAACAGGCCATGGACTGGTAGTTGTTCGTGGGCTGGGGGTTGGGGACCCCTGCCATAAAATACTATTCAGCCAGGCATGATGGCTCATGCCTATAATCCCAGCGCTTTGGGAGGTTGAGGCAGGAGGATTGCTTGAAGCCAAGAGTGTGAAACCAGCCTAGGCAGTGTACTAAGACCCCACCTCTACAAAAAAAAAAAAAATTGTTTTAATTGGCTGAGCATGGTGACGTGCACCAGTAGTCCCAGCTACTTGAGGGGCTGAGGTGGAAGGATCATTTGAGCCCAAGAGTTCAAGGCCGTAATGTGCTATGATCATGCCACTGCACTTCAGCCTGGGCAACAGTGAGATCCTGTCTTTAAAAACAATAATAATAATAATATTGATTTGTGGAGTCAGTACCATTCATTATTACTACTTTCTTTATTCTTCATTCCATTTTGCTATTGAGAAGTCATCCGCCAGTATGATTGTAGTTCCTTTAAAGGTTATCTGTCTTTTCTTTTCTGGCTGTCTTTAGTATCCTTTTCTCTTTTGTATTTTGTAGTTTCATTGTGATATATTTAGATGTGGATATCTTTATAGAATTTGCGAGTAGTAATGCTTCATAAATCTTAGATTGGTGTTTCTCATCATCTTTGGAAAGTTTTTAGCCATGTCTTTGCATTTTGCCTTTGCCCTGTTCTTGTAGTAACTCTGATTGGGTGTCATATTAGACTTCCCACAGGTCTCCATTTCTCTTAACTTTTCATATTTCCTGCTTTTGTGTCTGTGTTTCCTTTTTTTTTCTTTTTTTTTTTGTGATAGAGTCTGGCTCTGATGCCCAGGCTGGAGTGCAGTGGTGTGATCTTGGCTCACTGCTTCCTCTGCCTCCTGGGTTGAAGCGATTCTCCTGCCTCAGCCCCTGAGTAGCTGGGATTACAGGCGCCTGCCACCATGCCCGGCTAATTTTTGTATTTTAGTAGAGACAGGGTTTCACCACGTTGGCCAGGCTGGACTTGAACTCCCGACCTCAGGTGATCCACTCGCCTCAGCCTCCCAAAGTGCTGGGATTACAGGCGTGAGCCACCGCGCCCAGCGTCTGTGTTGCTTTTTAGATAATCTTTTTTTTTTTTTTTTTTCAGTTCTTTCAATTTTCTTGGTGAAATCTCTTAAATTAGTTAAATATAAATTTAGTATTTGCATTTTAATTTTTCTACATATAGGAAGTAGCGTCTTTTTTAGAGTCTGTAGGACTTTGCTCATTGTTTTCAAACTCATTGTTTCTTTAAACTTTTTATTTATTTATTTATTTTTTTAAAGAGAGAAAGTCTTGCTCTGTCACCCAGGCTGGAGTGCACTGGCTATTCACAGGCACAGTTGTAGCTCACTGCAGCCTTAAACTCCTGGGCTTAAGTTATCCTCCTGCCTCAGCCACCTAAGTAGCTAGGACTACAGGTGTGCGCCACCGTGCCCAACTTTTTTTTTTTTTTTTGAGACGGAGTCTGGCTTTGTCACCCAGGCTGGAGTTCAGTGGCGCTATCTCGGCTTACTGCAAGCTCCGCCTCCCCGGTTCACGCCATTCTCCTGCCTCAGCCTCCCAAGTAGCTGGGACTACAGGCACCCACCACCACACCCAGCTAATTTTTTTGTATTTTCAGTAGAGATGAGGTTTCACTGTGTTAGCCAGGATGGTCTTAATCTTCTGACCCCATGATCCCCCTGCTTCAGCCTCCCAAAGTGGTGGGATTACAGGCGTGAGCCACCACGCCTGGCCACCATGCCCAACTTTTAAACATTTTTAACACACCTGTTTTTTATTCTATGGTAGATTATTCTGATAATCTAATTATTTGAATTCCAATATCTAATACATATATTTGTTGTCACTGTCATTTTTGCTAGCTTTCTCGTGATTCTTTGATTCTTATGTGCCTCATGATTTTTTTACTATGGACTCAATATTTCTTGGAACTTTATCTGTAGAGATCATTGGAGCATTAAATTGAAGTTGGTTTCATCCAGAAATGATTTGTTTCTTGTCCAGGATGACTGGCCTGTCTTTGTTAAGGCTAACTTTACGATGAAGAGTTCTCAGAGATTCATTTCATGCCTCTCCTCTCCTCTCAGTGCCATGGTTTGAGATAGGCATGAATTTAGATAGGTAGAGGTTGAGATGGGCAGTCGTCCTTGCTCCCTGGCAGTACAGAAACTGATTTGAGTTCCCACTAATGGTGCAGCCATGGCCTTTGGATTCCCAGCTTCTGGTAGACCCTGACCTTTGTCTTCCCTCCTCGCTGCCCAGAGAAGCCTTGGAAATGAAAGCTTGGTTTTATCATAAATAAATGCCCTCAAAGTGAACATTTGACTTAAGTGTTGTGGGTTTTCATCTGGTTTCCTACTTTTATTCCTTTAATTTTGTGAACATCCTTACTTCCTATTGGCATCCCATGTATGCATTTTTAAAGTTTTATTTTATTTTTTGAACATTGCATCCAACGTTGTTTTTACTAGAAGATTTCAGTCAAGAGTTTATTATGCCCACTATACTTCATGAGCAGACATTTTGAAACAAGGTATTAAAGAATTTCAAACCACAAGTATTAATAACATCAGAACCGTCATTAGCTTCTATCCTTTAAATCAAATCTTATCCTTTAAGTTGTCTTTCTTAGTGTATTAGTAATAATTAGTTTTTTTGGGTTTTTTGGTGTTTTTTTTTTTTTTTTTAAGACAGAGTCTTGCTCTGTCACCAGGCTGGAGTGCAGTGGCGCAATCTCGGCTCACTGCAACCTCTGCCTCTCTGGTTCAAGTGATTCTCCTGCCTCAGCCTCCCAAGTAGCTGGGACCACAGGTGCGTACCACCACGCCCAGCTAATTTTTGTATTTTTAGTAGAGACGGGGTTTCACCATGTTGGCCAGGATGGTCTCGATCTCTTGACCTCATGATCCACCTGCCTTGGCCTCCCAAAGTGCTGGGATTACAGGCATGAGCCACTGTGCCCGGTCATAATTACTTTTAATTTAGCAAATCATTTGTCTTCTGCCTCAAGTCTTTCTTTAATGAGATAAGACCTAAATAATTTGATTTCAGAATGTCTTTAAAACATACACTTAATTTTTTGGAAGCGGGATTTGGACCCATATATGTTTTAATCATGAGGATGTTAAAATTTGTAACAATTTTTGGTCTTTGCTGAAACAGGTGCTTTAAAAGTAGCAACTAATTTCCAATACATTACTAAAGTGTTTTTTTTTTTCTCTTTGCTAACATACAGCCAGATTCTCCTGAATATAAAGCCGCTTGCAAACTCTGGGATTTGTACCTTCGAACAAGAAATGAGTTTGTTCAGAAAGGAGAAGCAGATGACGAAGATGATGATGAAGATGGGCAAGACAATCAGGGCACAGTGACTGAAGGAGTAAGTGTGTAGCTGGAACTTGTGATGGATGGGCTCTTGGAAGGCAGAGAGGGCCCCTGCTTGTGATTCCCTCTGGGCTGTTGTGGGCAACTAGAATTCCTGTGCAATTGTATTGGTAACTGGGAGGATAAAAGGACATTCAGCCAGAGAGCCCCACTCCATTTTTAAGGGATCCTAGGATATCCTGGACAACGTGTGCCATGTGTGGTAATTTTCATGAATTGTACTTACATTAATGCATATTTCCTGCTCAGTTTTAAAGAGAATCTTGATATTATCAAGGATTAGTCCAGTATTGCTACATTGAGACATCATGTAAGGAAAGGCAGTGTTGTGATTAGAAGTTGGAATGTAATCACCTTAGTGAGGAATATTTCTGTAGGTTAGAATAGTTACTGTTCCTAGAACCTCCCAGGTGTGTTTCTGCCTCTGGAATTTTGCAGTTGTTCTTCTGCATAGAAAGTGCTTCCTTTGACTTTTCCCGTGACTGGCTCTTTTTTATTGTTCTAACACCATCTAAAATGGTGTCTACTGAGACAGGACTTTCCTGACCACCCTATCTCCATTGTTTGCTCCGCCTTCCTCCTTTTCAGCCCCTACCCCACCCTGTCATCACAGGGTTGTCTTCAGTTTTTATAATGTCACTATATGTGAAATAACATACTAGTTTACATGTTTTTCTCTCTTTCCCCAAGTAGAATGATAGCTCCTAAGCAGGTATCTTTTTGTTCATTTATTCCTCATATCTGCACTATACCTGACATGTAGGTGCTGATAAATATTTACTAAATAAAGACACATGCTTCATGGCCAGGCGAGGTGGCTCACACCTGTAATCCCAGCACTTTGGGAGGCCAAGGCGGGAGGATCACTTGAGGTTAGGAGTTCAAGAACAGCCTGACCAACATGGTAAAACCCTGTCTCTACCAAAAATACAAAAATTAGCTAGGCAGGTGGCACATGCCTGTAATCCCAGCTACTCTGGAGGCTGAGGCAGGATAATCGCTTGAACCCAGGAGGTGGAGGGTGCAGTGAGCCGAGATGGCGCCACTGTACTCCAGACTGGGCGACAGAATGAGACTCCATCTCAAAAAAAAATGAAAGACAGAAAATAAAAAGACATGTTTGAAAAGAGAAAAAAGAATAGTAGAGGGGATCACAACTCTTTTCTACAGCTAAATTGTGAGAAGCACATTGCAGAATATTCCCCTTTCTTCTGTAACTTATCTACATAGGCCTTTTGCTGGAATACAGAGAAGCAGTGATGGGTGAATTTCTCAAAAATACAATTACTTCTTAGAGTCTCAAAATACAGTTCCTAGTCAGGTGCTGTGGCTCACCCCTGTAATCCCAGCACTTTGGGAGGCCAAGGCAGGCAGATCACCTGAGGTCAGGAGTTTGAGACCAGCCTGGCCAACATGGTGAAACCCCATTTCTACTAAAAATACAAAAATTAGCTGGGCATGGTGGTGGGCACCTGTAATCCCTGCTACTCGGGAGGCTGAGGCAGGAGAATCGCTTGAACCCGGGAGGCAGAGGTTGCAATGAGCTGAGATCATGCCACTGTACTCTAGCCTGGGTCTTAGAATGAGACTCTGTCTAAAAAAAATATAGATAGATAGATAGATAGATATACACAAAATATATATACACACATATACATGTAGTTCATATATTTTATATGTATAAAATTTTATATTTTATATATGATATGTAAATATATGTATATAGTTCCTCAGCAGCTTGTCAGTTTCTTTAAGTAGTTAAGTGATTGGAACTAAATAGAAGGCTAAAAATAGGAATTTCCTGGAATTTTACTCTCTAATATGAATACAGGAGAAGCAGCCCATGCTTTCTTCGGTAGAACACTGCTTGCAGAGGCCCCACCCTTAGTGTAGGCCTTCAGGGCTCTAGTCAAAAGATTAAAATGCCTGTATTTAGGACTTGCCCGTACTTCTGTAACGCATAATTGATGAGAAATTGGGAGGGTCTTGTACATTCACATTTATACCTCCCAAGCCTCTTTCAAATTTTGTTTTTTTGAGACAGTGTCTTGCTCTTTGGCCCAGGCTGGAGTGCAATGGCACGATCACAGCTCACTGCAACCTCCACCTCTTGGGTTCAAACGATTCTTCTGCCTCAGCCTCCTGAGTAGCTGCGATTGCAGATGCCTGTCACCACACCAGCTAATTTTTGTATTTTTAGTATAAGTGAGGTTTCACCATGTTGGCCAGACTGGTCTCGAACTCTTGACCTCAGGTGATCCTCCCACTTCACCTTCCCAAAGTGCTTGGGATTACAGGCATGAGCCACCATGCCAGACCCCAAGACTCTTTATAACTCAATGATTCTCATGGAGGGAGAAGAAATTTTCAGGTTTCTAATTTTTAAATCAAGGATGATTTTCTTGGGTCTGGTGCGGTGGCTCACGCCTGCAATCCCAACACTTTAGGAAGCTGAGACTGGAGGATCACTTGAGCCCAAGTGTTTGAGACCAGCCTGGGCAATGTAGTGAGACGCCCATGTCTACAAAAAGTAAAAAAATTAGCCAAGCATGGTGGTACACATCTGTGGTCCCAGCTACTTGAAAAACTGATGTGGGAGGATTGCTTGAGCCCTGGAGTTAGAGGCTGCAGTGAGCCATGGTCACACCACTTCACTCCAACCTGGGCAACAGAGTGGGGAGGAAAAAAAAGTGTTGCACCTTAAAATTGAGACTATACTAAATAAAAAGAGCTTCTGTTGGATTAGGACACAATACCAGTACTTTTATGATTTAAACCAGAAAAAAAATTACTCTTTATTTTATATGTACAAAAAATGATTTGGACTAGAAGCATAATTTAATCCTTGACTGAGACATTCCATTGCTTATTCTAGAAACTTGCTTCAGACTTGGACCCTCCCTGGTCAAGTACTCTTTGGGGCATATACTTCCTATGTTGAAACAGTGACTAAGCTAGGTATAAACCAGTGGGTCTAAAGAACAGAAATGGTGTACATTGATGTACTTAATCGCTGTTTAGTTTTGACTTAATTTGAATTCAGTTAGACTTGGTAGAGCACCCCGTGGTTAAAAGTATGTAGTCCCAACTCTATGTAAGTAGTCATTGTCCTGTAAGTAGTCATTGTCCTGTAAGACTTCAATAGATGTGAACAGCAGATATAGAAATGAACTATTATGGGACATGCTTTCTCCTGCTCAGTTGCTCATTTCACATTTGTAGCACTTAAACTTTGCCATTGCAATATTTACTGTAGAAAAAGGTTCAGTAGAAGGACCTAGTACAAGGGATTTCATTGCAAAAATAATATAAGGCACCTCATTAGGTTCATATAGGTTGTTCTAGGGATACAATGCCTATGTCCAGCATCAGAACATTATGGGGTATTCTTGAAATTTGGAGTTAAAATAAGTACTGCTTAGAAGTTGCTTTCTTTGGCCAGGCACAGTGGCTCATGCCTGTAATCCCAGCACTTTGAGAGGCCGAAGTGGGCAGACATGAGGTGAGGAGTTCGAGACCAGCCTGGCCAACATAGTGAAACCCCGTCTCTACTAAAAAAATAAAATTTAGCTGGGCCTGGTGGCGCATGCCTATAATCCCAGCTACTCGGGAGGCTGAGGCAGGAGAATTACTTAAACCCAGGAGGTGGAGGTTGCAGTGAGCTGAAATTGTGCCACTGTACTCCAGCCTCTCCATCTCAAAAAAAAAAAAAAAAGTTGCTGTTTTGAATTAGCTCTACAATTTTAGAAGCTATGTAATATTCAGCATTTTATTATTTCTCTTAGAAAGTACTTTTTTCTCCACATTACCAGTCTTCTCCAGCTTACTTGAAGGAGATCCTGGAGCAGCTTCTTGAAGCCATAGTTGTAGCTACAAATCCATCAGGACGTCTCATTAGCGAACTTTTTCAGAAACTGCCTTCTAAAGTGGTAAGTGATGCAGTTAAAAACAGGTACATGTCAGTGTTTTGTTTTTAGTACTTCAAGAATTGTATTAATTACTGATAAATAAAGTAAGTTCAAAAGGAAGATGTTGGGCCGGGTGTGGTGGCTCATGCCTGTAATCCCAGCACTTTGGGAGGCCGAGGCAGGTGGATCATCTGAGGTTGGGAGTTCGAGACCATCCCGATCAACATGGAGAAACCCCATCTCTACTAAAAATACAAAAAATTAGCTGGGTGTGGTGGCGCATGCCTATAATCCCAGCTACTCGGGAGGGTGAGGTAGGAGAATTGCTTGAACCCTGGAGGCAGAGGTTGCAGTGGGTGAGCCAAGATTGCGCCATTGCACTCCAGCCTGGGCAACAAGAGCGAAACTCCGTCTCAAATTTAAAAAAAAAAAAAGAAAAGGAAGATGTTGGGCCAGGCGCAGTGGCTCACGCCTGTAATCCCAGCACTTTGGGAGGCCAAGACAGGCAGATCACCTGAGGTCAGGAGTTTGAGACCAGCCTGGCCAATGTGGTGAAAACCCATCCCTAGTAAAAGTATAAAATCTACCCTGGTGTGATGGTGTGTGCCTGTAATCCCACCTACTCGGGAGGCTGAGGCAGGAGAATTGCTTGAACCTGGGAGGTGGAAGTTACAGTGAGCTGACATCATGCCGTTGCACTCCAGCCTGGGTGACAGAGCAAGAGTCCATCTCAAAAAATAAATAAATAAAAGGAAGATGTTGGAGGCCCCCAAGAGATCCTCCTCACAGCAGCACAAAATGTATACGGTCTATCATTTTACATGATCAGAAGGTTATGATTTTATTTTTTTATTTTTACGTTTTTTGTTTTTTGATTGGTAATTATTTTTATTTGTTTCTTATTGTGGTAAAGGATATGTATCATAAAATTTATCATTTTAGCCATTTTTAAGTGTACAGTTCTGTGGCATTAAGTACATTCACATTTTTATGCAACCATCACCACTATCTGGAACTTTTTAGTCTTACAAAACCAAAACTCCATACCCATTAAACACCAAGTCCACTCCCCTCTTCTCCCAGCTTCTGGCAGCCACCATTCTGCTTTCTGTCTATGAATTTGACTATTCTAGGTACGTCATAGAAGAAGAATCATTCAATATTTGTCCTGTGACTGCTTATTTCACTTAGCATATGTTCAGGATTCATCTATATTGTAGCCTGAATCAGAATTTCATTCCTTTTTAGAACCGAATAGCATTTTGTTATTTCTATATAATACCTTTTGTTTATAAGTTTTTTGGGGTGTTTTGTTTTGTTTAGAGATAGAGTCTTGCTGTGTTGCCTAGGCTGACCTCAAACTTCTGGGCTCAAGCGATTCTCCCACCTCAGCCTCCCAAGTAGCTGGGTATACAGGCTTGTGCCACCGTGCCTTACTACATTTTGTTTACTCATTCATCTGTCAATGGACATTGGGTTGTTTCCAAGATTGGTAATTCTTCATTGATAAAATAAGCACTTTAACTAAATCTTTTTTATTTATTTATTAATTGTTGAGACGGAGTCTCGTTCTGTCACCCAGGCTGAAGTGCAATGGCGTGATCTTGGCTCACTGCAACCTCCGCCTCCCGAGTTCAAGCGATTGTCCTGCCTCAGCCTCCCAAGTAGCTGGGATTACAGGCATGCACCACCACACCTGGCTAATTTTTGTATTTTTTAGTAGAGACAAGCTTTCACCATGTTGGCCAGGCTGATCTTAAACTCCTGACCTCAAGTGATGCACCTGCCTCAGCCTCCCAGAGTGCTGGGATTACAGACATGAGCTACTACACCCGGCCTAAACCTTGCATTTTTAAGAGTGGAAACTTTCTCTTTGTGTAGGGGACAGGGTAAGAGGAAGATAAATGAGTTCTTCCTCCTTTTAATTCTCTTTGATCTCCTGGTGATGCTGAAAAAAGAAAAACGAATTAGGTACTCTTCTGCCTGAAAAAAGAAGAGGTTTTCTAGACAAGCAAGACCTTTAAAAAGTATCAGAATTCTTTATGCCTTTACACCCAAAAGATAATTAACATATAGATTTGACTCACATTAGCCTATGAAACTGCAAACATTTTCATGGCCTCAGCATTCTCATATTTCTAGGTAAGGATATACTTTCAGAAGTACTCCATGGTAGCACTTAGCCCTATTGTGATCATTTACTTTTCTGTCTGCCTTCTTTTCTACTCCCTGAATTTCTTGAGGACAGTGACTGTGCTGTAATTTACCTTTGTATTACTGTCTATAACTGGAACCCGATCCGAAGGATTGGATGACTTTGGATTACTTTGTACCCCATGCTGGGTGGTCATAGATATGCAAGATGCTTGTTGACTGATGAGTAGCATGCAGCTTTCCTCATCAGTCATTGGCAAGACTATAGTTATTTAAAGGTGTGTCTTGACTAGCTATAGGATAGTTACAACATTAGAAATAAAGCAACTGACCACTGCTGTCCTATGTGTGAATCTTACTAGAAAGATGTAATTATTAATATTGGTCATATGACTTAAAACTTTAAGAAAAGGAGAAAACAGTATGATGATTCTCTAGAGAATTAAACATGGAATTACCATATGATCCAGCAGTTCCACTTTAGATATATACTCCAAAGAAAGTGAAAGCAGGGTATTGAAGAGATATTTGTATACCCATATTCATAGCAGCATTATTCACAATAGCTAAAAATGGAAGCAACTCAGGTGTCCATCAGTGAATGAATGTATATGTGACATATACATACAGTGGCATATTATTTGGCGTTAAAAAGGAAGGAAATTCTGAAACATCCTACATGGATGAACTCTAAAGACATTATTTTAAGCAAAATGAGCCAGTCACAAAAGGACAAATACTGTATGATTTCTTATATGAGGTACCTAGAATACTCAAAATCTTAGAGACATAAAGTTAGAATGGTGGTTGCCAGGGGCTGGAGGGAATGGGGAGTTGTTTAATATGTACAGAGTTTCCATTTTGCAAGATTAAAAAGTTCTGGAGGTGGATGTCAGTGATAGTTGCACAGCAGTGTGAGTGTACCTCATGCCACAGAACTGTACACTTAAAAATGGCAAATTTCATGTTACTACATGAAATTTATTTTATTACAGTAAAAAAAATTATAAAAGAAGTACAGGATAGGTGTAGTGACCCACACCTGTAATCCCAGAGCTTTGAGAGGCCAACATAGCTGAGACTCTGTCTCTACAAAAAAAATTTTTTTAATTAGCTAGTCATGGTGGTGTGCACCTGTAGTCACAGCTGTTTGGTGGGGCTGAGTTTGGAGGATCACTTGAGCCTAGGAGTTCAAGGCCGCAGTGAGCTGTGATCATGCCACTTCACTCCAACCTAGGCAACAGAAAGAGACCCCGTCTCTTTTTCTCTCTCTCGCTCTCTGTCAACTCTCATTCACACATGCACACATACACACAAAATAGAAGTACTGTCTTCGCTCAAGATTTATTCTTACCCTGCAGGAGATAATCAGTGATGGTCAAATCAACAACAGTGATATGGGGCAATGAAACATCAATAATTAGTTCCCCCCATTCCCCCTTCAAGGTCACCTTGAAGGAGCTGGTTGGGAAAAGCAGGTTTCTATTGGTCTCTCAGGGTGTGACAGTTTGAAAGACAACAAGGATTGACAGCTGAAGGGGCAGGACAGTTTTCACCTTTCCTTAGTAAGTCCGTCCCAAGCAAGCTGGCTGCATGGGAGAGATAGATTGGGAATTTGTGGGATTGGATGACTTTGAATTACTTTGTACTCCATGCTGGGTGGCCTTGCCATAATTTGTCCTCTGAACTTTCTCTCAGAAGTAGAACTGGTGAAGAGAAGGGGCAGCAATGGAGATTCATCCAAGTAAAGGAAGGAGTAGGGTTAAGAAAGTAGTGGTAAGCTTAGGGGACAGATGAGATAAAACAACACTGAGATAATCTGTTCAGCCCAGTAACTGAGTGAAGGCTGTGGCTTTCTGCTTTTGTTGTTGCTGCGTGGGCTTCAGTAGGGTTTGAACAGGTGGGAAGAGTTGGGAGAGCACAATCTGACTTCCCCTGAACCTCTCCCATCTGATAAGACCAACTTTTGATATTTGGGCAACTTCAGTTATTTCCTCCAAGGAAGAAAATCTGTAGGAAAGCCTGAGTGCAGTGAGTGATTCTAGGTTGTTGTGAAAGCTTCAAGGACATTCCTCAACATGTTCAATTTCTTGGGATGACCTAGTATTTGATAAATCAGAAGTTGCTAATAATTTTGCTTCATTTCTTTTCTTTTTTCAAGACAGTCTTGCTCTGTCACCCAGGCTGGAGTGCAGTGGCGTGATCTCAGCCCACTGCAACCTCTGCCTCCCAGGTTCAAGCGATTCTCCTGCCTCAGCCTCCTGAGTAGCTGGAATTACAGGCACCCGCCACCACACCCAGCTAATTTTTGTATTTTTAGTAGAGACGGGGTTTCACCATATTGGCCAGGCTGGTCTTGAACTCCTGACCTCGTGATCTGCCCGTCTCGGCCTCCCGAAGTGCAGGGATTACAGGCATGAGCCACCATGCCTGACCAGAATTTTGCTTCATTTCTTTCTTTCTTTTTTTTTTTTTTGAGACAGAATTCTGCTCTTCTTGCCCAGGCTGGAGTGCAATGGAGCAATCTCAGCTCACTGCAACCTCCACCTCCCAGGTTCAAGCGATTCTCCTGCCTCAGCCTCCCAAGTAGCTGGGATTACATGCATGCACCAACATACCAGGCTAATTTTGAATTTTTAGTAGAGATGGGGTTTCACCATGTTGGCCAGGCTAGTCTCGAACTCCTGACTTCAGGTGATCCACCCACCTCAGCCTCCCAAAGTGCTGGGATTACAGGCGCGAGCCACCATGCCCAGCCGTGCTTCATTTCTTTAACAAAGTTTCATTCAAAAGGTATTTTGTTTTGAAAAAACTTACTTTGACTGAAATAAGCAGAAGCATCAAGTTAAACATGAAGCTAACAAATTTTGCAACCTGACTTCTTACAGATCCTTATGAAAGTTTATGTGAATATTATATAATAACGTTATTTAGATTGCAAAATTAAAAGAGCTTGTAACAAACTCCTAAAGAGCATTTCTTCTACTTTATTTCTAGGCATAGATATCTTGGGACCTTAAATGAAAAATTGTATAATTCTGTGAATTTAGAATTTTTGTTTGTTTTTTGAGACGGAATCTTGCTCTGTTGCACAGGCTGGAGTACAATGGCGTGATCTCGGCTCACTGCAACCTCCATCTCCTGCGCTCAAGTGATTGCCCTGCCTTAGCCTCCTGAGTAGCTGGGATTACAGGCGCACACCACCATGCCTGGCTAATTTTTGTATTTTTAATGGAGACAGGGTTTCGCTATGTTGGCCAGGTTGGTCTTGAACTTCTGACCTCAAGTGATCCAGCTGCCTCAGCATCCCGAAGTGCTGGGATTACAGGTGTGAGCCACCGCGCCTTGCCGAATTTAGATTATTTATTTTTTTTTTGAGATGGAGTCTTGCTGTGCCGCCCAGGCTGGAGTGCAGTGGCATGATCTCGGCTCGCTGCAACCTCTGCCTCTTGGGTTCAAGCGATTCTCCTCCCTCAGCCTCCAGAGTAGCTGGGACTATAGTTGTATGCCACCATGCCCAGCCAATTTTTTTTCTATTTTTAGTAGAGACAGGGTTTCACCACGTTAGCCAGGATGGTCTCAATCTCCTGACCTCGTGAACCACCCGCCTCGGCCTCCCAAAGTTCTGGGATTACAGGTGTGAGCCACCGTGCCCTGCCTAGAATTTTTTTTTTTTTTTTTGAGACGAAGTCTCTTTCTTGTCCCCCAGGCTGGAGTATAATGGCACGATCTCAGCTCACTGCAATCTCTGCCTCCCAGGTTCAAGCGATCCTCTTGCCTCAGCCTCCTGAGTAGCTGGGATTACAGGTGCCTGCCACCACGCCCGGCTAATTTTTGTATTTTTAGTAGAGATGGGGTTTCACCATGTTGGCCAGGCTGGTCTTGAACTCCTGACCTCAGGTGATCCACCTGCCTCGGCCTCCCAAAGTGCTGGGATTGCAGGCGTGAGCTACCGCACCCGGCCCCAGCCTAGAATTTTTTAAAACATTAAATTTTATGCTAGTTGCATAATAACACTCAAAATACCAAGTTTTAACTCCTAAGTCATGCTGTTGGATAGATCATGAAGCTTCTTAAGATTAAATTCTTTATGGTTCTGATATAATAAATGTGCTGTACAGCCATGTCTTTAGTCTTGAATCTCACAAAGCTGCTTCACTGGTTGTTTGAACAACAGATTGTCAATGTACTTCCTTCTCTTTTCATTAGCTGAATAGTTTAACTTATTGAGCATGCCTGGTTTTTTGTCTTCCAGCAATATCCAGATTATTATGCAATAATTAAGGAGCCTATAGATCTCAAGACCATTGCCCAGAGGATACAGGTATGAAGATGACCATAAGTAAATGATTGTGGTTTAGAGCAGATTGGCCTATGATCTTTCCTAGAAGCTTTTAGAAAACAGAGAAGCTAGTTGTCTCTGTAAGGGGTTATTAGCAAATCATGTAAATAAATTAAAATAGTGTTACTGATTGTAGCTTTGGATTGCATCTTAGGACAAAAATTAAAACACATTGGTTACCGACATTTCTGATTATAAAAGATACATTTGTGACAAAAGATTTATTTCATTTTTAATTTTTAAATTTTTTATTTTTGTGGGTGCATAGCAGGTGTATGTATTTATGGGGTACATGAAATTTTGATACTGGCATACAGTGCATAATAATCACATCAGGGTAGATGGGGTAACCTGTTGTTTATTTTTATCTGCTTCCAAATAGCTTTAGGATACGTTAGAATAAAAGCTACCCACAACGGATGTTAGAGTGGAAGGTCAGTGGAATTAGATACTACTTTTTTCTCTTTGGCCCTCTCTACCCTACCCCTTCACTGTATCCCTGGCAGTAAATAGTGGCAACTAAACACTCACATAGACTTGCTATGTACCTAGCACTGTTTTAAGTGCTTTATGTGTATTAGCTAATTAATTCTTAAAACTCCACAGAGTAGTATTGTTATTATTCCCATTTTACAAGTTAGAAAACTGAAGCACAGAAGTGTTAAGTAACTTGCCCAAATCACCGCCTAGGAAGGAGAACTAGGATTTGAATCCAGACAGTCTAGCTGTAGTCTGTGTTCTCAACCCTTACACTTACTGTTTCTGTACAGAGTAGGTGCTTAATAAATATTAATTGTGTGACTGAGTGACTAGGATTTAAAATTTGATTATTAGAAGTAAGGGAAAGTATAGGGAAAAAGAGCTAAATTGTACCAGAAATTGAGTATTTAGAGTAGAACTGATATGGTTGTTTTTCTAGCTCTACTACTTAATCAGCTATGTCACTTTGGTCAGGTGATTTGCCTGCTTCCTCTGCTGTATGTTGCGTGTAGTATCACTACTTTGCAGAGTCATAGAGGTTGGTGATAATATAGATAAAGCATCTCACATAGAACCTACAGCATGAGGTCCTCATAAATGTGAGTTACTGATCTTCCCAGGATAAGAAGGGTTTGCTGCTCCCAGGAGGTAAGGCAAAAAGGAAAACAGTGTGTTACATAGTTTCATTGAGAAATGAGACTGATAGCCACTGTGGTTTGCCAGGAAGGAGAAACTTCTTTGACTTTAAACTCTAAGAGAGTAGTAAAGAGTAACAGTGTTTACTTACTAGTACCACAGATAAATTTTCACAGAATGATAAAATACAGATTCCCTAATGTATCATCTTTTTTTTTTTTTAGGGTTTTTTTTTTTTTTTTTTTTGAGACAGTCTTGCCCTGTCACCCAGGCTGGAGTGCAGTGGCATGATCTCACCTCACTGCAAACCTCCACCTCTTGGACTCAAGTCATTCTCCTGCCTCAGCCTCCCGAGTAGCTGGGATTATAGGCGCCTGCCACCAAACCTGGCTGATTTTTGTATTTTTAATAGAGACAGGGTTTCACCATGTTGGCCAGGCTGATCTCGAACTCCTGACTTCAAGTGATCCACCCGCCTTGGCCTCCCAAAGTGCATAGAGATTATAGGTGTGAGCCACCCTGCCAGGCCTCATCAGGTTTTTAAATCAGCCCAATAACTGTTACTGAGAATGACTCAAGTCTCCTAAATCCCTGGAATTTCTAACATCTGTGTAGGAGGATTATGTTTTCATAATCCTGGAAATTGAATCAGATCTTTAATCATCTCTATCTCAGCCCCAGTCTTCTCTTTTTGACTTCTCGCCTTATTTTGTCCTTTCTTCTTTCCAAAAGTCTCAGAGTCACCTTTTGCCATCACCCGATTCAAGGTCCTTGTCCTCTTATGTCCAAATTACTGGAATAATCTATTTTACCTCTCTGATGAAAAACTTTCTAGTCCTTTCTGTGTCTTGGCTCCTGACCTTGGCTTTCTTCCTGCCAGTCCCGTGCTCAGAGACTTAATTCACTTGTTTTCCAATGCCTGCTAAAGCATGTCACAACTCCTTGTACCAGTTGAATAAAACCAACTCTGACTAATTTAAGTGGAAAAGGAATTTTTGAAAAGCATATTGGATAGCTCATAGAAATGTTGAGAAGAAAGGTTGAGGAACTAGCCTTTGGATACTAGGCAGAACTCAGGAACATCATGGCACAGCTGAGATCATGCACAGCCTCTTTGTGGTGCCATTGCTGTTACCACTGTAATTTGCCACTGTGGTCCCTGGATACTTGCTGCTCTACTGCTAGACTCTCCTCCTCTACAGGAGTCAGGAATGAATTCCTGGCCATTGCATTAATCCCTTTAGACCCAAGCATGAATTAGCTGACCTGTGGTTATTTCCCCTTGCCCTGGCTGCCAGGCTGCTGGCAAAGTGACCATTTGCCCACTTACATCCTCATTATGGGAGGTAGAGCCCTCCCGATGCCTGTGCTGATTCCCTCCGTGTAAGAAGGATGCGTAGTTGTTGGTAGTCCCACGAGGCAAATAGCTACACTCCTTTGCCTGGCTCTCTGGATTCTGCCTCTTTTGTTTTTACCCTCTCTGTGCTTATGGCTCTACCCTTCTCCACCTTCCATTTCGCTCAGTTTGGTTTCCTTACTCTCTCTAGACCATGTCTTTTTCATTTCCATGTACTTACCATTAGTCATGTGTGCCTCTTACCTAAAAGTGTGTCCGTCTTTCATTTCCTTCGTAAATTTAGGCAACTATATGAGTATTCCTGGGTTGTTTTGGATTGAGTGAGCCTTAAGATATGACAGCTCTAGCACACAGTAGGTACTCAGAAAATGTTAGCCTCTGTGCTGGACTGATTTCATATTTTACCCCAAGTGGTTCATGTAACTAGGGGGAGTTTTGCTTCACACTATTAAATCCACTTTAAAGAATTAGTATTCATGAAGCACTTAGAACTGTGCTTGGCACATAGTAAGCACTATGTGTTTGTAAAATAAAACTTCTACCTTATTTGACTTTTTAAAAATTGTAATTTATTTTTATGAGAATAATGCAGCTCTGGTTTTGTTACCTATCTCAAAAACTTACTTATAAATGGGTACAGTAATAATTTATAAAAAAGAAAATGACTTTACATGTTGTTCATATGTGTACTTTCCAATAAAGTCTTGGAATATGGTGACAATTTAGAAATATGTGGGGTTCTTTTTTTAAAGGTTGTACTGATGAACTCTCATTAAAAGGAACTGCTATATTTTGTTGTTTATTGTAGAATGGAAGCTACAAAAGTATTCATGCAATGGCCAAAGATATAGATCTCCTCGCAAAAAATGCCAAAACTTATAATGAGCCTGGCTCTCAAGTATTCAAGGTTAGTTTTGTTGTTGTTGTTGTTGTTGTTTTCCTTGGTAATAGTAGATAATTTAAGGTCAGTAATTTTTATAAAACAACTTTATTGAGATATAATTCACATACCATGGACTTTACCCATTAAAAGTGTTTAATTTAGGCTGGGCGCAGTGGCTCACGCCTGTAATCCCGGCACTTTGTGAAGCCTAGGTGGGTGGATCACGAGGTCAGGCGTTCCAGACCAGCCTGGCCAACATAGTGAAACCCCATCTTTACTAAAAATACAAAAATTAGCTGGGCGTGGTGGCAGGCGCCTGTAATCCCAGCCAATCGGGAGGCTGAGGTAGGAGAGTCGGTTGAATCCGGGAGGCAGAGGTTGCAGTGAGCTGAGATTGCACTCCAGCCCGGGCGACAGTGCAAGACTCTGTCTCAAAAAGAAAAAAAAAAAAGTATTTAATGTAATGGTTTTTATTATATTCATGGAGTTGGGCAGCCATCACTCCAGTCAATTAACAGTCGCCCTTTATGTCCCCCCAACTTCTCTAGCCCTAAGCAACCTCAAATCTATTTTCAGTCTCTGTGTTTGCCTGTTGCCATTTTACACAAATGGAATCGTATAATATGTGATATGGATTTTTTGCGACTAGATTCCTTCAGTTAGCGTAATGTTTTCAGGGTTTATCCATTTTGTAGCATGTGTCAGTACTATGTTCTTTTTATTGCGGAATAATATTCTACTATAGGGATATACACTGTATTTTATTTACCCATTCATCAGTTGATAGATATTTGGATAGTTTCTACTTATTGGCTATTATAAATAATGCTGTTGTGAATGTTCACATATACGTTTTTATGTGGACATATAAATACTACATATATATATATATATATATATATATATATATTTTTTTTTTTTTTTTTTTTTTTTTTTTTCTCTTTGATACATACCTAGGAATGGAATTGCGGGGCCATGTGTGGTAACTGTATATTTAACTTTCTGAAGAACCGCCAAACTGTTTTCCAAACTCTACCATTTTACATTCCCACCAGCAATATCCAGGTGTTGCCATTTCTCCACTTCCTCACCAACACTTGTTTTCCATTTTTGTTTTTGTTCTTATTATGGATATCCTAGGGAGTGTGCAGTGGTATGGCATTGTGGTTTTGATTGACATCTCCCTAATGATTAGTGATGCAGAACATCTTTTTATTTTATTCTTTATTTTGATTTTTAGGTCATTCATACGTCTTTAGAGAAATGTTCAGATCATTTGCCCATTTTTTAATTGTGTTACTGTTTTTTTGTTGTTGAGTTGTAAGAGTTCTTTATATGTTCTGGATATTATACCCTTATCATGTAAATGGTTTGCAAATATTTTCTCCCATTCTCTTGTCTTTTCACTTTTGTGATTGTGTCTGTTGACACACAGAAGTTTTTCATTTTGAAGTTCACTTTATCTATTTTTTTCTTTGGTTGCTAATGCTTAAGTGTCATATCAAATAAATCATTCCCTAATCCAAAATCACAAAGATTTACACCTATGTTTTCTTGTAAGAAGTTTATAGTTTAGCTCTTAACGTACTTAGATCTTTGATCCAGTTTGAAGTAATTTTTATATATGTGAGGTACATGTAAGGTAGGAGTCCAAATTCATTCTTTGATATGAGATATTATCCCAGCACTATATATAGAAAAGATTATTCTTTCCCCATTGAATTGTCTTGAATTGTCTTGGCAACTTTGTTAGAAATCAATTGACCATAGATGTATGGGTTTATTTCTAGATTCTTGGTTCTATTCCACTCACCTAAATTTCTGTCCTTATGCCAGACTTGGTTAGTTTTGAATCCATTTTTTAGTTAAATATTGACTTATTCCCTGCATTTAAACTTCATAAATATAAAAAGCAATCTGTGTAGTGCAGTACACAATGTAAAATGACTGTTTCATTGCTTTGCAAATTCCATCTTAGAAGTTTTATGGTTCTGTAATGAATAATTGCTTGTAGAAATTTATTGAATTAATCGTGTATCATTGGGAATTTGCCAAAGGAGACTCAGAAAATCTTTTGGGAATAAAATCATTTAAATTTTCTGAATGCTGACTCAAATACTCAAAATTGCTGTTGGTATTTAATGATAACTTTTATTTTTCATCTTTTAAGAAATTCTGAGAGAAAATCAGGAATGAACTATGAAGTCCTTGTATTCCTAGTCCCTAATAGGACATTTTAATAATATACAGTACTAATTGTTTGTTGTTACAGTTAAGAATTTTACTTTTGGGTCTAATTATTTTTTCTAACTAAGTTTTAAAGAGAAGGGAAACTTAAGCAAGTACATTCATTCTAAACTTGTGTATATAATCTTTAATCTTAGAAGTGCATCTGTATTTTGATTTTTAGGTCAGCGTACACAAGTAGAGTTAGTTGTCCGTAGTCCCTCACCTTATCTGCGGTTTTGCTTTCGTATGGTTCTGAGGTCAGAAAATATTAAATGGAAAATTCCAGAAATAAGCACTTCATAAGTTTAAATTGCACACCATTCTGAGTATTGTGATGAAATTCATGCCATCCACTTCTGTCCTATCTGGTCTCACCTGGGACATGAATCATTCCTTTGTTCAGTCTATCCACACTATATACACCACCTGCCGTTAGTCACTGTGTAGCCATCTCGGTTATCAGCTCGACTGCTGTGGTATCACAGTGCTTATGTTCAAGTAACCTTATTTTACTTAATAATGGCCCCAAAACACAAGAGTTGTGATGCTGGCAATTCAAGAAGCTTTAAAGTGCTCCCTTTAAGTGAAAAGGTGAAAGTTCTTGACTTAAGAAAGGAAAAAAAAAAAAAAAAGGTATGCTGAGATTGCTAAGATCTACAGTAAGAACAAATCTCCCAGCTGGGCACTCTGGTTTAGGCCTGTAATCCCAGCACTTTGAGAGGCCAAGGCAGGAGGATCACTTGAAGATAGGGGTTTGAGACCAGCCCGGTCTACATGGTAAGACTCTGTCTCCACCAAAAAAAAAAAAGAAAGAAAGAAAAAAAGATGAATCTGCTATTCATGAAATTGTAAAGAAGGAAAAAAAAGAAGTTTCTGCTAGTTTTATTGTTGCACCTCAGACTGCAAAAAGTTACAGCCACAGTGCATGAAAAGTGCTTCATTAATATGGAAAAGGAATTACATTTGTGGATGGAAGACATAGACAGAAATGTGTTCCAGGTTTGGCAATGTTCAAGGTTTCAGGCATCCACTGGGGGTCTTGGAATGTATCCTCCACGGACAGTGGGGCATTACTGTATTATACCATTAGATCTTTGTCTAAATATTACTTGACTAATCATGAAAGAACTAGGAGGCATTTTAACTTATATTTAATTAGTGACAACTTTATGAAGATAGATATTTTGGAAGCTTGTAGAAATGTTGGAGGATGCAGCTTTGTGGGTATTGAATGGAAGTCTGCTCCAAGTAGAAAGAGTGCCATAGAAGGTGCCCATTGCATGAGTTGGGGGCATTAAGCTGTCCTTTTATCTGTTCCTTTTTTAAACCAAGTAATTTTATCTTGACAGGATGCAAATTCAATTAAAAAAATATTTTATATGAAAAAGGCTGAAATTGAACATCATGAAATGGCTAAGTCAAGTCTTCGAATGAGGTAGGTTTAAGAAAATGTCTAGGCTGGGCGTGGTGGCTCATGCCTGTAATCTCAGCACTTTGGGAGGCTGAGGTGGGCGGATCACGAGGTCAAGAGATCGAGACCATCCTGGCCAACATGGTGAAACCCCATCTCTACTAAAAATACAAAAATTAGCCGGGCGTGGTGGCATATGCCTGTAGTCACAGCTACTTGGGAGGCTGAGGCAGGAGAATTGCTTGAACCCGGGAGGCAGAGGTTACAGTGAGCTGAGACCGCACCACTGCACTCCAGCCTGGTAACAGAGCGAGACTCGGTCTCAAAAAAAAAAGAAAATGTCTAAAACCCTTAATGCCTTTATATTTGCTGAGTTTTCTAGGTAGTGAAATCAATAAACATTAACACGGTTTATGTTGCATTTCAAGGTGATACTTACAGTTGATATTATAATTCTGAAGATAGTAGTAACTCTTAGCACCTTTGCTGCTGAAGGGCTTCATTTAACTAGAAACATTTTTTAAAACTTTACATCACTATATACTTTGTACAAATATTATTGCTTTGTACAAATATGAATATACATATATAATATATGGTATATATTAATATTACACAGAATAGATAATAGTATGGTATTTATATATAATATTAGTAGTATGTATTCATATTTTTGGTAAGGCTATTTAGCAGGTATCAGGAGATCCAGTCTCATCCTGGCTTTTCCTTGTACTAGGACTGTGATTTTTTTTTTTTGAGACAGAGTCTCACTCTGTTGCCCAAACTGGATTGCAGTGGCACAATCTCGGCCCACTGCAACCTCCACCTCCCAGGTTCAAGCAATTCTTTTGCCTTAGCCTCCCAAGTAGCTGGGACTTCAGGCACACACCACCATGCCCGGCTAATCTTTTTGTATTTTTAGTAGAGACAGGGTTTCACTATGTTGGCCAGGCTGGTCTTGAACTCCTGACCTTGTGATCCACCCGCCTCGGCCTCCCAAAGTGCTGGGATTACAGGCGTGAGCCACTGCGCCCGGCCAGGACTGTGATCTTGAACTAGTCTTAGTTCTAGGATTGCATTTCTCCCTACCTGAAATGGGAAGGTTGGGTGACTACTTTCAAAGCTTTCCTCTGGCCTTGACATTGTTTCAGTACCAGGTCCTCTGGTCACTGCAGTGACCAAAAGCTCTCTAGGACCAGCCCTGGTCTGTTCTTCCCCGCAGAGTCCCCAGGGCCTGAAGCAGAGTCTGCTGCATAGTAGAAGTTCAGAAGTATTTTAGCATTTCTATTTAGAAGAGAAGAAAATGGTTGTGTGTGTGTTTGTTTACCCAGCACTCTAATTTCAGCTACCAAGTTTCTAAGCTTTTTATCTTATCTCTGGATAGGACTCCATCCAACTTGGCTGCAGCCAGACTGACAGGTCCTTCACACAGTAAAGGCAGCCTTGGTGAAGAGAGAAATCCCACTAGCAAGTATTACCGGTGAGAAAAAGAGTGTTTAGTCTGAGAGTTGACCTGTGCTTATAAAGATAGGCATACTAGTATTTGCCCAATGGCTATCTTGAAGGAATATTTTTGGGTATAGTTTGGTTGTTAATGAGAATCTGTTGTCAAATGGTTTATTTAAAAGGTTGAGTTACTAGGGTGGGCACAGTGGCTCACGCCTGTAATCCCAGCACTTTGGGAGGCTGATACGGGTGAATCACTTGAGATCAGGTGTTCCAGACCAGCCTGGCCAACATGGTGAAACTCCATCTATACTAAAAACTACAAAAATTAGCTGGGTGTGGTGGCGGGTGCCTGTAATCCCAGCTACTTGGGAGGCTGAGGCAGGAGAATCGCTTGAACTCGGGAGGCGGAGTTTGCAGTGAGCCGACATCGTGGCACAGCACTCCAGCCAGGGCAACAGAGGGAAACTCCATCTCAAAAAAAAAAAAAAAATTGAATTACTAACGTAGGCCTTATATCACCTCTCAGACGATGCTTAAGCATTGTTTCTCAGGCAGGCAGTGTTTAATATTAGCTACCAATAAAATGTGAGGTTAAATACTAATAGGTTTTTTAAATTCATAATAGAATTTTTTGTTTGTTTGGTTTTTGGTTTTTTTTTTTTTTTTTTTTGAGACGAAGTTTGCTCTCGTTGCCCAGGCTGGAGTGCAGTGGCACAATCTCTGCAACCTCTGCCTCCTGGATTCAAGTGATTCGCCTGCCTCAGCCTCCCGAATAGCTGGGATTACAGGTGCCTACTACCACACCCGGCTAATTTTTTGTATTTTTAGTAGAGATGGGGTTTCACCATGTTGGCCAGGCTGGTCTCAAACTCCTGACCTCAGGTGTTCCACCTGCCTCGGCCTCCCAAAGTGCTGGGATTACAGGCATGAGCCACCACGCCCAGCCTCATAATAGAATTTGTATTGTAAAATATGAACATCTTAGAAGATAATTATCAGCAACTGTGACTGAGTCCTTATTTTCCACTCCCTCTTTTCTAAGAGGAAAAAAATAGTTTCCTCGGCTAAGATTGATTATGAGAACCATTAAGTACAGAGATAAACTAAGGAGGCAATTGAATAGAAATTATTTTTCTTTCATCTTAACACTTTGTTAATAGTTCCTGTTCCCTGTAAAGTAACCTAATTATTATAACATCCTTCCCTGTCTAATTGCTTTTTTTTTTTTTGTAGTAATAAAAGAGCAGTACAAGGAGGTCGTTTATCAGCAATTACAATGGCACTTCAATATGGCTCAGAAAGTGAAGAAGATGCTGCTTTAGCTGGTAGGCATTAGGTTTTGACTAGCGAAATGCCTTCTTAGTGGATCCTTCTAGCTAAATGAAATTGCAGTGATTTTTTCTGGCCTAGGGTTTGCTGGTTTGGGAAGTACATGCTATTTTATTGCATTTGATTGTACTCTGGTAGTCAGACCTATCAAAAGGTTAATGCTTTATCTTGTCTTAAAACTCATATTTGGGTAAATAATACTTCTGCAAAAATAATTGATAACTTAGCAGATCCTGGTTTAAAACCTATAATGATAAATAGTGAGTACTAGTAAAAGCATCAGAAAATCTCAGAAATCCACATTCATCTTAGATTTTCAGGCTTTAGCTTATATTTTCAGTATGCTCTAATTTCTTCTTGGCTTGTCTTTCTCTTAAGTTTGATATAATATTTTCCCCTTTACTATAGATTTTTTTATGTGTAAAGATAAAATTTGTTTCATTAAATTATTCTGGTATATTCTTTTCTTTCTTTCTTTTTTTTTTCTTTTTTTTTTTTTTTTTGAGATGGAGTCTCGCTCTGTTGCCCAGGCTGGAGTGCAGTGGTGTGACCTTAGCTCACTGCAACGTCCGCCTGCCGGGTTCAAGTGATTCTCCTGCCTCAGCCTCCTGAGTAACTGGGACTACAGACACGCGCCACCACACCTGGCTAATTTTTGTGTTTTTACTAGAGACGGGGTTTTACCACATTGGCCAGGCTGGTCTTGAACTTCTGTCCTCATGATCCACCTGCCTCGGCCTCCGAATGTGCTGGGATTACACCACGCCTGGCCTCAATTTTATTATTGAATGTTACACAACAGACTTCTCCAGTTGTATCTTGTTTTTAACTAAATCTCCTATAGAAATTTCATAATCACTATAGGCTATTATGTATAAATTTACTTTTTTGAAACATTGATCTACAGAATTAAGTATTTTTTTATTTAAATTGGGCCTGGTCTTATCAGAAATTGAAAAAATATTATCTTCTTGTTAGCATTGTTTTTTACTGATTATAAAAGTGACACACGGCCGGGCATAGTGGCTCACACCTGTGATCTCAGCACTTTGGGAGGCTGAGGGGGGTGGATCACTTGAGGTCAGGAGTTCAAGACCAGCCTGGCCAACATGGTGAAACCGTGTCTCTACTAAAAATACAAAAAATTGGCCAGGTATGGTGGAGCGCACCTGTAGTCTCAGCTACTCGGAAGGCTTAGGAAGATCACTTGAACCGAGGAAGTGGAGACTGCAGTAAACCGAGATCACACCACTGTACTCCAGCCTGGGCAACAGAGCAAGACTCTGTCTTGGGGGGAAGAAAAAGAGGTTATATGGCTGGTTACAAGAGACACATCAAATATAAAAACATAAGAAAGTTGAATCTAAAAGGATGGATAAGACCAGGTGTGGTGACTCACACCCATAATCCCAGCACTTTGGGAGGCCTAGGTGGGAGGATTGCTTGAGCCCAGAAGTTCAAGACCAGCCTGGGCAACATGGCAAAACGCTGTCTCTACAAAAAATACAAAATTTATTCAGGCGTGTTGGTGCATGCCTGTATTCCCAGCTACTTGGGAGGCTGAGATGGGAGGATCCTGAGCCCAGGGAGGTTGAGCCTGAAGTGATCACACCACTCCACTCCAGCCTGGGCAACAGAGTGAGACCCTGTCTCAAAAAATAAATAAAAAATAAAAATAATAAAATTGGGCTTTTGTCTTGAAAAAAAGAAAAGGATGGCTAAAAGATACACCAGGCGAATAATAACCAGGCGAATAATAACCAGAGTAGCTACACTGACTTTTGATAAGATGGACTTTCAAACAGAGATCATTACACAGATAAAAAGGATTGCCTAATGATGGTAGAAGGTTAATTTCATCAGCAAGTTAAATTGTAGAAGAGCTCAAAATATGTAAAACAAGCAGATGAAACTTTACAGAGAAATTCAAAACACTACCCTTAGTCTGGAAGCCCTCTTCTCTCAAGAGCTAAACAGAAAACGAATGAAGATAGAGATTTGAACACACTTCTTCATGTAAGTATTTGTTTCCTATTGCTGCTGACACAGTACCACATACTTAGTGGCTTAAAACAATGCAGGCTGGTACACTGGCTCACGCCTCTTATCCCAGCACTTTTAGAGGCTGAGGCAGGAGCATCACTTGAGTCCAGAAGTTTGAGACCAGCCTGCTCGACATAGAAACACCCTGCCTCTACAAAAAAAAAAAAAAAAATTTTTAAGGCAGGGTCTCCCTCTGTCACCCAGGCTGGAGCAGTGGCGTGATCTTGGCTCCCTACAACCTCCACTCCTGGGCTCAAGCAGTCCTCCCACCTCAGCCTCCCTAGTAGCTGGGACCACAGGTACTTGCCACCACACCCAGCTAATTCTACAAGAAAAATTTAAAAAATAAGCCATATGTAGCTACTCCAGAGGCGGAGTTGGGAGGATCACTTGAGCCTGGGAGGTTGAGGCTACAATGAGTCGTGATCCCACCACTGCACTCCAGCCCTGCCTCCAAAAAAAAAAAGAAAAGAAAGGAAACCTTTAACAGGAAAGATCAATAAAATCAAAAGTTATTCTGTTAAAACCCTTAATAAAAATAAGTCTGAGGTGAGATTGTCAAAAAGGCATAAATAAACAATATTGGCGGGGAGGAGAGCATACAGAGTTTTAAAAAAGAATGTGTGAATAAGGCCAGGCTTGGTGGCTCACGCCTGTAATCCCGGCACTTTTGGAGCCTGAGGTGGGCAGATCACCTGACGTTGGGAGTTCGAGACCATCCTGGCCAACATGGAGAAACTTTCTCTGTCTCTACTATAAATACATATAGTGGCACATGCCTGCAATCCCAGGTACTTGGGAGGCTGAGGCAGAAGAATTGCTTGAACCCGGGAGGCGGAGGTTGCTGTGAGCCAAGATTGTGCCATTGCACTCCAGCCTGGACAACAAGAGCAAAACTTTGTCCCCCGCCCCCCCCCCCCAAAAAAAAATGTGAATAACGTTATGCAAATATATTTAAAAATTTAGATGACCAGATTTCTAGAAAATAAGCACCTAAAATGGATTCAAGAATAAAAAGGCTGGCTCACACCTGTAATCCCAACACTTTGGGAGGCAGAGGCAGGAGGATCACTTGAGTCCAGGAGTTCAAGACCAGCCTGGGCAACATAGCGAGACCTCATCTCTGCAAAAAGAAAAAGAAAAATTAGCCGGGCGTGGTGTGGTGCATGTCTGTAGTCCTACCTACTTGGTAGGCTAAGGCAGGAGGATTGCCTGAGCCCAGGAGTTCAAGTTTGCCGTAAGCTATGATTATTCCACTACACTCTAGCCTTGGCAACAGAACGAGACTCTGTCTCTTAAAAAAAGAGAGAATACGAGGTCAGGAATTTGAGACCAGCCTGACCAACATGGTGAATCCCCGTCTCTACTAAAAATAGAAAAATTAGCCAGGCATGGTGGTGCACGCCTGTAATCCCAGCTGCTCAGGAGGCTGAGGCAGGAGAATTGCTTGAACCCAGGAGGCGGAGGTTGCAGTGAGCTGAGATCACGCCATCGCACCCCAGCCTTGGTGACAGAGCGAGACTCCGTCTCAAAAAAAAAAAAAAAGAATAAAATGAAATATTCCCACTTAGAAAATACCAGGCCAAACATTTAAGGAACAGAATTTTAAATAAACTCATGCAGAGAATAGAAAAAGAGCTCCGCAGTTCATTCTGTGAATCTAACATAACCTGTGAATCTAATATAACCTAGACATCAAAACTGCACAAAATATAAGCACACTGTCTAGCAGTGTGTATAAAAGATAGTATATAAGGACACAGTTGGATTTAGGATTAGAAAAGATAAAAGTAATCTTTACCACAGTAACAAATTATAAGAGTAAAATCATATGATTTGCTCAGCAGATGCATTTGATAATTGTTTCAGTTCCCATTCAAGATAAAAATTATTTGCTAACTAGTAAGAGAGGGGGATATTGATATAAAGTATCTCCTTTTTTTCTTTTTTCTTTTCTCTTGAGACGGAGTTTCGCTGTTGTTGCCCAGGCTGGAGTGCAATGGCGCAATCCCCGCTCATGGCAACCTCTGCCTCCCAGGTTCAAGTGATTCTCCTGCCTCAGCCTCCGGGTAGCTAGGATTATAGGAGCCCGTCACCATGCCCGGCTAATTTTTTTTTTTTTTTTTTTTTTTTGTATTTTTAGTAGAGACATGGTTTTGCCATGTTGGCCAGGCTGATCTCGAACTCCTGGCCTCAAATGATCCGCCCGCCTCAGCCTCCCAAAGTGCTAGGATTACAAGCATGAGCTACTGCGCCCAGCCTTCTTTTTTTCTTGAGACTGGGTTTTACTGTGTCACCCAGGCTGGAGTGCAGTGGCGTGATCTCAGCTCACTGCAACCTCCACCTCCGAGGCTCAAGCAATCTTTCCACATCAGCCTCTGGCGTAGCTGGGACCACAGGCACATGCCACCACACCCAGCAAATTTTTTATATTTGTGATAGAGATGGAGTTTCATCATTTTGCCCATACTGGTCTCAAACGCCTGAGCTCAGGCAGGCTACCCACCTCTGCCTCTCGAATTGTTGGGGTTACATGTGTGAGCCACAGTGCCCACCAAGGGTATCTCCATTTTTAATGGAGAAAAGGTAACAGCATTTCCCTTACCAACAGAAACAAGGTAATACTGTTACCTTTGTTGGTCACAGTACTAGCCAGCCTACAGTGACAACAATAAGGTGTAAGGATCAGAAAAGATGTATAAGGATTACAGTTGACAGTTTTTTTAAAAGATGCCGCTTACAGTAGCAACAAAATATATACCTAGGTGTAAATCCAACTGCAGGCTCTTTAGGGGAGAGATCAGAGGTATTAGAGTCAGAAAAGACTAGTTTCAAATTCTTATCTGCTTCTAGCTCCATGACTCTGGTTCCTAATCCCCTTCAACTGCTTTATGTGGTGGCTGAACTTGTGCAAGTAATTAACCTCATATGCCCAGTTTTCCCATTTGAAAAAGAAATAATACCCATCTTGTGTGTTGGTTTTAGGATTACCTGAGGCTGGTACTTATCAAGCTCTTAACACATAATTAAATTCTTTTTTTTTTTTTTAAGGCGGAGTCTCACTCTGTCGCCCAGGCAGGATTACAAGTGTGAGTCACTGCGCCTGGCCTAATTAAATTCTTTTTTTTTTTTTTTTTTTTTTTTTTTTTGGAGACAGAGTTTCACTCTTTTGCCCAGGCTGGAGTACAGTGGTGTAATCCCTGCTTACTACAATCTCCGCCTTCTGGTTTCAAGTGATTCTCCTGCCTCAGCCTCCCGAGTAGCTGGGATTACAGTCACCTGCCACCACACCCGGCTAATTTTTTTTATTTTTAGTAGAGACGGGGTTTCATCATGTTGGCCAGGCTGGTCTTGAACTACTGACCTCATGATTTGCCCGCCTTGGCCTCCCAAAGTGCTGGGATTACAGGCATGAGCCACCGTGCCCAGCCTAAATTCTTAATAAATGATTATGGTTCTTACCTGAGAGTACATAGCAACTATATGTTTATTCTGATCCATCAAGAAAAATTTAAATTATGGTCCTTACACACTGTTTAGGAGTTTGGGGAAATGAGCAACATATTTTTTATTTTTATAAAAATAATTACGTTTTGTTTGCTTTGGTGTTTTTATGATTTGCTTCTACCTAAAAATTCCCTCAGCAAGGGAATAGTCCTGGGGGATGTTTTAAATCAGTGGGCAAAGTCACAGAGATTTAAGGCTAAATCATGTCTGATAGAATCAGCCCAATCTAGGCTGGGCGTGGTGGCTCACGCCTGTAATCCCAGCACTTTGGGAGGCCGAGGCGGGCAGATCACGAGGTCAGGAGATCGAGACCATCCTGGCTAATATGGTGAAACCCCATCTCTACTAAAAATACAAAAAAAAACCAAATTGGCCAGGCGTGGTGGCACATGCCTGTAGTCCCAGCTACTCAGGAGGCTGAGGCAGGAGAATCATTTGAACTCAGGAGGCGGAGGTTGCAGTGAGCCAGGATCACGCCACTGCACTCCAGCCTGGCGACAGAGTGAGACCCCGTCTCAAAAATAAATAAATAAGAAATAAATAAAAAAGAATCAGCCCAATCTAAATTTATACTATCTTAAACTTCATGTTACTGTTTTAGTTCTGGGATCTCTGAATGGTTACTTGCTCCTTTTGGCCAAGCATAGCAAACAGTCTCTGAAGAAAGCACATTTCAGAAAGAAACTGTTTTGCAACCTTTAAAACTATTGTACTTTTACTATTTAATATTCTATTTCTATGTAATATTTCTCTAAACATGCAATTATGTTAAGCCTTTTTAGCATTATCTTTAATAAACATTTGAGAGGTTTTTTTGTTTTTGTATTTGTTTTTGAGATGGAGTCTTCATCCGTCACCCAGGCTGGAGTACAGTGGTGTAATCTCGGCTCACTGCAACCTCCGCCTTCTGGGTTCAAGCAATTCTTCTGCCTCAGCCTCCTGAGTAGCTGGGATTACAGGTGCATGCCACCATGCCCAGCTAATTTTTGTATTTTTAGTAGAGACGGGGTTTCACCATGTTGGCCACGCTGGTCTCGAACTCCTGACCTTGTGATTCACCCACCTTGGCCTCTCAAAAGTGCTGGGATTACAGGCGTGAGCCATCACACCCAGCCTTAGAGACTATTTTTTTAAAGTAATTATTCCCTTTATCTTAGAATTTTTTTAAAAAAGGGCCAGGCGTGGTGGCTCACACCTGTAATCCCAGCACTTTAGGAGGCTGAGGCTGGCAGATTGCCTAAGCTCAGGACCTTGAGACCAGTCTGGGCAACATGACGAAACCCCATCTCTACTGAAAAATCCAAAAATTAGCTGGGTGTGATGGTGTGCACCTGTCTTCTTAGCTACTCGGGAGACTGATCTGGGAGAACTGCTTGAGTCCCAGAGGCAGAGACTGCAGGGAGCCAAGATCGCACCCTTGCACTCCAGCCTGGGTGACAAAGCCAGACCCTGTCTCAAAAATAATAGTAATAATAGTTTTCAAATATATTTAGTTCAATCTGGAAGGTTGTTAAATGAACTTTAAAGTATGGTTCTTTCTTCATCTCATTCGTCCCTTTATAAATACTTTTTTTGTCTTTCCAGCTGCACGCTATGAAGAGGGAGAGTCAGAAGCAGAAAGCATCACTTCCTTTATGGATGTTTCAAATCCTTTTTATCAGCTTTATGACACAGTTAGGAGTTGTCGGAATAACCAAGGGCAGCTAATAGCTGAACCTTTTTACCATTTGCCTTCAAAGAAAAAATACCCTGATTATTACCAGCAAATTAAAATGCCCATATCACTACAACAGATCCGGTAAGATGTCTTCTACATTATTCAGTATAATTTTATTTTGTTGTGGCTGAGCCTGCACATAATGTATTTCTTCCTAAAATGGATAAGGATATTAAAGGTAAAAATGGTGTTTTTTTTTAACCTCAAATTTTAACTGTTCATTACCTTTTTTTTTTTTTTTTTTTTTGAGACGGAGTCTCAGTCTGTTGCCAGACTGGAGTGCAGTGGCGTGATCTCGGCTCACTGCAACCTCCGCCTCCTGGGTTCAGGTGATTCTCTTGCCTCAGCCTCCTGAGTAGCTGGGACTACAGGTGCGCACCACCACACCCAGTTAATTTTTGTATTTCTATTAGAGACTGGGTTTCACCACTTTGGCCAGGATGGTCTCGATCTCCTGACCTCATGATCTGCCCACCTCGGCCTCCCAAAGTGCTGGGATTACAGGTGTGAGCCTCTGTACCCAGCCTTAACTGTTCATTATCTTATAACTGAGCAAAGTACGAAAATCTTTCAGCCTACCTCTTTTATTAATATTTTAATTATGACAGTTAATCTGTATTTAAGTTATGTATCTATAGTTGAAACCCCAGGATAAGCATAGTCAGTTCCTGGAGAATTCATTAACCGCAACCATACCAGAAAGATGATTCATCTTGTTCTCTTTTTTCTATTTAGAAAATGTTAAAGTGATCATTGGGCTACCAGACAGAATACTTAAATCACAATAGTGTCATTAAAAATAGTAGGACGTCTCAACCACAAAAAAAAACCCAATTCAGAAATGGGCAAAGGTCTTGAATGGACCTTTCTCCAAGGAAAATATACAGCTGGCTAATAAGCACATGAAAAGGTGCTCAGCATCACTAATTATTAGGAAAATGCAGTTCAGAACTTTTGTGTGATACCACTTTGCACTCATTAGGATGGTTACTTTAAAAAAGTAATAATAATAATTATTGGTGTGTATGTGGAGAAATTGGAACCTCTGTGCAGATAGTGGGAATGTAAAATGGTATAGACGCTGTGGAAAACAGTGTGGCAGTTCCTCAAAAAATTAAACACAGAATTACCATGTGATTAAGAAATTCCATTTTGCATATGTACCCCAAAGAAATGAAAGCAGGGTCTCAAAGAGGTATTTGTAAACCTGTGTTCACAGCAGCAGCATTCACAATAGCTAAAACATGGAAGCTCAAGTATGCATCAAGAGATGAGGGGATACGCAAAATGGTGTGTACATACAATGGAATATTATTCAATCTTTAAAAGAAATTTTGAAACGCTCTAACATGGATGAAGCTTGAGGACATTATGCTAAGTGAAATAACCCAGTCACAAAATACAAATACTGAATGATTCTATTGATATGAGTATTTGTGCAATCAGAAGTCATAGAGACATAGACGCTGATCCAGAACATTAAAAAAAAAAATCAGAGACAAAATAGAATAGTAGTTGCCAGGGACTAGGGGAAGAGGGAAACAGGAAGTTACTGTTTAATGGGTATAGAGTGTCAGTCTTACAAAATGGAAAGAGTTCTAGAGATGGATGGTCATATTAATTGCATAGCATTATGGAAGTATTTTATACTACTAAACTGTACACTTAAAAATGGTCAAGGTAGGCTGGGTGCAGAGGCTCACACCTATAATCCCAGCACTTTGGTTAGCCAGTGATTTGGTGGGCAAATCACTTGAGGTCAGGAGTTTGAGATTAGCCCGGCCAACATTGTGAAACCCCGTCTCCATTAAAAGTACAAAAATTAGCCAGGCGTAGTGGCAGGAGCCAGTAATCCTAGCTACTCGGGCGGCTGAGGTAGGAGAATTGCTTGAACCGGGAAGGTGGAGGTTGCATTGCAGTGAGTCTAGGTCGCACCACTGCACTCCAGCCTGGGTGACAGAGTGAGACTCCATCTCTTAAAAAAAAAAAAAAAAAAGGTCAAGGTGGTAAGTTTTGTGTTATACCAAAATTTTTCAAATTGGGGGGGATAGTAACCTTTTCTTCAGTGCCCATTTTCTATCCATACCTCCCAATATCAAATTTGCTTTTTTCTTTTTGTTAAAGAGACAGGGTCTCTGCTCTGTTGCGTAAGCTGGCATGATCAACTCGAACCTCTGGGCTCAAGGGATCCTTCTGCCTCAGCCTCCCAAGTAGCTGGGACCACAGACACATGCCAACATGCCCAGCTAATTTTTTTAAATGTTTTTGTAGAGACCAAGTCTTGCTTGTTGCCCAGGTCTTGAATTTCTGGCCTTAAATAATCCTCTCACCTCAGCCTCCCAAAATATTGGGATTCCAGGTGTGAGCCACCATACCCGGCCTTTTAAAATCTCTTCTGTGAAAGCTAAAAAAAATCCATAATGTCATGGAGTATATTTTTGGACTCTGTATGATATCTCTGAAAGTCAAAAATCCTGATTTCCAGACAGACACAAAATTCATGAGCTTTTAATTTATTTTTAAATAGATCCTGACCTAGTTTCTGTTTCTGTAAAAACAGCAGGGTCTCAAAGAGGTATTTGTAAACCTGTGTTCACAGCAGCAGCATTCACAATAGCTAAAATTTCTGTTTCTATAAAAAGCAGAATAGGTGACCATTCCCAAAGAATCATAAAAATTCAAAACATTCAAAAGAATAAATATCTTTAAGGAAAGTTAACCAAAAATCTTAAGTTGGAATCAAATGAATGTGTTCAAAATCACTTGGTTTGCCTTCCATCTTTGAATCAGTCTCTGTGAATTTTGATATTACCTGTACATTCCAAGCTCCTTTCTTACATTACAAATTTTCAAAGATATTTATTGCTTTCAGGAAATCAATAAAAATTCTTAGACTTTTTGGTATAAAGAACAGAAAAATAGTTTAATTGGTCCCGCTGTGCCTTCTTGTTTATTTAAATTAAAAATAAACTTAAAAATATCAAAAGTTGGCCAGGCGAGGTGGCTCACATCTGTAATCCCAGCACTTTGGGAGGCTGACGTGGGAGTATCACTTGAACATGGGAGATGGAGGTTGCAGTGAGCCAAGATCATGCTGCTGCACTCCAGCCTGGGTAACAGAGTAAGACCCTGTCTCAACAAAAAGAAAGAAGTAATATTATAAAATATGATGCTTTATAGTAGAATACCCAGATAGAGTCAAGAAGCAGGTAAAACTACCTTAGCTAAGTAACAGTAAGTTGGCTTCATGGCAGATATTTAATGTGCTTGCTGGATTCTAGGAAATAAGGCTGGCTAACAAAGTATGTTTCATGCTTTTGCATTTGTAACTTTTGTTTTCACCATTTGATCAGTAATAATTTTTTTTTTTTTTTAATAGAGAAAGGGTTTTGCCATATTGCCCAGGCTGGCCTCAAACTCCTGAGCTCAAGCAATCTGCCCGCCTTGACCTCCCAAAGTGCTGGGATTACAGGCGTGAGTCACCACGCCTGACGTTGATCAGTAGGATTTATGGTGCTTTTATTTAATCCAGACTTTGGAGGTCCTGTATACAAGTAGGATACAGAAGATTAGTTTTTTTGGTCTTATTAAAATAACATGGAAATTAAGGCTGAGATTCATTACAGAAATAGCCTAGAAATATGTCTTTTATATTCTTTGCGTTGGGAAAAGATAGTGATAGTCTTGCAGATGTTAAGAAGTTCCCTGTCCAAAATTTTGAACAATTTTTGTTCTTGGTTTCCTTTCTCCTTCATTATTATTTTTAAATTATTTAAATAGTCTATTACAGTAGCTTAGTTCAAAAGAAGACAAATTCTTAGCCAGCTCAGTCCCCTGCCAACACAGCCTTCTTCCAAGTTGAAATTTTCTAATATAAACTTTGCTTTAAGTCAGTAATATCTCCCCTCCCCTTTCTAATTTATAATGGCAATTGTGTGGCACACAGGGGAGAGTAAGGAATAGGGAAGTTGTTGAAGCCCAGCACACTAAAGTTCTGAAGGGTAAACTATTATGTCTAATGTTGCTGCCTTCCGCGGATTGTGAGCCAGTGGTGCCTGACAGGAGCCTTACTGTGCCTACGATCCCTTCCATTGTGGTCTACAGAGCAACAGGGAGGTCTAGGGGCAGTGCTATTCAACAGAACTTTCTGCGTTGATGAAAATGTTTTATTATCAATATTCCAATGTGATAGACACTAGTCATATGTGGCTATTGAGCACTTGAAATGTGGCTAGTGTGATTAAGGAATTAGATTTTAAGTTTTATTTAATTTTAATTTAAATAGCCACACATGGCTAGTGGCTACTATATTGTACAGTGTACCCCTAGGAAGATCTATTGGCAGAAGGAAGATAGTTGAGTTTCCCCAAAAGCAACAAAAATGGAAGAGTAAGCAGGAACTAGACAGTGTGGACTCCATATGCTACCTTCTGCTGTACTGGGATTTGTCCCCCCTATTTTTTTTTCTTTTTCCTCCCCCACTACCCTTGATTAATAGTAATCTGATAAATATCTGCAGGTTTATTATTCGTTGTCATTTGCAAGTTTGGGTTTTCTGTCTGTTTGAGGGTATTGAGAACATCTAGCCCTCTACCCTTTGAGTTGACGGGAACAAGTCTGAGGCTGTAATTTGAACTCTAGGTGCTAGCTACACAACCTGGTACTGAGAGCTGAATTTGTGCTTAGTTGTTGTTTGCTTTGTCACAGAGATGTTCTCTAATATTCATCTGTTGGAGCACAACACAGAATCTGAATATGATTTTGGTAAATTTTAAATAAAACTTTACATGCAGATGCCATTCTAAGAGAAAATTCACTTATTCTGTGAAGCTGTTTATACATATTATTGTTAACTGTCTTTGTGATTTTGATGGTTAACGTGCAAATGCTACAATCAAAAGATTTAAAGTCTGTCCTGTCTAAATCCATATAGTGTTACAGCAAATAGTGACTCTACTTTGTACAAAGTACATAAGGGCTTTATGATAGTTGATACAATAATAATGATTGTGTTTAAGTGAGATACTTGGAATCTTAAGACTTTTAAGTAAAAATCCCAGCTTTAAGCTGCCAAGTTATTATGTGTTTATATTGGAAGAATAGAAATGAATGGACTCTGACATATCTATCTCTCTTTTACCATCATAAGACCACTCTTTATTGTTTATAAATACTTTGCACTGTCAGTACTGTCTCTTTAACCCTTATGAACTAGAATGGCCTTTTATTTTCAGAAATGGGTAGATCACCATGATTGTTCATTGAGGTCACTTAAAACCTCCCTAATTTTCGTCCCTTCATAAGGTTCACGTATGAACTATTAGGATTTTTCCATTAGGGTTTTTTCCAAGTAGAATGTTTGCTTTGTAATTGTCTTCTTTGCTAGGTCTTTACTAGGTCTTATTATTATTTCTTATAGTGTTTTAGTTTATTCTTTTGGATTTTCAAGTAAACTGTCATATTACCTTAATGTAATGGTGCTTTTGCCTCCTTACTTTGTATCTCAAAAGTCATTTTTAAGTTCCTAATCAGTATTACCAGTAAAGATACCATGTAGTGCTTGTCAAGATTTTGCATTGGACTTTCAGGAAGAATGTTTCATAATTTTCATGACAGAAAATTCTAGCAATTTCTTTGTCTTTCACAGAACAAAACTGAAGAATCAAGAATATGAAACTTTAGATCATTTGGAGTGTGATCTGAATTTAATGTTTGAAAATGCCAAACGCTATAATGTGCCCAATTCAGCCATCTACAAGCGAGTTCTAAAATTGCAGCAAGTTATGCAGGTGTGATTTATTGTTTTTGCTGAGTTTGTTGTATATATGATTAAAATAATTTTGCATGTTTTGAGTGTGTTCTAGTAAGATGTGTGATCCCCCCCACCCTCAGCAGTAATATTACATCATTTGGCTGGGTGCGGTGGCTCACACCTGTAATCCCAGCACTTTGGGAGGTCAAGGTGAGAGAATCACTAGAGCTCAGGAGTTCAAGACCAGCTTGGGCAACATAGCGAGACCCCCATCTCTACAAAAACTGCAAAAATTAGCCAGTCCTGATGGCACACGCCTGTAGTCCCAGCTACTCAGGAGGCTGCGGTGGGAGGGTTGCTTAAGCCTGGGAAGTGGAGGTTGCAGTGAGCCGAGATTGCACCACTGCACTCCAGCTTGGGCAACCAAGTGAGACCCTGTCTCAAACAAACAAACAATATATATAATATATATATAAAATATGTATTTTATATATTATACTTATGTATTATAATATATATTTATTATGTATTTCATCCTCAAGTACTGCTGAATTTTTTTTTTTTTTGGAGTTGTCATGGCCATATAGAGTAGAAATAATAATTGAGATGGGGTTAGCCTTCTGATTGGAGGAAGCAGGGATTGGTCCCTGTACAGTAATTTTGGGATTCTCATGAAGTCACCCTGCAATCACCGATGATATTCCATCATTTAGATTTTATTCCTTTGGTTCTAGACTTTGTTAAAGTAGGGCTGATTCTATCAGAAAGGACATCTGAAAGCAAATTAATCTTTGTATATTGTCTATGAATTTATCAGATCCTCTCTGAGAACCCTTGGAAGGATGTCTCAGGTCATGGTTCATCTAGGGGTTTTAAGATGAAAAGGTAGATATGAAATACAAATTGGGTCTATCTGACAGTTTTTGGTAGAATCTTTCTGGAAAGGCAAATCTCTGAACAATGAAGCAACAAAGGCAATTTTAGATCACCCATAGAATCTTCATTTTATATGATTAACAGTGAACCTTAGTGCTGAGACTTTCAGGTATTATTACCTTTTTAGTACTCTGTACATTCCCTAAGCCTGCTGTGCTTGGACTTTCAGCTCTGTTTGGCAGAAGGCCTTTAAAAATGCATGTGTTGAAAAGTAGATCTTTCACTTCTTGCATTAAACTTTATTCTTAGCCACACTGCCCCTTAGAAGTCAGGAGTACCAAAGGCCCTCTTTGAGTTGGTTTTACTTAAATAGGACAACCAGAGCAGGATGCTTCTACAGCTTGCCTCAGTGCTTTTAACCAGTTAGCACCCATTATAGTCATAAATGCTCTGCTGGTATTGACTCCTCAACCCTGTAGAACCATTTTTTAACCTACTCTTTTTGTCATGCAGGCTTTTGTTAAAATTGGTTATTGAAAATGTTTAATGACTCTTTCATTTTGTACATCCTGCATGTGATTGTATTTTTCTGAGTGAATCTGATATGTCTAGCTCTTTAACATTCATATATTCAGAGGAGTGTTTGGCACATGAGCTCAACTCCTGAGATCTGCTCTGTTTTAGGCAAAGAAGAAAGAGCTTGCCAGGAGAGACGATATCGAGGACGGAGACAGCATGATCTCTTCAGCCACCTCTGATACTGGTAGTGCCAAAAGAAAAAGGTATATACTCTTCTTATAGCTGGGGACATCTCAGTTCCTGTTAATTTTGTTTTAGATAAGTGAAGAAAATATATATTTTTTAAGCTATCAAGTTGTAAGCTTTAAATAAATGGTAATGTGTTCTCTTTTAAAATTCATTTGCAATTGGATGATTAGCTTTTTTTTTGTAAAAGTGCCATGTTACTTTTAGATGACCCAGATGAAAATGACTACTACATATGTAGCTTGGCAAAACATGTTATTCCGTTTGCCGTCTGGGTTTTTTTTTTTCTTTTAATGTGGCATTTTAAGAATGCCACTTAAATCTAACTTGGGTAATTTCTACATGGTGAATTACAAAAATGCAATTTGAATTAGGAAAGGTAAGGAGAAATTTGATACTACCACTGCAGTGAGGTATGCCATTGGTCCTACCCTTTGTTTGTCCTTGTTCACCTCATCTTTATTTGCCATTTTAAGCATGTCAGATTATAAAATAACAAATCATAACTTCTTATAGCTCATAAAATGTTGAGCTAGATTTTTGGGGTTTTTTTTCCTATATAACCTTTCTCTCAACTTCCCTAACCGTTTCTCCTTCTCACGGGTTTTGTGGAAGGGGATCTTACTGTGAGATTCCAAAGCTGGGATCCTATAAGGAATTTTGCAATATTATCTCTCGCCACACAAAGTTTCTCTCGCCTGATCATTGTGGAACACTGTATTGTCCTTTAATCATGACTGCCTCACCATCTTTGCAGCAACAGTCAATCCAGGGAAGATACCTTCAATAAGGAATAAGCTAATCACTAATAGCAAGGCTTGGCAGATTCAAAGTTGAATGAAGTCTTTAGTAACTGTTGACACAGTCTATACATGCATTAAGAGATCCACTAAGAAGAATTTAAAAAGTAGTTTAGAAAAGAGGAGCTGTCCTGCTTTCCTTCTTATAGATAGCATTTTGGAGAATTTTTTAAGCTTTACCATGGTAACTAAATTGATCAGTATACCCTGAGATGTGAGTCTCCTCCATTACTGGCCTATGAATTTCATCCTTCCAAGTTCTTAATTCCTTGTTATACCAGGGACAATGGAGGAAAAGTGTGAAACCAGATCAAAGACATCAAATCAAGAACAAGAACAACTTTGAGTGTAAATATGTAACTCTACTGCAGCATCACCTGTGTTTTCCAGATCAGTCACCTATCAAAGATAAAAACTTATCAGGCAAAAGAAGGTAATGGAGGCAAAAGTGATGGTACAATTAGTGCCAACACTGGATGAAAAGAAAGATCTTAAATTAGTTGAGTATTAAGAAAACAGTTCCAACGAAGCATTAGCCCAGGCCAGATACTCGAAAATTACATACCTGTGTGGCTAGTAGTCTGTGGGACACTCAAATAAGCTAAAGTTTTTGGCCAGGCACAGTGGCACATGCCTGTAATCCCAGCATTTTGGGAGGCCGAGCCAGGTGGATCACTTGAGGTCAGGAGTTTCGAGACCAGCCTGGACAACGTGGTGAAACCTCATCTCTACTAAAAATACAAAAAAATTAGCCAGGCGTGATAGTGGGCACCTGTAATCCCAGCTACTCGGGAGGCTGAGGCAGGAGAATCGCTTGAACCTGGGAAGTGGAGGTTGCAGTGAGCCGAGATTGTACCATTGCACTCCAGCCTGGGTGACAAGAGCAAAACTCTGTCTCAAAAAAAAAAAAAAAAGTTAAGCATTATGTTCTTAATTTAAAAAAATCTTACTTCAGACAAAAAGTCTCTTTACAAACAGGTTTCCTAGGAAGTGTTTTGTACAAATGAAGTGAAAAACACAAATAAAAGAACAATATAAATCATCCACTAAAAAAATAAAAGAATCTGAGTTTGAAATGTAGACATGAGTGGACGTTAAAAGATTGAAAGGATTAAGTCTTATACTTTGGACTATGAAAAAGGAAATAACACGATCAGTCATGTTGAGAGGTTTTGGTAATAAGAGATTTCTTCAGAAGTCAGGCAGACAGTAGCCTAGAAAATTAAGCTAATCTTGGCCACAGAAGTCAGGGCTAAGTTTTCCAAGTACCACTTGACTTGACTTCTAAGTGCTGTGTATGATTCTGCCTTCGCCTTTTTTTTAATACTAAAGAATGTGAGAAAAATTGATTGTGGGTATATTCTCTTCATTCTGGGGGTGCATTCTTTCTGCCAACATCTGTCTTCCTTGTTGAAATGTTTCAAATATTGTCTTTGGTACTTTGGACTGAATAATCTTTTTCTTCAACCATACATGGTTTGTACATGACCCTCCAATGTTGCTTGTTTTGTTTCTCTTTACATGTAATGTTTGTTTCTGCTTTCCCAGGAACACTCATGACAGTGAGATGTTGGGTCTCAGGAGGCTATCCAGGTGTGCAGTCCTTTTTTATGCATAAACATTCTTTTAAAGTGTATCTTCTGTGGCATGATCAGTACTGATTAGGTGAAAAGTGAAGCCTTAAGCATGTGAAAAAAAGTCTTTATTGGGGTGCCAGTTTATTTTATGAATAAAGAAAGCAGTACAGTTTAAAAAATCTTGTTAGCAAAATAAATTCAGAATTAACCTAGTTCAGAAGTAGCCTTAATTTGTTGCTAGCTTTGCCAGGGACAGAAGGCCCCCTCACCAATCATTGTGGCTGTGTTTCTGTAGCAAAAGGTAGAAGGTGGCAGTGCTGGTGCAGGACTGGCAGGTGCTGATTCCCTTTCAGGGATGCCTTTTACAGATTGAGGGTGGTGGAGGGATCAAAATCAGCTTCACAGTCTGAGTGACATCAGTGCATGTGGACACCTATGCATTGGGTCAGTGCTTCTTGAGCATGAATACATTTCCTCAGTCTCTGATCTTGTTCATGTCTTTTATAAAAAGCATTCTTTTGCATGTTACTTATGATTTGAAAACAACCTATGTAATAATTGTGTAGTGCTTTTGTTTTCACATTTGCCGTCTGACATTCACAGAGTATCAGTTGCTTATAGAACACTAAACTCTGCTCTTACAGTTTATAAAGGAGAACATTTAGTCATCTCTTTTACCTGCCAGGAACATATAGGCCAAGGAAAGAGGCAGGTTGAAAACAAATGAAGTCATTTGGAAGCAAGGTAGTAAAATAATTGCATAAGGTACACTACTAAGCAGTTGTATAGGATCATTGCATGATTGCCCAGATAGCTTTAGGAAAGATTATTTTCCTACCATACTTTCCCTTGAAAGTTGAATGTCTTGAGCTTCCCCAAATGTTACTACCATATGTATTCCACTCAGTAAAATTGCTATGTTATCATTGTCATCTTCCTAATATTTTCCTAAAGAAAAGTTTTCTTAATTAAATGGTAAATTTAAGAAAAAGACCATGGATTGTATTCTTTCATATCATTCATAATGTATGGCATTGAAACTAGGTGGTAGTGGAAATAGGAATAGGGGGCATCACTGGGTAGTGTTACAACCCTGAGTTCTAGAGCCTGACTGCCTAAATTCCAATCCCAGCTGTTCTTATTAGCTCTGTAATCTAAGCCTCATTTCAACTTTATCTGAAAAACAAGTTAATGACAGTACCTTCATAGGATTGGTGTGAGGATCCAGTTAGTTAATATGTTTAAAGCTCTTAGAACTGGGTCTGGATGCACTGAGTACTCAGTAAATGTAGCTGTTTATTTTCTTGAAGTAGCGCTTATTGACCTATTGACCTATTGACTTGGTAGATTTTGGTTTTGTTTTTAGTCAGATGTTACTTGTCTGGGAAGACTCATTGGAAAAGATGAATGAAAAGGTTTTATTTCTTGAAGACTTGAAGGTGAAATATAGCAAGCCTTGTAAAAGAAAGAACGTTTGGGTTTACTTAGCTTACTAGTAAGCACAACTGAAGCTCTTAAGGTGGGGGAGCTAAATGCTGGGACACCTTAAAGCCTGTAAACAGGGTTGACTTTGATTAGAGAGGCTGTTGGTAAGTGCCAGCTGTTATTTTTTAGGAAACAGGGTCTTGCTGTGTTGCCCAGACTGGAGTGCAGTGGCTATTCACAGGTGTGATGGTGGCACATTGTAGCCTCAAACTCCTGGGCTCATGTGATCCTCCCACCTCAGCCTCCTGAGTAGTTGAGACTATAGGCATGCATCACTGTGCCGGGCTGTGCCAACTTTTGGGAAAGGAAGGGACATAAAAGCAGCATGGTGATTATCAGCTGATTCAAATGTCTGTTCTGGTTGTTTACTTTATGGCCTTAGGTATTCATTTGCTGTCTCTAAGCCTCAGTTTTTACATCTGCATAGTTGGGGTAATAATTATATTTGATTCTGAATTTGAAGATTAAATGAGAGTGCATAGTGTTTAACATTTGGTAGAAGTATTAGTAGCTATAGTTTACAACTGTATATAAGAATTGTGTGTGTGTGTATTTGTAAATATTAGTATATATAAAAATAAATAGTAGCTTTAGAGGAAGAATATTGATAAGGGCATTTGACAAAGTGGTCAGCCACAAAGTATGAGAGCCAAGGACTTACATTGTGGCATGAAACATTAAAAGGAAAACAGGATGTAGAAGGGCTGTGGAAGTCTTCTAGAACTTGCTGATCAGCCAGGGGGAGAAAAAGTGACTGATTTAGGTGTTTCAGATTGGGTTGGGTTCCGGAGGATAGTGTCGATGGTGATCCTGGAAAATCACATTTGCCATCACACATCAGGGATTCAGAATAGAGCCTCTGCTAGTGCATAAACTTTGTGCAAATTAGAAAAAGCAGCCATTTCTCAAGACACTTGACTTGCATGAATTGGAAAATTGTTGTAATATACTTATTTTGATAGCACAGGACCCTTTATGTCCCATTTCCTATGAAATTCTAAAATTGTAGCGTACTTACTACAACAGTATCTATGATCTGAATTGTTGTCCTCCTAAGTATTTTTTTGTCTTTCTTTTTTTTTATTTTTTTGAGATGGAGTCTCTCCCTGTCTCCCAGGCTGGAGTGCAGTGGCACGATCTTGGCTCACTGCAACCTCCGCCTCCTGGGTTCAAGTGATTCCCCTACCTCAGCCTCCTAAGTAGCTGGGATACAGGTGCACGCCACCACACCCAGCTAATTTTTGTATTTTTAGTAGAGACAGGATTTGCCATGTTGGCCAGGCTGGTCTCGAACTCCTGACCTTAGGTGATCTGCCTGCCTCGGCCTCTCACAGTGCTGGGATTACATGTGTGAGCCACCATGCTTGGCCTTTTTGTCTTTTTTGAGACAGTCTCACTCTGTTGCCCAGGCTGGAGTGCAGTGGCACCATCATGGCTCACTGCAGCCGTGATCTTCTGGGTTCAAACAATCCTCCCACCTCAGCCTCATGTGTAGCTAGGATCACAGGCATGTGCCACCATGCCTGACTACGCTTTTTTAAAGAGGTGGTGTCTCACTGTATTGCCCAGGCTGGTCTCGAACTCCTGGGCTCAAGCAGTCCTCCCACTTCAGCCTCCCAAAGTGCTGAGATTACAGACAGGAGTTACCACACCTGGCTCCCCTTAAGTATTATGGCCCCTTGAATGCACAATGATGAACAGTCCTGATTTTGAATTCCTTTAAGATGTATTTTATACTTTAATATGCTTAAAGGTGCTGATTTTAAAAAGGAGAATGATTATGCCAGTTACAAGACCTGTGATTTAATTGTATGCCTTTTAATCAAAGGTAGTTAATTACTTTTCCAAAAATGGGGAAGAATAAAGAAACTATTCACAGTTAATGGTTTGAAGGAGGAGGAAAAGACATTGAGAAATTCTAAGAAAAATCTGAAAAGCAAAGTGACATTGAAAACAGTAGCCAGAGCTGGGGCGCAGTGGCTCACGCCTGTAATCCTAGCACTTTGGGAGGCCGAGGCGGGCAGATCATGAGGTCAGGAGATCGAGACCATCCTGGCTAACACAGTGAAACCCCATCTCTACTAAAAATACAAAAACAAAATTAGCCAGGCGTGGTGGCAGGCACCTGTAGTCCCAGCTACTTGGGAGGCTGAGGCAGGAGAATGGTGTGAACCTGGGAGGCGGAGCTTGCAGTGAGCCGAGATGGCACCTCTGAGACTCAGTCTCAAAAAAAAGAAAACAGTAGCCAGAAGTATCAAATAGGGCTCTGTCATGGTTATGTTTTGGTTATAGAGTTTATCTCATTTCAGAAAGTATTTTAAACTTTCAGAAGTCATGGATATAAGGCTCAGCCTCCATATTGGAAAAAGATAAAGCAAACATACCAGCTGCCCAACCTAATACAGTTATTATTATAAAAGAGTATGAAGTTGGCTCTGAGTTTTTTCTGGCAGCCGGATTAAAACTAATGGGCCAGTGGCTCTCAGTCTCTAAGGCACTGTAAGGATCTGGAAAAATGTAAATGAAAGATGAAACTGGATTTTTTCAGAGAAGGTCATAAGTGACTCTAGTAATAGAAATTTTGCTTTCTTTGAGGCTGGAAATCAATTACACATCCTTTACTTAAGGAATAAATGATACAAATGGAGAAAGGATGCTACTAGTAATATGAGTGCTAAAACAGTAAATTTCAGTTATTAGAGCAGTTTCATATATACAACTAGATTTCCACATTCTGGGTATGTCTCACTCAAAGCTGCCAAGTATCAGAATTACTGGCATTGGAAGAATGGACCGCTTGCCATTCTTTTACTTCACTGGCAAAATTTAATTAAAAACTTTCTCTCCTCTTATAAAAATCTGCCCTAGATTTACTCCCATCTGAGAGTATTTGCAGCTTCATACAGAAAAACCTAATGATAATTGGGCTTAGTGTGCTGAAACCCAGATGGGAATGGGGTGAGCACCTCCTGGTCCAGGTCAGGGCCTTGACTGAACTGTTAAGCTTCTTGAAATTGCTAGAATGAGGACTAATTTCATCCTGTCCTGTTTATTGGAGAGATCCTGTAAGCTTAGAGCTTCAGAATTGAATTCCTCTGTCTTCCTTTTAAAGTCCACCCCACATGCGAGATCTAATCAAACCACATCTGACTTCAAAGTCAGGTTCTGAAATTTTTCTTTAGAGACTTCCTGAAGGTTAAAGTCATCTGTGTTCTAATCTGTGCCCAGATGTGGAGCTCTGTGGTATTGGAGCTTTGTCCTAACTTCCCTTGTATTATCCACTTGCCGAAGACTTAGAATGAGAGAACTCTTCCTGTCACATCATTGCCCCAGGATGTCTCCTTGGAGAAGGAGTTTCCACTAGGTAAAATATCTAACAAACGTTTTGCCATCATCTAACAAACTTATCTAACAGAAAAAAAAGTGCTGAGGGGAGAAAATGGCAGGAATTGTCTGAGGTCCACAATGAGCAGGAAATAAGCAGTCAGAGTGAAGACACAAGTTATGAGGATGATCCCAACTCTAGCAGGAAACAGGCTCTTGTCTGTTTTTTTCCTAATTAAATCACTTTGTTTGCCTTGAGTTATAGGCATTTCTGAAAAGCCTAAAAATCTTAAGGATAGATGTTTATTTTCTCAACTGTTAATTCTTGATTTTTCTTTCTGTGTTTTAAAAAAGTGTATTTTGAACCTTGGAGAGAAAAGATCTGGCCTTTGGCTTCTTCATGACCCAGGAGTAGTGCAAGTAGTCAGGGGACTGGACCAGAAGACCTATACAGCCACATATAGTTTGCCTGAGGAATGAACTTTCTTCCACCTAAAGGATAGGGAACAGATACAAAATATTTACCTCTAAGTACAGTTGGCCCTCTGTATCCATGGCTTCCACATCCAGGGATTCAACCAACTATGGATAGAAAAAAAAATTTTTTAATTGCATCTTTACTGTACATGTACAGACTTTTTTTCTGTCATGTCCTAAGCAATACAGTGTAACAAAACAACTATATAGCATTTTTAATGTATTAGGTATTATAAGTAATTTAGAGATGATTTGAAGTATACAGGAGGATGTGCACATGTTATTTGCAAATACTACACCATTTTGTATCAGGGACTTGAGCATCTATGTATTTCGGTATACAAGGGAGATCCTGAAACCAATTCCCCATGAATACCAAGGGATGACTATACTATAGGACCTTAGTAAATATTTTTTTAATAGAAATTAAGTTGGCCAGGCGCAGTGGCTCACGCCTGTAATCCCAACACTTTGGGAGGCCAAGGTGGGCGGATCACCTGAGGTCAGGAGTTTGAGACCAGCCTGGCTAACATGGTGAAACCCCGTCTCTACTAAAAATACAAAAATTAGCCGGGCACAGCCGAGCCCGATGGCTCAAGTCTGTAATCCCAGCACTTTGGGAGGCCGAGGCAGGCGGATCACCTGAGGTCGGGAGTTCGAGACTAGCCTGACCAACATGGAGAAACCCTGTCTACGAAAAATACAAAATTAGCCAAGCGTGGTGGTGCATGCCTGTAATCCTAGCTACTCGGGAGGCTGAGGCAAGAGAATTGCTTGAACCCAGGAGGCGAAGGTTGCGGTGAGCAGAGATCACACCGTTGCACTCCAGCCTGGGCAACAAGAGTGAAACTCCATCTCAAAAAAAAAAGCAGGGCGTCGTGGCAGGCGCCTGTAATCCCAGCTACTTGGAAGGCTGAGGCAGGAGAATCGCTTGAACCCAGGAGGCAGAGGTTGCGGTGAGCTGAGATCGTGCCATTGCACACAAGCCTGGGCAACAAGAGCGGAACTCCATCTCAAAAAAAAAAAAAAAAAAAACTAAGTCATAAGTCATTTCTTGTTATTACCTACTTCACTGTTCACTTGGAGACTGCTGGTTAGTCTGACTAGAATTTCTTTATCTGGCTAGAATTTCTTTAGCCGTGCCCTGAGTACATAAGAATAGTTAACCGGAAGCCATATCGGAAGATCATTGCTTCTAATAATTTACTAGGAAACTTACCTTGGGCAAGTCTTTTACCCCCTCTGAGCCAGTTTTCTCAGCAATTAAGAGATAGACCATCTGCTCTCTTGGAGCCCTTTTGAACTCTGGATCTAATCTATAGTCCCTTATGCTTTGTTCCATACTGCTTAAATCAGCTTCTCAGCATCACATCTCACTGGGGGAATTTGGAGAACAAGACGGATTCATGCTCAAGGATGGAAATTTTACTCTAGAAAACTCAGATTAACCACACCGCTTATTCTTTAAAGTAGGTTGGAACTGTGGAATAATGCTGATGGAGAAAGCAAGGACGACCCTGACAGAATCAATGCAAGAGAGGCTCATACCCACTGTAAAGACACTAGTCTGGCAGTCTCCTTTTGTTTTCAGACAACCAAAATACACAAGTGTTCAGGAGTACTTGTCTTAAGAGATGAAACACTTCTCTTTTTAGGTTTTTTATTTTGTTTTGTTTTTGTACTTGGAAGTGAGGATATTATAACCGTAGAGAATTGCTAGTTTTATTGCACTTTGGCTGTACTCATCTTTAAACAAAAAATATATCTCAGTTGACTATATAATTTCATTTTCTTTTGGTATCAGAGAGGATCTTATTTCAAACATTGCATTTCATGACATATCTAAAAAGTTTTTTTGGTGTTCATTAACTGCTCCTGCCAGAATTACTGTGTTTTAACTATTTTGGAAATTTTCCTAATATTTGCTTATAACTTCCAGCATGGTTACTGTGTTTGTGGCATATGTAATCAATAAATTGTAATCATTATAAAGCACCATAAATAATTTGTTTTATTTTGTGGTCATCCGTATATTAAGAAAACTGAACCTATTCTAATTTTTCCCCTTTTCTACCTCCCCCTCAACAGTAAAAAGAACATAAGAAAGCAGCGAATGAAAATCTTATTCAATGTTGTTCTTGAAGCTCGAGAGCCAGGTTCAGGCAGAAGACTTTGTGACCTATTTATGGTTAAACCATCCAAAAAGGACTATCCTGATTATTATAAAATCATCTTGGAGCCAATGGACTTGAAAATAATTGAGCATAACATCCGCAATGACAAATATGCTGGTGAAGAGGGAATGATAGAAGACATGAAGCTGATGTTCCGGAATGCCAGGCACTATAATGAGGAGGGCTCCCAGGTAAGGAGGGCCAGCGGTCCTGAAGTAGGCACATTTTGCGGGAGAGGGGTACTTATAGAATAATGCATTTTGAGAGACCAGCTCTAGAGGCTTAACTTAGATTATTCTTTTTGGTGACTAGGTTAATTGATTTTTCTTCATTGTTTACAATCAGAGGCAGTACATTATAAAGATAAACGTTCCTACTTTGTAATCTGACATCCTAGATTTGAATTTTGCTCTGCCAGTCCCTGTGTAAGTAATTTATCCTTCCTGAGCCTCAATTTCTTCATCTATAAATTAGGGCTAATAATAGTACTTGCATCAGGGTTGTTGTAGGATTTAAAAGAGATAATGTATACTGAGCATTTAGCAGAGTGCCTGGTACTGAATAAGCACTCAAAGGAAAGCCAATAGTATTAAAATCTTTCATCATCATCATTACTACGATCCTCAACGACCATACTTCTCCAAAGACAGCCTATATAGAAAATGTATAATTATATAAAAATCAGCATGATAGTCCCATAAATGTACCTCTAAATAATTTATTTAATTGATTTTGCTACAGAGCATCTTGATTTTTTTTTGAGACGGAGTCTCGCTCTGTCGCCCAGGCTGGAGTGCAGTGGCGCCATCTCAGCTCACTGCAAGCTCCGCCTCCCGGGTTCATGCCATTCTCCTGCCTCAGCCTCCCGAGTAGCTGGGACTACAGGTGCCCACCACCACGCCCAGCTAATTTTTTGTACTTTTAGTAGAGATGGGGTTTCACCATGTTAGCCAGGATGGTCTTGATCTCCTGACGTCGTGATCCCCCTGCCTCAGCCTCCCAAAGTTCTGGGATTACAGGCGTGAGCCACTGCGCCTGGCCAAAGCTTCTTGATTTTTAGTTCTTTATCGTTGTAACTGAGATACAGTCTCCCTTCTTTGAAACTTTTTCTATTTGATATCTTTTTATCCACTTTACATCTCCCAGAAATAAAATAACATTTTTAAGTCATTTGTTTCCCTCTGCAATTACATTTGATTATAAAATAAAGTATGCATTGAGGATGCTTATAGATAAAAAAATGGTTCTATCTTAAGGGTTTACACAGTCCTCAGTGTCATTGGCTAATGTACCCCTTGTCTATCACTGGTAGAGGAAAAAGCCACCTTTAAGAGAGGTGGCCAGACAAGGGAGGTCACTTATTCCCTCAGCTCCTCTGCTTTGGTGGGTGGCCAAGGGAGGACATAGCATCTGCTGAGGAGGTAAGAGGAGGGGCTGTGGATGCAAAGCATAAGGTGAGTAACCTTATTCTTGACTACATATTACCACCCTTGGCTCAGTCCTCAGAGAGAGATCCCTAAGCAAGGATAATTGTTTTTTTATAGATTAAGCTTCAGACTGTGAACTCAGATTTGGAATTTAAGATATTGAGATATTGCTCTCCAACTATCAGATATTTTTAGTTTCTAATTTCTATTGGGCTAAGTCTGCTACCTTGAGCGTCCAGTGGAGAAGAAAGGTTTTTGAAGAAAACAACACATGTAAATGTGTTTCAGGACTTTTGTTAAAACCTGCAGTGATTCTACTACAGTGGTTCTCAAACATTAACATGCATGTCTGTGCATTAGAATCACCTGGGAAGCTTAAAAACAAACCAGTTAAGGCCTAGGCTCTCCCACAGATAGAGTGATTTTATTGCTCTGTAGTGAGGCTGGTTTTGGTTTTCTTTAAGCTCCCAACTATCATAAACTGTCTTTTTAAAACTTCTTTATGGATGCATTTTATACCTTAATGAAAAGTTTTTAGAAAATAATTGAAGTATATTTTTGGAATGTAGGTTTATAATGATGCACATATCCTGGAGAAGTTACTCAAGGAGAAAAGGAAAGAGCTGGGCCCACTGCCTGATGATGATGACATGGCTTCTCCCAAACTCAAGCTGAGTAAGGCAGCCTCACACTTCATTATTTAGTTTAGTCTATCAAGAAGAGATTGCTGATTTTTCTGAAATAATATTTAATTAAATTATGAATATATTTGAACTCACTGTACTCCAGCATGGAGTTCTTTGTTCTTGTCAAGCCCTCTCATTTACTGTATTTTAAGTAGCTAAACTGTGACAAGCATATGGGGAGTAAAATATAATGTCAGAGGTTTTGTTTACTTTCTTAAATGCGTAGACATTTTGTAAATTTTAAATAGTAAGAATAGATTTTTCTGTACGTATAATGCTGTAAGAATATAGTAGCAGATTTTTTTTTCCTTGGTATGTATGTCTGACAATTACTAGAATTAAAAATGAATCCCAGCAGTTCCAACTGGACAGAATTTGAGGAGTTAGAGATGTCCAGCCACTGTACTATACTCAGCTATCATTTGAGTGTAGTCTGTGGTTGGTTGTTTTATTAAAAGTTGTAAGTGAAGGCCAGGAACAGTGACTCATGCCTGTAATCCCAACACTTTGAGAGGCTGAGGTGGGCAGATCACTTGAGGTCAGGAGTTCAGGACCAGCCCGGCCAACATGGTGAATCCCCATCTTTACTAAAAATACAAAAATTAGCCGGACATGGGGGTACATGCCTGTAATCCCAGCTCCTTGGGAGACTAAGTCAGGAGAATTGCTTGAACCTGGGAGGCGGAGGTTGCAGTGAGCCAAGATCACACCACTGTACTTCAGCCTGGGCGACAGAGTGAGACTCTGCCTCGGAAAAAAAAAAAAAAAGGGAAGAAAAAGGTTGGAAGAGAAGACAGGAAAAGTTATTAATACCATTAGATAAGAGATTTCTGTCTTCTTTAAAATGATGTAAATAAAATAGATACCAAGCAATTGATAATGATACTCATTGGAGCCATGTTTGCTGAAAAGGGGGAAAACAGACAGACTAGCTTTTTTGCTTTTTTTTTTTTTTTTTTTTTTTTTGATGAAGCATCTCGCCCTGTCACCCCGGTTGGAGTGCAGTGGTGTGATCTTGGCTCACTGCAACCTCTGCCTCCCAGGTTCAAGTGATCCTTCCACTCAGCCTCCCACATAGATGGGACTACAGATGTACGCCACCAGGCCCAGCCAGTTTTTTGTATTTTTAGTAGAGATGGGGTTTCACCATGTTGGCCAGGCTGCTGTCAAAACTCCTGACCTCAAGTGATTTGCCTGCCTTGGCCTCCCAAAGTGCTGGGATTACGGGTGTGAGCCACCCCGCCTGGCCCAGACTAGCTTTCTTATCTGAAATTACTATCAACTAAATTTGATAGTAGATTTGGGTATGATTTACTGCTAAGCGATGAATCCTTTTTAAGGCATTTGTCTTTTCATGGAATTGTAAAAGCATACAGAAGGTTTGCAGAAATGTAAAACTTTCATTCCACTTTGTAGGAACACAGTAACTTTTAAAGTTCAGGAAAAAGGGGCTTTTTATGTGGGATGTTAATTTCCTTTTTATTTCTTTTGTTTGTTTGTTTGTTTTAAATTAATAGAGGCAGGGTCTCCCTGTATTGGCCAGGCTGGTCTTGAACTCCTGGGCTCAAGCGACCCTCCTGCCTCTGCCTTCTAAAGTGTTGGGATTACAGGCATGAGCCATGGTGCCTGGCCTCCTTTTTATTTCTCTGTGTTTTTTAATGAAAAATATCAAAAATATATAAATGGAAAGTACAGTGGCCAGGGGTGGTGACTCGCTCCTGTAATTCCAGTGCGTTCGGAGGCCAAGGCAGGAGGATCACTTCAGCCCAGGAGTTTGAGACCAGCCTGGGCAACATAGGGAGACCTTGTCTCTACAAAAAAATATAAAAAATTAGCCAGGCGTGGTGGCACATGCATGTACCTGTGGTCCTAGCTATTTGGGAGGCTGAGGTGGAAGGATTGCTTGAGCCCACGAGGTCAAGGCTGCAGTGAACCCTGATCATGCCCACTGCACTCCAGCATGGGCAACAGAGCTAGACCCTGCCTCCAAAAAAAAAAAAAACAGAATAGTCCAGTGAACCCCTGTATATACTTGTTACCCATCATTTGTCAAAATCGTGGCAAACTTATTTCCTATCCCCTTTTTCTTCTTCTTTTCCTAAATTATTTTAAAACAAATCCAATCATGTCATTTCACTTCCACATAGTTCAGTATGCATCTGTAATATGTGCAGATATCTGCCACTTTGTCTTTGAGGATAAAACAAATAAAAATAAAATAAAATATGCAGACATTTTCATAAATAACAATGAAGTAATTATCATACCTAACAAAATTAGCAGTAATTTCTTGGTTTCATCTAATACTTGATAAATTATCAAGTTCTTCTGATTGTCTCACAAATGTATTTTTATAGTTGATTTCCTCAAATCAGACTCTCATTAAGTTCTATATAATAAATTTGATTATTATACTCTTTTTTTTTTTTTTTTTGAGACGGATTCTCACTCTGTTGCCCAGGCTGGAGTGCAGTGGCACGATCTCGGCTCACTACAGACTCCGTCTCCTGGGTTCCCCCAATTCTTCTGCCTCAGCCTGCAGGGTAGCTGTAACTACAGGGACACGCCACCATGCCTAGCTAATTTTTTTGTATTTTTAATAGAGACAGGGCTTCACCATGTTGGCCAGACTGGTCTCGATCTCCTGACCTCAAGTGATCCGTCCGCCTCCGCCTCCCAAAGTGCTAGGATTACAGGCATGAGCCACCGCACCCAGCAGATTGTTATACTCTTAAACCCATGATCTAGAGCAGTCTCCTTCCTTTTCTTTCCACATGCCAGTAACTCATTGAAGAAATCAGGTCACTTTCCTGTACAGTGTCCCAAGTTCTAGGTTAGACAGGCTTGCTTCCTTGTGATATCTGTAACTTTTTTCTTTATTTCCCTTATTTCTTATAAATAGAAGTTAACTTTGAAGGTGCGATTAGATTAAGTTTCACCTTGGTGGTGATACTTTATAAGGGGTTTGCTGCCCTTATGTTGTATCATGTCTTGAGGCAGTGTCTGGTTAAAGTAGAATCCAGATAAAGTCCACATACTGCAACTGATTGATACCTCTTTTTTTTTTTTTTTTTTTTTTTTGAGACGGAATCTCGCTCTGTTGCCTAGGCTGGAGTCAGTGGCACGATCTCGGCTCACTGCAACCTCCGCCTCCTGGGTTCAAGTGATTGTCCTGCCTCAGCCTCCCAAGTAGCTGGGACTACAGGTGTGCACCACCACGCCCGGCTGATTTTTGTGTATTTTTAGTAGAGGCAGGGTTTCACCATATTGGCCAGGCTGGTCTTGAACTCCTAACCTCGTGATCTGCCCGCCTCGGCCTCCCAAAGTGCTGGGATTAAAGGTGTGAGCCACCATGCCCAGCCCGATACTTCTTTTAATCTGTAAACTCCCCTCCAGCTCTCTCTTTTTCCACCCCTTACCATTTATCTGTTGAAGAAATTAGATTTGTGCTGTAGTTTCCCATAGTCTGGGTTTTGCTGATTGCATCCATATGTTGTGGGGTTTTTTGTGTGTTTTGTGTTTTGTTTTGTTTTGTGGAGACAGGGTCTTACTCTGTCACCCAGGCTGGAGTGTAGTGGCACATTTTTGGCTCATTGCCACCTCCACCTCCCTTCTGAAGCAGTCCTTCCACTTTAGCCTCTCGGGTAGCTGGGACTACAGGTACACGCCACCACGTCCAGCTCATTTTTTTGTATTTTTAGTAGAGACAGGGTTTTGCTATGTTGCCAGGCTGGTCTTGAACTCCTGGGCTCAAGTGATCTGCCCACCTTGGCCTCCCATAGTACTAGTATTGCAGGCATGAGCCACAGCTCCTGGCCCACTATGTTGTACTTTCATGTGTTCCTCTGTCCTTTGTATTTCCTATAAATTGGTAGTTGGAGCCAGAGGCTTGATCAGATTGAGGTCTGATCCCCTGTTCTCTCCCTTAGGCAGAAAAACCGACTTCATAGGTAATATATGGTCTTCCATCAGGTACATGTGAAATCTATTTATGGCTTTCTGTTAACAGGTGTTGTTGCATACTTCATTAATTATTAATTCATGAAAGGGATGTAAAATTGTGATAGTTTTTAATTTTATTCCTTATTAGCTATAGAGAAACTTTGCCTTATCTAATATTTGATTAGCCAGTGGTACAGTGTTTTTTTTGTGTGTGTCTTGCTTTTTGAAAGGATAAAGGCTTGATTTTTGTTTTATTTTGTTTTCACCTTTACCAGTTTTCAAAATATGTATTGGTTTACTAACATCCTTCAATATTTACCCATTTTGTTGTTTGTTTGTACGTATTATTAAGAACTACCAGACTTAAACATATGGCTGAGTTGTAATTGAAGTTATTGTCCTTATTGATACTCAGGCTGGTTCAGGCTCGTTCCTGTATTCTTTTTGTTTTGTTTTTTTGAGACAGAGTCTCGCTCTGTCGCCCAGGCTAGAGTGTAATGGCTTGATCTCAGCTCACTGCAACCTCTACCTCCTGGGTTCAAGCAATTATCCTGCCTCAGCCTCCCGAGTAACTGGGATTACAGGCGCCACCACCACACTCGGCTAATTTTTTGTATTTTTAATGGACACAGGGTTTCGCCATGTTGGCCAGGTTGATCTTGAACTCCTGACCTCAGGTGATCCACCCACCTTGGCCTCCCAAAGTGTTGGGATTACAGGCATGAGCCACCACGCCCAGCCGGTTCCTATATTCTATTGACATGAAGTCATGGTAAGAAGTCATTGATAGATTCTTTACTGTCTAGTGTTTGAAGATATACCAGACTGGGAATCAGCCATTTACCAAGGAGCCCTACCTTTTTCATGTTTCTGCTGAAAGGTGAGGGCTCCTCAACATTACTATTTGGAATTAGTATTTTAAAACTCTAATGTGGGCTATACTGCTACTGAGGTAGTCATTGTTTGTACGATTTTCAGTGGACAGAGCTAGGAAATTTGTGTGTTTGTTTGTATGTTTATATTTAAAGATAAATTACATCATAAGTTCATAGTGATACTTTCAATTGAGATTAAAGGCCTCAAGGTAATTATTAATGTCCTACGTTTTAACATCCGTTATCTCTTTTTATCCCATGATGAAAATCTCAGTTCTCCAGGATACCAGAGGTGATAGAATGTCACATAGCTACTCATTTGCTTTATTCCTTCTTATTCACAGCTTTCTCAACCTTACAGTAGTCTCCCATCAAAAATATAATTACTGAAAACAGTTAAAAAAAATTTTTAGTACTTTTTTGTCTGCAGGTTATATTTCACTATAGACATGCTAATTGCTAGATTTTACAAATTACTTGGAATCGTCCCTTGTGGTTATGCTACCATCTGTATACAAATTTAGGTTCATTTATTTTATTCATTTAACATTAAATATCTCTCTTTAGGTAGGAAGAGTGGCATTTCTCCTAAAAAATCAAAATACATGACTCCAATGCAGCAGAAACTAAATGAGGTCTATGAAGCTGTAAAGAACTATACTGATAAGAGGGGTCGCCGCCTCAGTGCCATATTTCTGAGGCTTCCCTCTAGATCTGAGTTGCCTGACTACTATCTGACTATTAAAAAGCCCATGGACATGGAAAAAATTCGAAGTCACATGATGGCCAACAAGTACCAAGATATTGACTCTATGGTTGAGGACTTTGTCATGATGTTTAATAATGCCTGTACATACAATGAGCCGGAGTCTTTGATCTACAAAGATGCTCTTGTTCTACACAAAGTCCTGCTTGAAACACGCAGAGACCTGGAGGGAGATGAGGACTCTCATGTCCCAAATGTGACTTTGCTGATTCAAGAGCTTATCCACAATCTTTTTGTGTCAGTCATGAGTCATCAGGATGATGAGGGAAGATGCTACAGCGATTCTTTAGCAGAAATTCCTGCTGTGGATCCCAACTTTCCTAACAAACCACCCCTTACATTTGACATAATTAGGAAGAATGTTGAAAATAATCGCTACCGTCGGCTTGATTTATTTCAAGAGCATATGTTTGAAGTATTGGAACGAGCAAGAAGGATGAATCGGTATGTTTTCAAAGCCATTTTTATTTTGAGGATATGTGCTATTTAATACAAAACAGATGAAAGAATATTGCTTTGATGTACTATTTCCACTTACATACATGATTTGTAGTTGGTAGCATGCTATTCTGAATTCTAATCAGCCAGAACTTCTTAAGAGTGAGTATATTCTGTGGGGGAGAGAAGGCACACCACTAAGTCATCTAGTTTAAGGCCAGTGAGGAGGAAGACAAAATTGAAAATCTCTTGAAAAGCATAAACTTAAAATACAGCCTTTCATAGAATGTGTTTTTTAAAAAGATAAATGTTTCTAATTGGAAATAGTAACAGCGTTTTTCTTTTAAGGTTTGGCTTCAGTGCACGAATGCTTTAAATAAAATAGCTCTAAGGTGTTGTCCTGAGGTTAGACTGATAGAAATTTGATCACCATTTTAAGTACCTCAGAGGGTTTCTTTTTTTTTTTTAATCTCAGGTTTCTCACCTTAAGAGCTTGCTGAAGACATTAAATGTTCTAAAAGAAGCAATCAAATTTAGATTTACTTTAAACTTAAATTTCCTTCTAATTTTTATCTGTGATATATCGTTGCTACATGTCAATAGCAGACTTGACTATTAAATTCAGCAATTACAGTGTATTTTATATGTGCACTTAGAGACAGTTGGAAAAATATAAAAAAAAAAAAGATACAAACCTTACCTTCCTGGAGCTTACAGCCTATCATGTTTAGAACTAGACCTTCAGGCAGTGTAATGCCAGCTGGGGAATCTATGAAATCAGAATTTGCTCTGAACCTTTAAAGAAAAGCAAGTAGTAATGTTTGCTTTCAGTGTCTTTGCAAATAAAAGAAAAAAAACATAGTAACATTTGCTGCTTGTGTTAAGCACCAGCTCTTCGTAAAGCACCATGCTAAGCACTTTATGAAGGCAATCTCTAACCCTTATGATAGCCATTCTAGATAAGTGATAATCTTTTCAGTTTGCATGTGAAAGAATTAGAGGCATAGGCAGAGAAAAGTTACCCATAGTCTTACAACTAGTAAATGATGTGACTTGTCTTGCTCTCCACTGCAGAGGGCTACTCCTGAGCCAGTTACCAGGACAAGTCATGGAGCACGGCCATAGATGATAAGCCTTGAGCTCTGTGCTCTAAAAGCTTGAAGTCTGATGGATGGGCCAGGACTTACGCTTAAGGGAAAAATAATTCCACACATGAGACAACATGCCACAACCTTATATTTAGTAAAGATGGTGATGTAAGGAACTCTGTGGGCCACAGTTCTCCTTAAAAGGCATGGGATGATAGGTAGGGTTCAAATGAATAGGCCAGAGGATATTTCAAATAAGATGAATGTTATGAGCAAAGAAATGGAGTTAGGAAATGAATATGATATGTTTAAGAGACAGGGATAGAGTTGGGGCCAGTTTGGTGAGGCCCATGTGTGACACTTTTAAGAAATGGTCCTTAATAATATGGTTCTTCAGCAATTGAGTAGAAATAAAGAGAAGGATGGAGGGACATCTTGCAGTCAAAAACTCTTGGAGTTACTCATTTATTCAACACATATTTATTGAGAGGCTACTTAATGAGCATATTCTAGATGCATGTAATACACCAGTGGGCAAAACAAACTCTGCTTTCATGTAGCTTAGACTTCTTTCTGTTCTTGTTCTTGGCTTAAGTAGTCCTTAAGTCTAATACCCCTCCCTTCCTCTCCTCCCTGCTTAGCCCCATTACATCTTGGTGTTAGTTCTGTGAGTCTTTCAATGAGTATTTGTCTTCTAGATTATTAGGAACTTCGTTTATGTCTTATAGATGAAATGTTTATTTTAAGAATTAAGATTTGTATCTCTAGGAAATTAGCTCTTTTCATTCTCCCATTGTTGACATGGTTGTTTTTTGCTTTTGAGGCCTGGAAGATAGAGTCCAAGGTGTATTTTTATGAGATAGTGATGCACACAGTTTTACCCTCATGCCCAGAGCTTTGTTGAAAAACAAAAGGGATCCCTGGTAATTTAGTAGTTAGGAAAAATTTTTTAAAGAAAAACATACGGGGAGCCATTCTTAACTTTGTGAACAAAGATAGTATTGTGATTGCTTATAGTACTTATTAAGAATAAGTACTTAATAAGAATTGATGGAGATGCATCAATTTAGTGAATGATAAACTATGCCTTTATCTACTATATTATCAGTAACAAAGCTAGGCATCCCAGAAATATTAGTTCATAAATTCAATGAAGTCTACATACCGTAGATTTCCATGTTGATCTCTAAGAGTCTTCATGCTTCATCACCATTTACCCCTACCCCTACCCACCACTGCTACCCAACATCACCTAGGACTTCACAGGCTAAAATAGAAGGAATCTGAACAGTGAGACGTAACAAGAGAAAAATTCACTCAGGTGACAATAGTTTGTCCATCAACAGTATTTAGTAACAGCACAGTGCTGACTCATGCCAGTTGGCTGCTGGCTTTCCTAAACTGCTGGCAGTATTCCCAGACTAAACACTCTGATCCCCTTGCAGGTAAAAGAGACCTGTGGGAAGATGAACAAGGGAAGCATTAAGAGCCTCCTGTATTCTTAATTATTTCCTTTTGCTGAATGTCTGCCTTATATAAAAAGATTACCAATTGAGGGGAATTTAGAGTTCTTTTTCCAGCTTGCGTTTATGTTCCTGCACATTCAATGAATACCTGACCTCGTAGACTAATAAATTCTTTATAATGCTTTGAATAAACAAAAGCATATACTAGGTGTTTAGTGACTCTTGTACAGAATGTTCATTTCTAAACCATGCGATATGATGGAATTATGATCTGCCCTTTTAGTATACCATGAAAGGTATTTACAAAAATTTTACAAAAATTTTTTACTTTTAATTTACAGAAATTTTCACTTTTTATACTTAAAATTGTACACTATTATAAAATGAACTTTAATTTCAAGTGAACAGAATTCAAATATCTTCATTCAGAAAACAAACATAAAATTATGTTTTAGGGGCCAGGTACAGTGGCTCACACCTGTAATCCCAGCACTTTTGGAGCCCAAGGTGGGAGGATGGCTTGCACTCAGGAGCTTGAGACCAGTCTGGACAATATAGCAAGACCTTCCTTAGCTCTACTTAAAATAAAATTTAAAAAATCAGCCAAGCTTGGTGACATATGCCTATAGTCCCAGCTACTCGAGAGGTTGAGGTGGGAGGATTGCTTGAGCCAGGAGATTGAGACTGTAGTGAGCCATGATCGTGCCACTGTACTCCAGCCTGGGCAGCAGAGTGAGACTGTGTCTCAAGAAGAAAAAAAAAGTGTTTCAGGGGTGTCTTCCCTTGGTAAGTTTTATTTTTATTGCTTTCCTACAAGTATTAGCATTTCTATGACCCCAAAAGATATTTAAAACCTTTCCAAGGCCGGACACAGTGGCTCACACCTGTAATCCCAGCACTTTGGGAGGCCACGGCGGGCGGATCACCTGAGGTCAGGAGTTCGAGACCAGCCTGGCCAACATGGTGAAGCCTCGTTTCTACTAAAAGTACAAAAATTAGCCAGGCATGGTGGTAGGTGCCTATAATCCCAGCTACTTGAGAGGCTGAGGCAGGAGAATCGCTTGAACCTGGGAGGCAGAGGTTGCAATGAGCTGAGACCGCACCACTGTACTCCAGCCTGGGCAACAAGAACGAAACTCCATCTCAAAAAAAAAAAAAAAAGAGACTTTCCGGAAACACCCATTTAGATTATTGATCGTGTCTTTTAATTGTTTGTCAGTTCACCTTTGCTGATGGGAGCAGCATTCTGGGGACCTCTCTGAAGTTTGATGCTCTAGTGGCATGTATCAGTAGGTGGCCTACTTGGCCACACTCCTCTGACCAGAATGTCTCTGTAACTGCTAAGACCTTTGTGGTTAGTTTTGTGAATAAGTTTTTAGACTCTGGTATTCTTAGTTAATAGAATTTGATTTATGCCAGCCAGGTGTGGTGGCTCACATCTGTAATTTAAGCACTTTGGAAGGCTGAAGAGGGAGGATCACTCGAGGCCAGGAGTTCGAGACCAGCCTGGGCAACACAGGGAGCACCCTGTTGCTACAAAAAATTTTAAAATTAGCCAGCCTGAGCCCAAGAAGTTGAGGCTATGGTGAGCTGTGATCACGCCACTGCACTCCAGTCTGGGTGACAGGGCAAGACCCAGCCTCAAAATAAAATGAAATAAAAACAATTGTATGTAAACCTTCCTCAGACCACAGTGGTACTAGAAACAGTAATAAAATTTCCTCCAGTCAAAATTCTAAAGTCTGAAGTTTATTTTGCCCACTCCCCACATTTTATTTATTTATTTATTTATTTATTTATTTATTTTGGGACAGAGTCTCACTCACTCTGTTGCCCAGACTAGAGTGCAGCGGCGCGATCTTGGCTCACTGCAACCTCCACCTCCCGGGTTCAAGTGATTGTCCTGCCTCAGCCTCCTGAGTAGCTGAGATTACATGTGTGCACCATCAGTTTTTGTATTTTCAGCAGAGACTGGGTTTCACCATTTTGGCCCACCTTGGCCTCCCAAAGTGCTGGGATTGTAGGTGTGAGCCACCACAACTGGCCTGTTTATTGATTTTTTTTTTTTTAACAGACAGGGTCTTGCTCTGTTGCCCAGAGTGGGAATGCAGCGGTGCCATCATAACTTACTGCACCCTTGAACTCCTGGGCTCAAGTGACCCTCCCGCCTCAGCTTCCCGGATAGCTAGGACTGCAAGTGTGTACCCCAATGCCAGGCTACTTTTTTGTTGAGACAGCGTCTTGCTGTGTTGCTTAGGCTGGTCTCAAACTCCTGGCCTTAAGCAGTCCTCCCGCCTCGGCCTCCCAAAGCATTGGGATTATAGGCATGAGCCACCATGCCTGGCCGCTTTATTTCATAAATGAGGAAGGAGACTCAGAAAAGTTCTGGGTATGACATACATAATCTTTTTTCCATCTTTCACTATGTTGCCTTTGCTGGTTCCCCAGAATTACACAGTTATTTCTGGGAAACTAAAATGAACATTAACTCTGAGGCCTGTAACCATTATAGAATACTTTCATGGCTTTGCTTTAGGTTCCGATATTCACAGGGTCTCACTAGCCTAGGCAACCATGATGTAGGACCAAAAGGAAGAAAATAGAGCCTATTATGTAACACATCGGTCTGCTATTAAGAGAAAGTAAAAATTCAAAGAATAGATACGAGTAAGTGTTGAACATATTGTGGAGCCTTGGTACAATTCTTGGTTCTGGCAGCCACCTTCCCCTGCCAGAATCGATTGATGCGTGTGCCATATATCTCCAAGAGAAAATACATGAGGCCTTTCGTTTTTCATGAGCTGTACAAGAAGTGAGCCTTGAAGTAAAGGAAAATGGTGGGCATGGGGCTTACCATGGTAAAATGACACTTTGGATTTTGTTCTAACAAACTTCGGAAAGATACTCTTCATAGACCTGTACAGAAATACCACTATATCAATTAAAGAAGCATTTAATAGAATTTAACATATAATTGAGGTGTTTAAAAGAAACAGCTTGTATGTCAATGGATACTCTTGATGCTGTTATAGGACAGATTCAGAAATATATGAAGATGCAGTAGAACTTCAGCAGTTTTTTATTAAAATTCGTGATGAACTCTGCAAAAATGGAGAGATTCTTCTTTCACCGGCACTCAGCTATACCACAAAACATTTGCATAATGATGTGGAGAAAGAGAGAAAGGAAAAATTGCCAAAAGAAATAGAGGAAGATAAACTAAAACGAGAAGAAGAAAAAAGAGGTTGGTTTCTTTTCATTTTATTGAATATGAAAAAATGCACTGTCTTCTAGGTGTTCTCATAATTAGCTGTGGAAAAGAGTCCTGTTTGTATGAATGAAAACTCAGGGTATTGACTATATTAGAGTAGACGCAATGAGATGGAAATATTTTTATAGTTATCAATTTGGTCATCAGACCTGGGAAAGATTAAAAGTTACCTGTGACACAGCTGTTATCCTAGCATTCCAGGAAAAGAGTCAGTTAATTCACAAGTGTGGGGGCTTAATGCCTCTTTATATTATTGGTAGATCAAAACCTAAGCAGGCCAGCTAGAACTAGAAAGCATTCTCAACAGTGAGTCCATGAAGTTTTTGCCACATCATGCAGTAGCATTGCTTTCCTCATAGATACTTTGGACCAGACAAGTAGATGATATTTTGGTTGAATCACATACCTGGAGAAAAGTTTTATTTTAATTGTATCAAACTATAAAATGTTACTTTGGGTCACTTGCCAGAATTTAGAAATATTTTGATAACAGGACCTTATGATTACAAATTGGATCATTTCTGTTAAAGTTCAAGTTCACATAGATTCCTAGAATGTGTGACTCTAAGTTATGTTAATCTTTGGCATCAAATCTCCTCCGTAGATTTTTTTCCCTTAGGCAAGAAAACAAAATAGATTGATTTGAAGCAAATTCTTATAAGCGATGGCAAACCCCAAAAAGAAGGGAAAGAGACTTGGTTGGTGAGAATAGTAATTTTGCCAGCATAGAACTAACTGCAAAACCAACAGCTTTGTCACCAAAGGAGATATATGATATACTCATTCAGGAAGATAGTGAATATATATGTGTGGGGTTTAGGGGAGAGGGGAATCTATGACTTTGCCAGCTAAAAGTGGTTGATGCAGAAATGCATGGAGTAAAGCTGCAACTTTGATGGCCCAAGGTGACGATCCAAGTTAAAGAATATTCTGAAAATTAGACATCTATAAAAGGACTGAGATAAGCTCTCCACACATTCCCAGCCAGCTGGAAAACCTACACATGCTGTGGGGGAAGATGCAAAAGAACCTGGTGAAGAGCAGAATCCAAAGGATACTTGAAAATTGGCTGCAACTTTGAGTGCATCCCCCAACCTATACACAGATCTGTCAGCACATGGTACATCCTTACGGGCTTGAGGTAGTTAAGTACAAACTTCACCTAAGTCATTGGCTATAGAAAGAGAGGAGCAACCCCTAGTGTCAGGTTTCCTTGCAGACCTATAGTGGGAGCTCCAGAGGAGAGAAGAGAAAGGGAGAGAAAAAAGATTTGAAGACATAATGCTGAAAACCTCTCAAATTGATGAAAAACAGCTCCAAGAATTTCAAGTAAGATAATCACAAAGAGAGCCCCATTTAGATACATCATCATCAAACCGATGAAAATCTTAAAAGCAGCAACTGATTGATCACGTACATGTAATTATCTGCACATTCCATCCAGGGGCCTGGGGATTGTCCAGCCCAATTGACAATTAGTGATACCTGAGCACTTTTCCCAGCATGTGGGGTCAGGGCCACTCAATCTGTCACTACCACGACAACTGGCACCCATCTTCATGTGTTACCTGTCGGTCCGGGTACTAGCTCACCTATCATAGCCATTGCCAGCACTGGTGCAGAACACTTGGGTCCCAGAGAGTTGGCCCAGCACTGCTACTGCTTTCACCCTTGCCACATCCACTGCCCAAGGGCTCGGGAACCCACCCACCTGCTCGATCCACTGCTGCCATTCCTGGCACTCCAGCAAGCCAGCTGGAGTCCCAGGAATTGGCCTGCCTGGACCTGCTAACACCAGTGCCAGTATACACCACTCTGGGGCCCAAAGCATGGCCCCCTTGACAGCCCAGTCCCCAGCAGTACTTTATGCACCTCAAGCCAGGCACCCCCACCTCCTCCCCACCCCCCACATTACTTAGGAACTGGGCTCCACAGGAGCCGGTGAGTGGCAGGCAAGCAAACATTACCCCCTGAGCTCCGCTTCCTGTTAGATCAGTGGTGGCATTAGATTCTCATAGGAGCATGAACCCTATTGTGGACTGTGTATGTGAGGGATCTAGGTTGTGCACTGCTTATGAAACTCTTAATGCCTGATGATCTGAGATGGAACAGTTTCATCCTGAAACCATCCCACCCAACCCTCATCTCTTACCCACACAAACCCCATCCCTGTCTGTGGAAAAATTATCTTCCACGAAACTGGTCCCTGGTGCCAAAAACGTTGGGGGCTGCCGCCCTAAGCCACTGAGGAAGTCATGGATACCACTGATACTGTTTACAGTAGAAGGAATCATACAGAGATTACACTACTGTACAAACCCAGATTCAAAACCAAAGTATCCTGCCCAACGAACACCACAGATACATCTTCAGGGAGAAGTCCTCTTCTACGAAAGTAAATTCAGAACACTGGAAGAAGTGACTGTTGTACTAGACACACATATAATATCAATGTAAGTAAGGACACAGGAATCAAGAAAAAGCAAGGAAATAATTACACCTCCAAAAGAACCCAGTAATTCTCTAGCAATAGATTTCAGTCGATAAGTAATTTAGCGGCTGGGCACGGTGGCTCATGACTGTAATCCCAGCACTTTGGGAGACCAAGGCCAGCAGATCATGAGGTCAGGAGTTCAAGACCAGCCTGGCCAACATGGTGAAACCCTGTCTCTACTAAAAATACAAAAATTAGCCAGGCGTGGTGGCGCGTGCCTGTAATCCCAACTACTCGGAAGGCTGAGGCAGAAGAATACCTTTAACCCAGGAGGTGAAGGTTGTAGTGAGCTAAGATCGCGCCATTGCACTCCAGCCTGGGACAGAGCAAGACTCCGTCTCAAAAACAAAGTAATTTATCAGATTCCAGGAAAATAATTCAAAGTTTGATACAAGATAATTCTTAGAAACATTACAAAGAAATCAGAAAAACAATTCAGGATATGAATGAGAACTTTATCAAATAGACATCATGAAAAAGAACTAAAAAATTCTGGAACTGAAGAATTTATTGAATGAAATACAAAAGATATTTGAAAACTTTAAGAACAGACTATATCAAGCAGAAAAAATAATTTCAGGAATTGATGACAGGTCTTTTGAAATAGTAATAACTCAGTCAAAGAAAAATAAAAAAGAATGAGCAAAGCTTGGTAACATAAGGGACACCATAAAGTGACCAGATTCTCAAATTTTCAGTATTCCTGAAGGTGAAGAGGAAATTTTAAAAGGTTGAAAAACCTATTTAGTGAAATAATGGATGAAAACTTTCCAAGTGTATCAAGAAATTTAGACATCCAGTTACAGAGGAGTCAAAGATCCCCAAATAGATAAAAAGAGAGAACTTAAAATGTTCCCAACACATAGAAAGGATGGTTACCCCAAATACCCTGACTTGATCATTACACATTCTATAAATGCAACGAAGTGTCACATGTGCCCCATAAATATTTATATTATATATCAATGAAAAACAAAAATTGTGATTGTAATTAATATCACTGAAATGCACACTTTACATTGGTTTAAAAGGCAGATTTTGTTATAGATTTTTTATCACAATTTTAAAATGTATTTAAAAATAATACATCCATGAAATGTTAATGTTTTTATAAAAAATATTTTCATATGCAAGTGAGATTGACAGTAAAAAAAAATTTTTTTTTTTTTTGAGATGGAGTCTCACTCTGTTGCCCAGGCTGGAGTGCAGTGGCGTGATCTCAGTTCACTGCAAGCTCCACCTCCCGGGTTCACACCATTCTCTTGCCTCAGCCTCCCAAGTAGTTGGGATTACAGGCGCGCCCATCACCACGCTTGGTTAATTTTTTTCTTTTTTTTTTTTTTTGTATTTTTAGTAGAGACGGGGTGTCACTGTGTTAGCCAGGATGGTCTCGATCTCCTGACCTCATGATCCGCCCGCCTCGGCTGTCCAAAGTGCTGGGATTACAGGCATGAGCCACCACGCCTGGCCAACAGTAAAAATTTTTTTAAAATTTGATTTGCATTTCCCTGAAGTTTATAGTTATGTTGAGCATTTTATCATATGCCTATTGACCATCTATATGTTTATAGTTAGATAGGAAGGATAAGTTACTAGTGTTCAATAGTACTATAGACTGACTATAATTAACAATTCATTTTATATTTTCAAATAGCTGGAAGAATGGATTTTGAGTCTTCTCAACATAAAGAAGTGATAAATCCTTGAGAGTATTAATATGCTAATTACCCTGATTTGATTGTTATACGTTGTATCCATGTTATCGAAATATCACACTGTACTCCATAAATATGTGCAATTTTTTTTGTGTGTGATGGGCTCTCATTCTGTCACCCAGGCTAGAGTGCAGTGGCACGATCATGGCTCACTACACCCTCAACCTCCTGAGCTCAAGCGAGTCTCTTGCCTCAGTCTCCTGAGTAGTTGAGACTAGAGGCATGTGCCACACCTGCCTAATTTTTTTTTTTTTTTTTTTTTTTTTGAGATATCTGGCACTGTTGCTGAGGCTGGAGTGCAGTGGTGTGATCTCAGCTCACTGCAGCCTCTGCCTCCCAGGTTCCAGCGATTCTCCTGCCTCAGCCTCCTGAGTAGCTGGGATTACAGGCGTGCGCCACCACACCCAGCTGATTTTTGTATTTTTAGTAGAGACGGGGCTTCACCATGTTGGCCAGGCTGGTCTCTTAACTCCTGACATCAGGTCATCTGCCTGCTTCCGCCTCCCAAAGTGCTAGGATTACAGGCGTGAGCCACTGCACCTGGCCTAATTTTTTAAATTACTTGTAGAGATGAGATCTTGCTGTGTTGCCCAGGCTGGTTTCAAACTCCTGGGCTCAAGGGATCCCCCCTCCTGAGATTCCCAAAGTGCTGGGATTGCAGACACCAGCCACATGATTATCATATGTCAATGAAAAATAACAAAAGCCCAAAAAGTGGTATATTCATCCAATGGGATATTATTCCACCATAAAAAGGAATGACATCCTTATTCATGCTATGTAAATGAACATTGAAAACCTTATGATAAGTGAAGTAAGCCAAACTGAAAAGGACAGATATTGTATGATTATACTTTTTTGAAGTATATAGAATTGGCAAATTCATAGGGACAGAAAGTGGAATAGAGGTTGCTAGGGGCCAGGTTGCAGAGTGGAGAAATGGATAATTATTGTTTAATGATTAAAGTTTCTGTTTGGGATAATGAAAAAGTTTTGGAAATAGTTTGTGGTTATGGTTGCACAACACTAAGTTATTGCCACTGAATGGTACACTTAAAAGTGGTCAGAATGATAACTGTTTTGTATTATATGTTTTACTACAATTATTAAAAAACTAATAATGTAATATACCAAAAACCATTGAACTTTAAATAGGTGAATTATGTGGTGTGTGAATCATATATGAAGTTGTTTTCCATTCAGAGAAATATTAGAATACAAAGTTGAAGAAGTCTCCCAGAAGTAGAACAACAACAGAAATAAAGGAAGAAAAAGATAATTGGCAGGGTGCAGTGGCTCACGCCTGTAATCCCAGCACTTTGGAAGGCTAAAGTGGGTAGATCACCTGAGGTCAGGAGTTCGAGACCAGCCTGACCAACATGGTGAAACCCTGTCTCGACTAAAAATACAAAAATTAGCCGGGTGTGGTGGTACATGCCTATAGTCCCAGCTACTCGGGAGGCTGAGGCAAGAGAATTGCTTGAACCTGGGAGGCAGAGGTTGCAGTGAGCCGAGATTGTGCTACTGCACTCCAGCCTGGGCGACACAGTGAGACTCTCCCGAGTAGCTGGAACTACAGGCATGTGCCACCACACGAGGCTAAGATGGGAGGATCGCTGGATCACTTGAGCCCAGGAGTTCAGGGTTGTAGTGAGCTGTGATGGTGCCAGTACCCTGAAACCTGAGTGAACCCTGTCTGTAAAAAAACAAAAAAAAATTCTAGTCTCTCTGTCCCTTTGAGTAAACTGATAGTGTTACTGCTGGTATAAAATTCTCAAGAACCTTATAGATCTGCTGTGTATTACACAGGGATTCACTTGATTAATCAATTGCTAGATAACAGTTTTCACCAAAATTGGCAGAACTTTTAAAAATTACATATCTAATACCAAGAAATAGGAGAATTAGGAGACAGAGCAAGATGGCCGAATAGAAGCCTCCACCAATTGTCCTCCCCACAGGAACACCAAATTTAACAACTATCTACACACAGAAAGTGCACCTTCATAAGAACCAAAAATCAGGTAAACAATCACAGTACCTAGTTTTAACTTCATATCTCTGAAAGAGGGTAGAAAACACAGTCTTGAATTGCTGGCACCACCCTTCTCCCATACCCCAGCATCAGCTGTGTGACACAGAGAATCTTTGTGCTTGCGGGAGTTAGAGCACAGTGATTGAGGGATTTGCATTGGAACTCAGCCGATGCCCACAGAGGAAACATTCAGGCCAGCCCTCATCAGAGGGGAATTGTCCAGCCCAGTGGACTGGACAATTGTCAGAACTTGGGTTCCAGCAAGCCTTGCCACTGTGTGCTAAAGGGCTCTGGGGTCCTAAATAAACTTGAAGGGAAGTGTAGGCCACAAGGACTACAACTATTAGGCAAGTCCTAGTGCTGTGCTGGGCTCAGAGCCAGTGGACTTAGGGGGCACATGACATGTGAGACACCAGCAGGGTAACCAGGGGAGTACTTGCGCCACCCCTCCCCAACCCTGGGCAGCTCCGAAAAAGTCATCTTCCTCCACTTGAGGAGAGGAGAGGGAAGAGTAAAGAGGTCTTTGCCTTGCAGCTTAGATACCAGCTCAGCCACAGTAGGATAAGGCACTGGGCAGTCCTGAGGCACCCATTCCAGGCCCTAGCTCCCATGCAGCATTTCTAGACATGCCCCTGAGCCAGAAGGGAACACGCTGCCTTGAAGAGAGGGACCCAGTCTTGGTAGAATTCATCACCTGCTGACTAAAGAGCCCTTGGGCCCTGAATAATCAGCAACAGTAGCCAGGTAGTAGGCCTGTAGGATACATTTCTTTTTTTTTTTTTTTTTTTTTTTTTTTTTTTTTTTTTTTTTTTTGAGACGGAGTCTCACTCTGTCGCCAGGCTGGAGTGCAGTGGCACAATCTCGACTCACTGCAACCTCCGCCTCCTGGGTTCAAGCAATTCTCCTGCCTCAGCCCCCCGAGTAGCTGGGACTACAGGCGCGCACCACCAAACCCAGCTAATTTTTATATTTTTAGTAGAGACGGGGTTTCACCATGTTGGCCAGGATGGTCTTGATCTCTTGACCTCGTGATCCACCCGCCTCGGCCTCCCAAAGTGCTGGGATTACAGGCGTGAGCCACCGCGCCCAGCCACAATCCTACAATTTATATGGAACCATAAAAGACTCAGAATAGCTAAAGTTATTTTGAGCCAAAAGAAAACTGGAGGAATCACGTTACCCGACTTCAATTTATATTATAGAGCTATATAGTATCTGAAACAGCATGGTGCTGGCATAAAAACAGACAAATATACCAATGGAAAAGAGTAGAGAACCCAGAAACAAATCCATACGTCTACAGTGAACTCATTTTTGACAACAGTGCCAAGAATATACATTGGGGAAAGGACAGTCTCTTCAATAAACGGTGCTGGGAAAACTGGATATCAGTATACAGAATAATGAAATTAGCCCCGTCTCTTGCCATGTACAAAAATCAAAATGGATTAAAGACTTAAATCTAATACCTGAAACTATGAAACTACTGGAATAAAACTGGACTAGGCAAAAATTTCTTGAGTAATTCCCCACAGGCACAGGCAACCAAAGCAAAAGTAGATAAATGGGATTACATCAAGTTAAAAAGCCTCTGCACAGCAGAGGAAACAAAGTGAGGGGACAACCCACAGAGTGGGAAAAAACTATCTGCAAACTAACCATCTCACAATGGATTAGTTACCAGAATGTATGAGGAACTCAACTCCTTAAGAGAAAATCTAATAATCCAATTAAAAAGTGGGCGAAAGACCTGAATATACATTTCCCAAAAGGAGACATACAAATGGCAGACAGGTATATGAAAAGGTGCTCAACATCACTGATCATCAGAACAAACAATGAGATATCATATCACTCCAGTTAAAATGGCTTTTATCCAAAAGCCAGGGCCTGATACTAGTACCCCAGAGTTGGGGCACACAGTCCAGGAGTCCTGAGCTGAGCCTTGGCCCCCTAAAATCCTCTAGAAACTAAGCCCATCAACTGAACCCATCTTATACCACAATCAAACACCCAAGGTCATCAAATAGGATAAAAGAATGAAAAAAAAAATAGCCAAAGGACAGCAACTTTAAAGATTGAAGGAACTTTAGCCCACAAAGATGAGAAAGAACCAGCACAAGAACTCTGACAATTCAGAAGCCAGAGTGCCTTCTTTCCTCCAACATTGCAATTCAGGAAACTCAGAGAATCCCCACAAAATACTTCACAAGATCATCTCCAAGACACACAATCACTAGATTCTCCAAGGTCAAAATGAAAGAAAAAAATGACAGGTCACCTTCAAAGGGAAGCCCAGAAGACTGACTGTGCACCTGTCAGCACAAACGCTGCAAGCCAAGAAGAGATTGGGGGCCTATATTCAACATTCTTAAGGAAAAGAAATTCCAACCAGTAATTTCTGTCCGGCCAAACCAAGCTTCATAAGCAAAGGAGAAATAGAGTCCTTTTTCCTCAAGCAGATGCTGAGGGAATTTGTTACCACCAGACCTGCCTTACAGTAGCTCCCAAAAGAAGCACTAAATATGAAAAGGAAAGACTGTTACCAGACACTACAAAAACACACTGAAGTATATAGACCAATGACACAACACAAACAAGATTGCTTCCAGCTAACAACACAATGACAAGATCAGATCCATACATATCAATACTGACCTTGAATGTAAATGGGCTAAATACTCCAATTAAAAGAAACAAGAGTGGCAAGCTGGATAAATAAGCAAGGTCTAATGGGATGCTGTCTTCAAGAGACCCATCTCTCATCCCATGAGACCCATAATGACACCCATAAGCTCAAAATAAAGACATGGAGAAAAATCTACCAAGCAAATGGAAAACAGAAAAAAGCAAGGGTTGTAATCTCATTTCAGACAAAACAGACTTTAAACCAACAAAGACCAAAAAAGACAAAGAAGGGCACTACATAATGGTAAAGGGTTCATTTCAACAAGAAGACTTATCCTAAATAATATATGCACACAATACAGGAGCACCCAGACTCATAAAGCAAGTTCTTAGAGACCTTCAGAGAGGCTTACACTCCCACACAATAAAAAAAGAAAAAGGCCTGGGTATAGTGGCTCATGCCTGTAATCCCAACACTGTGGGAGGCCAAGACAGGAGGATTGCTTGAGCCTAGGCCTTCAAGAGCAGCCTGGGTAACACAGCAGGACCTCACCTCATCTCTTAAAACTCCCACACAATACGGGGAGACTTTAATACCCAACTGACGGTACTAGACAGACCATCAGAGCAGAAAATTAACAATGATATTCCGGACCTGAACACAACACTGGGCCAAATGTACCTGATAGACATCTAGAGAACTCTCCACCCAAAGATCAACAGAATATGCATTCTTCTCATTACCACATGGGACATACTCTAATATCAACCACACAATTGGACATAAAACAATCCTCAGAAAATGCAAAAGAAGGAAAATTATACCAACCACTCTCTTAGACCACAGCACAATAAAAATAGAAATCAAGACAAAATCACTCAAAACCATACAATTATATGGAAATTAACCAACCTACTCCTGGATGACTTTTGGGTAAATAATGAAATTAAGGTAGATATCAAGAAGTTCTTTGAAACGAACAAAAACAAAGACACAACATACCAGAATCTCTGGGACACAGCTAAGGCAGTGTTAAGAGGGAAATTTATCACACTAAACACCCACATCAAAAAGATAGGTCAATGGCCAGGCACGGTGGCTCATGCCTATAATCCAAGCATTTTGGGAGGCCAAGGAGAGTGGATTGCTTCAGGCTAGCAGTTTGAGACCACCCTAGCCAACATGGCAAAACCTCTTCTCTACTAAAAATGCAAAATTTAGCTGGGTATGGCAGTGTGTGCCTGTAGTCCCAGCTATTCGGAAGGCTGAGGCACAAGGAGGTGGAGGTGGCAGTGAGCCAAGATTGTGCCACTGCACTGCAGCCTGGGTGACAGAGCAAGACTCTTGTTTAAAAAAAAAAAGAAAGATCTCAAATTAACAACCTAACTTCATAGGAGAAAGAACTAGAAAAGCAAGAGCAAACCATTCCCAAAGCTAGCAGAAAAAAAGAAATAATCAGAGCTGAAAACTGAAGGAGACTGAGACAGGAAAAACCATTCAAAAGATTAACAAATCTAGGAGTTGGTTTTTTGAAAAAGTTGGTAAGATGGACCGCTAGCTAGAATAATGAAGAAGAGAAAAAATCCAAGTAAACACAATTAGAAACAACAAAGCGGGTGTTGCCACTGACCCCTCAGAAATACAAATAACTAGCAGATACTACTATGAACACCTCTATGCACACAAACTAGAAAATCTAGAAGAAATGGATAAATTCCTGAACACATACACCCTCGCAAGACTGAAACCAGGAGGAACTTGAATCCCTGAACAGACCAATAACAAGCTCTGAGATTGAATTAGTAATGTATAGCCTAGCAACCAAGAAAGGCCCAGGACCAGGTGAATTCACAGCCAAATTCTACCAGATGTACAAAGAAGAGCTGGTACCATTTCTACTGAAACTGTTCCAAATAACTGAGGAGAAAGGACTCCTCCCCAACTCATTCTTTGAGGCCAGCATCATCCTGATACCAAAACCTGGCAGAGATAACAGAAAAAACTAGGCCAGTATCCTTGATGTTTATTAATGCAGAAATCCTTAAGAAAATAACTAGCAAACCAAATCCAGCAGTATATCAAATAGCTAATCCACCATGGTCAAGTAGGCTTTATCCCTGGGATGCAAGGTTGGTTCAGCATACGCAAATCAATAAATGTGATTCATCACATAAAAAAGAACTAAAGACAGCCAGGTGTGGTGGCTCATGCCTGTAATCCCAGCACTTTGGTAGGCCAAGGTGGGTGGATCACCTGAGGTCAGGAGTTCGAGACCAGCCTGACCAACATGGTGAAACCCTGTCTCTAGAAACAATACAAAAATTAGCCAGGTGTGGTGGCACGCACCTGTAGTCCTAGCTATTCGAGAGGCCGAGGCAGGAGAATCACTTGAACCCAGGAGGCAGACTGCAGTGAGCCAAGATCGCACCACTGCACTCCAGCCTGGGCGACAGAGCGAGAATCCATCTCAAGTCTTAAAAAAAAAAAAAAAAAAAAAACCTGGTGCAGTGGCTCACACCTGTAATCCCAGTACCTTGGGAGGCTGAGGCGGGTGGATCACAAGGTCAGGAGTTCAAGACCAGCCTGGCCAAGATGGTGAAACCCCATCTCTACTAAAAATACAAAAATTAGCCGGGCATGGTCGTGGGCACCTGTAATCCCAGCTACTTGGGAGGCTGAGGCAGGAGAATTGCTTGAACCTGGGAGGCAGAGGTTGCAGTGAGCCGAGATGGCGCCACTGCATTCCAGCCTGGGCATCAGAGCATCAGAGCAAGACTATGTCAAAAAAAAAAAAAAAAAAAAAGGCCGGGCGCAGTGGCTGACGCCTGTAATCCCAACAGCTTGGGAGGCCGGGGCGGGTGGATCACGAGGTGAGAAGTTCAAGACCAGCCTGGCCAAGATGGTGAAACCCCATCTCTACTGAAAATACAAAAATTAGCCGGGCATGGTGGTGGGCATCTGTAATCTCAGCTACTCAGGAGGCTGAAGCTGGAGAATTGCTTGAACTTGGGAGGCGGGGGTTGCAGTGAGCCGAGATCATGCCACTGCACTCCAGCCTGGGAGACAAGAGCAAGACTCCGTCTCAAAAAAAAAAAAAAAAAAAAAAAAACAAAGACAAAAACTACATTATCTCAATAGATGTAGAAAAGGCTTTTTGACATATTAAAAACTCTAGATAAACTAGGTATTAAAGAAACATACTTCTAAATAATAAGAGCCATCTATTACAAAGCCACCCAACGTCATGCTGAAATAACCAAAAGCTGGAAACATTCCCTTTGAAAACTGACACAAGACAAGAATGCTGTCTCCCACCACTCCTATTCAACATAGTACTGGAAGTCCTGGCCAGGGCAGTCAGGTAAGAGAGAGAAATAAAGGGTATTCAAATAGGAAGAGGGAAGTCAAACTACGTCTCTTTGCAGATGACTTAATTCTATATCTAATAAACCCATAGTCTCAGCCCAAAAGCTCCTTCAGCTGATAAACTTCAGCAAAGTGTCAGGATACACAATCAGTATACAAAAATCACTATCATTCTTATACACCAATAGCAGCCAAGCCAAGAGCTAGATCAGGAACGCATTGTCATTCACAATTGCCACAAAAAGAATAAAATACCTGGAAATACAGCTAACCAGGGAGGTGAAAGATCCCTACAATGAGAATTACTCACTGCCCAAAGAAATCAGAGATGACAGATGCAAATGGGAAAACATTCCATGCTCATGGATAGGAAGAATCAATGTTATTAAAATGGCCATACTGCCCAAAGCAATTTACAGATTCAGTCCTAATCGTATGAAATTACCAATGACATTCTTCACAGAACTAGAAAAACTATTTTAAAATTTAGATAGCCAGGCACGGTGGCTCACGCTTGTAATCCCAGCACTTTAGGAGGCTAAGGCGGGCAGATCACTTGAGGTCAGGAGTTCAAGACTCTGGGTGACAGAGTGAGACTGTCTAAAAAAAGAAAAAGAAAATTTAATGTTTCAGGAGGAATAAAATAAATAACATTTAAAATGCTTATTATTAGCTCTTCCATTTATGGGAAATTAACCTAAGGAAGTAATCAAAGATTTGGGCAAAGCTTTATCCTCAATAAAAACCCTGTGATATTTGCAAACGATAGCTTGTACTGGAACTTTTTTTTTTTTCTTTTGAAATGGAGTATTGCTCTGTCACCCAGGCTGGAGTGCAGTGGCCTGATCTTGGCTCACTACAACATTCACCTCCCAGGTTTAAGCGATTCTTCTGTCTCAACCTCCCAAGTAGCTGGGACTACAGGCACCTGCCATCATGCTGGCTAATTTTTTAATATTTTTAGTAGAGATGGGGTTTCACCATGTTGGCCAGGCTGGCCTTGAACTCTTCTTGACCTCAAGTGATCCGCCCGCCTCGGCCTCCCAAAGTGCTGGGATTACAGGCGTGAGCTGCCGCTACCGGCCTGTACTGGAACTATTAATAAGTTTTACTTAACAAAAATAAAAGTCATCTGGGCGCGGTGGCTCACGCCTATAATCCCAGCATTTTGGGAGGCTGAGGCAGGCGGATCTCAGGTCGAGAGATCGAGACCAGCCTGACCAAGATGGAGAAACCCCATCTCTACTAAAAATACAAAATTAGCCAGGCGTGGTGGTGCATGCCTGTAATCCCAGCTACTCGGGAGGCTGAGGCAGGAGAATTGCTTGAACCTGGGAGGCAGAGGTTGTGGTGAGCTGAGATTGTGCCATTGCACTCCAGCCTGGGCAACAAGAGCGAAACTCCGTCTCGAAAAAAATAAATAAATAAAAATAAAAGTCATTTTGAAAAGCATTTCCTCTCAGGGCTAGTGTTCTTGATATATTAAGTATATATACTAGATATAGTTTATAGTATATTGTAGAATATATGTATTCTATATTTCTTCAATTCTAAGACTCCATTAAATGTGTCATATTCGTGTAATAACTTAGTGAAATGAAACACATTAAGAAGCATTAAGGTGGGGATGAAGTATATCAGAGATTATCTCTAGAATTACTTGATTCGAAACGACATACGTACTTCTTTGTGCCTTTCGATATTATCCAAAATGTCCATATGATCATATATTAGTAAGGTGATGTTTTTATTCTCTACATCCTTTGTGTAGTTATATATTCATTTAAATTAATGATGGTTGTAATTCAAAGATAGTTTTGAGTAGAGGCTATTAGGAATGTGAAGATCATACTATTGCTGATTCCTGCCTTCGCATGTTGCAAATGGAATTAAATGTATTAAATGTATTATTAGTATGTGTTGTTTGAACCCTACATCTGACTTCAGCATCCCTTTGGTGAGTACCTTTTTCCTTTATTTATTTATTTTTTTACCTAAGAAGCTGAAAAGAGTGAAGATTCCTCTGGTGCTGCAGGCCTCTCAGGCTTACATCGCACATACAGCCAGGACTGTAGCTTTAAAAACAGCATGTACCATGTTGGAGATTACGTCTATGTGGAACCTGCAGAGGCCAACCTACAACCACATATCGTCTGTATTGAAAGACTGTGGGAGGATTCAGCTGGTAAGTTTGTTTTAAATCAAAGGACAGTTTAGTGAGATATGACTGTTTGACTTCTCCTTGCTCCTCAGGGAAGAAAATTTTAACTCAGACATCTTAAGCCTTTCCATAATAATTGTTCAATATGTCAATAAATGTAAGTAAGCACCCATCATATGAAAAACATAGGACCTATTGGGCAAGTGTCACAGTTGAGTCAAAAGAAATACAGCTTCTAGGTCGGGCGCGGTGGCTCACGCCTGTAATCCCAGCACTTTGGGAGGCTGAGGCGGGCAGATCACAAGGTCAGGAAATCGAGACCATCCTGGCTAACACAGTGAAACCCTGTCTCTACTAAAAAGATACAAAAAATGAGCTGGGCCTGGTGGCGGGCGCCTGTAGTCCCAGCTACTCGGGAGGCTGAGGCAGGAGAATGGCGTGAACCCAGGAGGCGGAGCTTGCAAGGGAGCCGAGATCACGCCACTGCACTCCAGCCTGGGTGACAGAGTGAGACTGTCTCAAAAAAAAAAAAAAAAAAAAAGAAAGAAATACAGCTTCTTAAAGTCTGGTTGAGATTCATTCATTCATTTGATACTTATTAAAAACATACTTTGAGCCAAACTTTATGTAGAGTGACATAGATTCAGAAGAACAAAAAGCTCATATTTTCCCTTGCAAAACTACTCCAGTAAGGAAGATTATGATCAAAAAAGAAATTATTATAGAATGACATGCCTTGGCTTAGCATTTGTTTTCAAAAAGGCTTTCTAGAACAGTTGCCTTTAAATTGAGACATGGAGTATGCATAGAAATTAATGAAGCCAGAAGTTGGTGGAAATGTGATCCAGGCAATCCAGTTCTTTGAGCTGCCTATCACATGAAATACTTTTGTATTCCTTCACCAGAGAGCTAAATATGTCCTTCAGTAGCATATCTGTCCCCTTACTAAAGTGCACAACTCTAGGTATGTACTAACCAGAGCAGAGTGGAGCAGGTCTCATCACCTGTCCTCCTCATTATGTACTTTATATGGCTTTTAATATGAAGAAGAGCCTGGGCAACATGGCAAGACCCCTTCTCTAGAAAAAATAAGAAAATCAGCAGGGTGTGATTGCACTTGCTGTGGTCCCAGCAACTTGAGAGGCTGAGGCAGGAGGATCACTTGAGCCCAAGAGGTTGAGGGTGTATATATATATATATGAGGGGGGAAAAGTAGCATGCATTTTTTAGGCCTCATTACACTTTATTATTTTTGAGTATTATTTCTCCTGTGGATAATTATATTAAACTGTAGCTGTAAAAATAAGCACAGTGCTAGGTTCATGTCATGGCAGAGTGGATTGATGGTGTATTTCCTAATTTTGCAAAGAATGTGTGATTTCTGAGCTGGACACAGTGACTTATACTTGTAGTCCCAGCTACTCAGGAGGCTGAGGTTGGAGGACCACTTTGGCCCAGGAATTCAAGTCCAGCCTGGGCAACGTAGTGAGACCCAGTCTCTTTAAAAAAAAAAAAAAAAAAAAGTGATTTCTGTTAACAATGATTCTCTTTCTCTTCCCCTTCCCCCACCCCCCATTTTTGAGGTGAAAAATGGTTGTATGGCTGTTGGTTTTACCGACCAAATGAAACATTCCACCTGGCTACACGAAAATTTCTAGAAAAAGAAGTTTTTAAGAGTGACTATTACAACAAAGTTCCAGTTAGTAAAATTCTAGGCAAGTGTGTGGTCATGTTTGTCAAGGTAAGAAACTCATTAAATCCCAAAGTCTCACTCATTCCCTAGGAATAAAATTTTAAAACACAGAAAATAATCGATGTTTACAAAATTAGGAACTCTGTTTTAAGCTATTTTTTAAGCCGTGTCTATATAGCTATATGAAAAGATTTGGGAAGAAATTAACCTGAACTTCGTTGTGAAAGACCACTTGCTGCTTACACTATTTGGCTATAATGCAGTTAGGTTAAGTTTTTAATATTGCCAGGCTAATTTTTAAGTATGATGTTTTTTTAAGGATAATCATTACAAATTTTCAGTTTGTTTTTTAGGTAATAATGTGTGCTTTTGTGTGTCTGTCTGATACACACACACAAGCCCTCTTCAAAGCTTTAAGGAACATTATAGCTATATGAAATGTTCATATGTTTTCAAAGAGCAATTGTAAGCTAAATGGAATTATTTGTTTTTATAATTTAAAGGGTGTGTATATAATAAGTCCATTCCGTAGCCAAAGAAATACTTCTAAATCTCTGGTCATTTATTATTTTTTGTTAACTGCCAGAAAGTCTGTAATCAGTTCAGCTTTTGTTTGGTTGGTTGGTTATTTGCTTTTTTTTTTTTTTTTTTTGATTGATTTTCAGAAAATTCACCTAACTAGTTTTATTCTTATGCCCTCCCCACCCCCCAGGAATACTTTAAGTTATGCCCAGAAAACTTCCGAGATGAGGATGTTTTTGTCTGTGAATCACGGTATTCTGCCAAAACCAAATCTTTTAAGAAAATTAAACTGTGGACCATGCCCATCAGCTCAGTCAGGTTTGTCCCTCGGGATGTGCCTCTGCCTGTGGTTCGCGTGGCCTCTGTATTTGCAAATGCAGATAAAGGTGATGATGAGAAGAATACAGACAACTCAGAGGACAGTCGAGCTGAAGACAATTTTAACTTGGAAAAGGTATGCAGATAATAGCCACACAGAAAAAATTTTACATCTCAAAACACCTATTCCAGAAAATAAATGAATAAAGTATTCAAACTTAGAAAAAGAGCAACAACACAAAACCTTAGCCAAACAGGAAGAAGGAAACTATAACAGAAAGAAATTTACACTTTCAAAACTGTACATTATAATTTAAAAGTAAATCAGGCCAAGTGCATTGGTTCACGCCTGTAATCCCAGCATTTTGGGAGGCCAAGGCGGGCAGATCACGAGATCAGGAGTTCGAGACCAGCCTGACCAACATGGTGAAACCTCATCTCTACTAAAAATACAAAAATTAGCTGGGTGTGGTGGCGCGTGCCTGTAATTCCAGCTACCCAGGAGGCTGAGGCAGGAGAATGGCGTGAACCTGGGAGGCGGAGGCTGCAGTGAGCTGAGACCACGCCACTCTACTCCAGCCTGGGCAACAGAGTGAGTCTCTGTCTCAAAAAAACAAAAAATTTTTTTAAAGTAAATCTAAGAGCTAATTATTTGACAAGTCCAATTAGATAAACTGCCAACTATCTAATAATGGGAAAAGAAAGGGGTTAAACTTCGACACAAAATGTGGAAGAAGGCCAGGCGCGGTGGCTCACACCTGTAATCCCAGCACTTTGGGAGGCCAAGATGGGTGGATTACCTGAGGTCAGGAGTTCGAGACCAGCCTGGCCAACGTGGTGAAACCCTGTCTCTACTAAAAATACAAAAAATTAGCTGGGTGAGGTGGTGGGTGCCTGTAATCCCAACGGGAGGCTGAGGCAGGAGAATCGCTTGAACCCAGGAGGCAGAGGTTGCAGTGAGCCGAGATCGTGCTATTGCAGTCCAGCCTGGGCAACAAGAGCGAAACTCTGTCTCAAAAAATAAATAAATAAATAAATGTGGAAGAAATGTAAAGACTGTATATTTCTGCTAATAAATTTGAAAACCTAAATAAAATGGCTAATTGTCTAGGATATTACAAATTACCAAAATGGAATCAAGAAGAGATATAATACAGAATGTACAACAACATGAAGAAATTTTTTAAAGTATCATAGAACTGACCCCAAAGAGTACTGAGGTCAGACAGTTCCATAGGTGACTTTTTCTTTAAGGGACCTATGATTATTATACTGTTGAAGCTGTTTCAGAGCAGGGAGAACAAGAAATTTCCAGTTTGTTTTGCAAAGCCAAGATAATCTTGATTTCACAACCTGAAAAATAAAAACAAAAAACTGCAACTCAGTCTTATTCATGTATATTGATGCAAAAATTACTTGGGGGAAAAAGTAAGTGAAATCAAATTACTTCTTTGAGAACAACATGACCAAGAAGTGGGAATTCATTCTAAGAAAGCAAGAATTGTTCAAAGTTAGGGAGATCTTTAAATTTCATTCATTATTCCATTAGATCAAAGGAAAGATTATTTGGTAGAGAACCCATCTTGATTTTTTTTAAGACTTTCAATAGGTATTTCTTCTAGTGTAATTTTTTTTTAAATTCATATTTGTGTCTCAAGCCTGAAGCCTATAAAACAAATTCCTTTTTAAATTTACACACTGGACAAAGGGGCTTACTGTTCTAGTGTTACTTAATATTTTTTGAAATTAGCCAATGTAGTTAGATAAACAAAAGCAGTAAAAATATTGACAATAAAGAAGCAAGATGGCAGGCGTGTTGGCTCATACCTGTAATCCTAGAACTTTGGGAGGCCAGGGCAGGTGGATCGCTTGAGTCCAGGATTTTGAGACTAGCCTGGGAATCATGGTGAAACCCCATCTCTACAAAAAGTACAAAAATTAGCCAGGCATGGTAGCACATGCCTGTAGACCCAACCACTTGGATGGCTGAGATGGGGGTATCCCATGAGCCCAGGAGGTAGAGGCTGCAGTAAATTGTGATTGCACCACTGCACTCTAGCCTGGTCAACAGAGCAAGACCGTCTCAAAAAAAAAAAAAAAAAAAAAAAAAGCAAGAATACTTTTCTGCAGATAATTGGGGGAAATTAACTGAAAAGGTTGGAAACAGAAAATTTAGCAAATAGAAATTTCAAAATCCATATGTAAATGAATAGTCTTCATATATAAACTAGTAAGACTTTTGAAAGTAAAGTGAAAGTGTTGAATACACTTTAGCAACTGTTAGAAAAATCTTATGGGAGAAAATATCCATTTCACACTAACAACAAATTAAGAAATAACCTTAACAAGGAATATATAGAACCTCTAGGAAAAAAATTTACTGAAGGACATAAAAGACTTGCATAGATTGTTTTTGAAACTTGACAAAATTATTCTAGCATTCTTATTAAGAATAAATATGTGACAGTCACCAGAAAACAAGGGGGAAAAAGGGGTATGAAAGAGAGCTTTGCCCTTTGATAGTGAACTGAGGGATTTTTTTAAATTTAAAAATTAGAACTTTGCCCTGCCAGATGTATTACATTTTATAAAACTACAGTTAAAAAACAAAATTAAAACCCAGTACAGTGTCACACGCCTGTAATCCCAGCATTTTGGGATGCCAAGACAAGTGGATCAGTTGAAGCCAGGAGTTCCAGACCACCCTGGGCAACATAGCAAGACCTTGTCTCTACAGAAGATTTTTAGAATTTTATTTAATTTAGAAAAACAGTAATTTACCTATAATTTTTTTTCAATAATAAACTTGGAATAGACGAGGATTTTCTGTTCATTATATAAAACCATTGATCATTTTATTGATTTATGATTGAAAATACAAGGTTAATAAAACAGTCTAGGGTTACTGTTTCTAATATACAAAGAGCTCTTTAGGGTCTAGGGGGGAAAGTAGGACTACAAAAATGAGCAGAGGCCCAAATAGATAATTTACGGAAAGAAGGCAGCAAAAAACATGTATTAGTTAACCTAATAGTTTGTATAATACCTAACAGGATGGCAAGAGTTGAAAAGACTGATAATATGTGTAGCCTGGTATAGGATGAGACCACACACACTTTTCTCCTATTGGTGTTTTTTTTTTTGTTTTTTTTTAGATGGAGTCTCACTGTTGCCCAGGCTGAAGTGCGGTAGCGTGATCTCAGCTCACTGTAACGTCCGCCTTCCTGGGTTCAAGTGATTCTGCTGCCTCACCCTCCTGAGTGGCTGGGATTGCAGGTGTGCACCACCGCACCTAGCTAATTTTTGTATTTTTAGTAGAGACAGGGTTTCACCATGTTGGCCAGGCTGGTCACAAACTCCTGACCTCTGATGATCCGCCTGCCTCGGCCTCCCAAAGTGCTAGTATTACAGGTGTGAGCCACCGCCCCCGCCCCTATTAGTTTTTTTTTTTTTTTTTTTTTTTTGAGATGGAGTCTCACTCTGTCCCCAAGGCTGGAGTGCATTGGCGTGATCTCAGCTCACTGCAAGCTCCATCTTCGGGGTTCACACCATTCTCCTGCCTCAGCCTCCTGAGTAGCTGGGACTACAGGCGCTCACCACCACGCCCGTCTAATTTTTTGTATTTTTAGTAGAGACGGGGTTTCATCGTGTTAGCCAGGATGGTCTCGATCTCCTGACCTCATGATCCGCCCGCCTCGGCCTCCCAAAGTACTGGGATTACAGGCGTGAGCCACCGTGCCCGGCCCGGTGTCTTTGACCCAGCAGTTTGATGGCAAAGAATATGCTCCAATGGTAGTACTCAAACAGGTGCTCCGAAAGATTCTACGTAAGAGGCGACATCATGGGGCTGGGAAAGAATGTGATTTTTTATATTTTATCAGTATGGGAATGTGTTGGAATCATAAAATAATTTCTTTTAAAAGCAGAATTATCCGGTCGGGTGCAGTGGCTCACACCTGTAATCCCAGCACTTTGGGAGGCTGAGGAGGTTGGCGTGGTGGCAGGTGCCTATAATCCCAGTTACTTGGGAGGCTGAGGCAGGAGAATCACTTGAACCCAGTAGGTGGAGGCTGCAGTGAGCTGAGATCACGCCACTGCATTCCAGCCTAGGCAACAGAGCGAGACTCCGTCTGAAAAAAAAAAAAAAAAGAATTATCAATGGAAGTCAGCATGATAATTAACTTAGATTTCTTACCTGGTATTTAGAAGTCTCTAGGAACTCTCTGTATATGAGTTACTTGGTCTTTTTTGGTCTCATATCTTTATTTCAATATTATATGACCAAGACAGGTCATTCAGGAGCTTTTTTTTTTTTTTTTGAAACGGAGTCTCGCTCTGTCGCCCAGGCTGGAGTGCAGTGGCGCAATCTCAGCTCACTGCAGCCTCCACTTCCCAGGTTCAAGTGATTCTCCTGTCTTAGCCTCCTGAGTAGCTGGGACTACAGGCGTGTGCCACCATGCCCGGCTATTTTTGTATTTTTAGTAGAGACGGATTTCTACCATATTGGTCAAGCTGGTCTTGAACTCCTGACCTCAGGTGACCCACCCACCTCACCTTCCCAAAGTGCTGGGATTACAGGTGAGAGCCACTACTCCCGACCGGAACTTTTTTAAAGAATAACTTTAGGCCGTGCTCGGTGGCTCATGCCTGTAATCCCATCACTTTGGGAGGCTGAGGCGGGCAGATCACAAGGTCAGGAGATCACGACCATCCAGGCCAACATGGTGAAACCCTGTCTCTACTAAAAATACAAAAATTAGCCAGGCGTGGTGGCACGTGCCTGTAATCTCAGCTTCTCGGGAGGTTGAGGCAGGAAAATCACTTGAACCCAGGAGGGAGAGGTTGCAGTGAGCCGGGATTGCGCCACTGCACTCCAGCCTGGAGACAGAGGGAGACTCCGTATCAAAAAAAAAAAAGAATTACTTTAGAATAGAACCCATTCCTTAAAGGAAAAGGTATTATTAATCTCATGGGTTGTTTTATTCACAGCTTCCATTCTTTCAGATGTCCCTTGCCTGTCATGTATATGGAACCTCTCTGATTCTTTTTTTTTTTTTTTTGAGACAGAGTCTGCCCAGGTTGGAGTATAGCGGCACAATCTCGGCTCACTGCAACCTCCGCCTCATGAGTTCAAGCAATTCTTGTGTCTCAGTTTCCCAAGTTCCTGGGACTACAGGCGCGCACCATCATGCCTGGCTAATTTTTGTATCTTTAATAGAGATGGGGTTTTACCATGTTGGCCAGTCTGGTCTCGAACTCCTGGCCTCAAGTGATCCGCCTGCCTTGGCCTTCCAAAGTGCTGGGATTACAGGCGTAAGCCACCACTCCCGGCCTTCCCTCATTCTTAATCATTTTCCAAGAATACCATTTCAGTATCACATTTGAAGTCATAAAGATCAGAATGTTAAATTATTTGGACATTGTGAAGGAGGAATTTTTTTAAGTGTGAAGTTTGAAGTATTCTCAGGAAGATGCTATAGAAAACTTGGAGGCTTTGGAGTTTCCTCAGCTTATATATGTTTTGGAGTTAATATATTTATAACATCTAGCCTTGTGCCGATTATCAGCTAGGTTCTCAGTAAATGATGGTTCTTCTTTACCATCTTTACATTAGTGAGAAGTATCTTCTTTTTGCTTTTTCTTTTTTAGTCAGGACTATAAAACAACAGTAATAATGATGTCTGTTAAGTGGTTTTTATGAGTTAGGCATTTTTCTATGTACTTGAGCATGGATTATGTCACTTAAGCTTCGTAAACAACCCTATCTGGTGGCCACACTATCATTATCTTCATTTCACAAATGAGGAAACTAAGGCATAAGAGGTCAAATAATTTGCCCAAAGCCATAGCAGTCATTAGGTGACAGATGCTGTAATTTATTAAAAAACAGAGCATGTTTGGCTGGGCGCAGTGGCTCACGCCTGTAATCCCCGCACTTTGGGAGGCCAAGGCGGGTGGATCACGAAGTCAGGAGATCAAGACCATCCTGGCTAACACAGTGAAACCCCGTCTCTACTAAAAATACAAAAAAAAAATTAGCTGGGCATGGTAGCGGGTGCCTGTAGTCCCAGCTACTCCAGAGGCTGAGGCAGGAGAATGGCGTGAACCCGGGAGGCGGAGCTTGCAGTGAGCCAATATCGCGCCACTGCACTCCAGCCTGGGCGACAGAGGGAGACTATGTCTCAAAAAAACAACAACAACAACAAAAAAAGCATGTTTATATCACAGAGGCTATGCTATTCCTTTCCATGTTGGAATAAATCAAAATAGTAAAAATTTTAGATCTATCAGTTGTTTTTTGTGGTTTGTTTTCTTTTGTTTGAGATAGGGTCTCATTCTGTTTCCCAGGCTGGAGTGCAGTGGCACGATCTCAGCTCACTGCAAACTCCAATTGCCAGGCCCAAGCAATCTTCCTACCTCAGCCTCCCAAGTAGCTGTGAATACAGGCGCATGTCACCAAAGACAGCTAATTTTTAAATTTTTTTGGAAATGAGATCTCACTGTATTGCCCAGGCTGGTCTTGAACTCCTGGCTCAAGCAGTCCTCCCACCTTGTCCTCCCAGTGTGCTGGGGTTATGACATAAGCCACTGTGCCTGGCCTAAATCTTATCAATTGTTAATGTTAAGACATTAAGGGAGCCCAGTAAATGTGATAGAGAGGAAGCTTGTATAGAATTTGCCCCTTACACTATAGTAATGCATGAATGAGTCTGCTTTTAAATACCGATAAATCCTCTCCAGTTTTTTTGTTTGTTTCTAAAGGCAGTGGGAATTGAGAGCAGGAGGGAGACAGGATAAAAGCATCTTGGGATAATATTGTTTTATGAAAATTAACTAGAAATTTCAAATAGATACTTGATAAGTCTTCGTTTATTTCAATAATCTAATTGTTTTGTTTCCTAGCCTCCTTCAGAGTTTCTCTTTATGTTTTTTTGTTTGTTTGTTTTAATTTACTTTTTTCTTGAGACAGGGTCTTGCTCTGTCGCCCAGGCTGGAGTACAATGGCGTGATCCTAGCTCACTGTAGCCTCGACCTCCTGAGCTCGAGTGATCTACCCACCTCAGTCTCTTTGAGTAGCTGGGACTACAGGCATGCGCTACCATGCCCAACTAATTTTTTATTTTAATTTCTTTCTTCAGTTGAGACAAGGTCTCACTATGTTGCCCAAGCTGGTCTCAAACTCTTGGGCTCAAGCGATCGTCCTGCCTTGGCCTCCCAAAATGCTGGGATTACGTGAGCCACGTAACCAATGGTGGTTTTTTCTTTTAAGTTAATGTGAAAGAAAAGTCTGCTTTCGTTTCTTACCTTCTCTATTCCTTGATTATCAACTACCTTTCTTCAGCCAGTTTTCTTTACAACAGGAAAAAGAAGATGTCCCTGTGGAAATGTCCAATGGTGAACCAGGTTGCCACTACTTTGAGCAGCTCCATTACAATGACATGTGGCTGAAGGTTGGCGACTGTGTCTTCATCAAGTCCCATGGCCTGGTGCGTCCTCGTGTGGGCAGGTGAGTGTCATTGAATTAGGGAAGATGAGGTTGAATCTGAGAAATTTGGAACCAGTAGAAATTAGTCACCCTTCGGATGAAGACAAAAGTCCTTCCCCTGGCAGTTTCTCCAGCTTCTTCTCACACCATGTTCCCCTCCAACCACACTTTCTTCCTTAAATTATCCCTTTGGGCTCTTTTGTTTTCTTCCACTATTTACAGAACTTTCAGCTCAGAAATCTCCCTGCCTACTTCATACAGTAAACTCCTTTAGCATAAATTTGAAGTGACACTTTCTTAAAAGGAAGTCTTTCCTGTCCACTGCAGAATGGGTTAAGTCTCCCTGTTGCACACTCTCAAAGCACCACATATTTCCTTCTCCTTAGCGTATATATCACATATCGGTGTTCATTGTGTTATTGTCAGGTTTCACCCTTGTATTCCCTGCTCAAATCATAGTGCATGAAACATAGTAGGGCCTCAGATATTTGATGAACAAGTAAATGACAAAAGGATGACAGTATGGTTGAATGGCAAACACAGCAGAGTCTGGTATAGGGTTGGGTAGGAGAGGATAGTGGCTAAGAACAGTAGTTCATTCCCTGAGTCCCAGCTCTGTTAGTTGTAGGTCCTTAGGTGAATGATTTAGCCCTCTAGGCTTCAGTTTATATCTGTTCATCATTCAGTAAGCATTTATTATACCTACTATTTACCAGGCTCTGTGGATACATTAGTGAATAAAACAGACAAATATTCTTTTTCCTGGGGAGCTTTTTTCTAGTGTGAAGACAAACAACATCTTGAATAAGTAAAGTGTATAGTATGTTAGGTCATGATACGTGCCGTAGAAAAAATAGAGGAGAACAAGGGGAGAAGGGGGTCCCATGGTCAGAGCAGGGAGAATGGTTTATATAGGCCTCACTGAGAAGTCGGCAGCTGAACCAACACTTGAAGAAACTGAGAAAGTGAATAATGTGAATATCCAGGGAGAAAGGATTCCAGGCAGTGGGAACAGCCAGTATAAACACCTGAGGAGAAACATGCCAGGCCTGTTTGTTAGTAGGAGAGTGAGCCATTAATGAGTTAGTAAGAGATAAGTGCCAGGGGTAGGGTGCATATCACATAGGGCCTCAGAGACCATTATAGGGATTTGGGTTTTTACTGAGTTAATGGAGTGCCATCGATTGTTTCAAGCACAGAGTGACATTTGGTTTAGATCTTAATAGGATTGCTCTGCCTATTGGTTGTTGAGAATAGACTGTAAAAAGTCAAGGCAGAAGCAAGGAGATCCACCGCCTAGGATGCTGTTGCAATAATCCAGGCAAGAACAATCATGCTTCAGACCAGGGTGATTGCAAAAGATAGTATTTTGAAGGTCAAATTAATAGTATTCTTGATAAATGGAGTGTGGGGTCTGAGAAAGATAAAAAAGTCAAGGATGACTCCTGTGTGTAAGCCTGAGGAACAGGAAGGTTGCAGTTACCATTAACTGAAATAAGTATGATACTTCAGGTCAGGAATCACGATAATATGGAGCAATAATAATGTCAGCTTTATGGGTTAGTTGTCAAGAATAATGGCTTTCATCAAATTCTGAAGGGGTGAAGGGGCACTAGATTTTTTTTTTTTTTTTTTTTTTTTTTTGAGACATTGTCTGGTTCTGTCACCTAGGCTGGAATGCAGTGGCATGATCTTGGCTCACTGCAACCTCCACCTCCTGGGCTCAAGCCATCTTCCCACCTCAGCCTCCCAAGTAGCTGGGACTATAGGTGCACACTGCCAGGGCTGGCTAATTTTTGTATTTTTAGTGGAGATGGGGTTTCACCATGTTGTCCAGGCTGGTCTTGAACTCCTGAGCTCACGTGATTCGCCCACCTTGGCCTCCCAAAGTGCTGGGATTACAGGCGTGAGCCCCTGGGCCCAGCCAGGGATATTAGATCTTGACCTTCAAAAAGATTATAAACCACTGTCTTAAAGGAATGTCTGCCACTCATGTGATCTGACCCCAAATATTGATGTTTTATGTCTTTGTTTGGTTCACAAGTCCAATGACAAATGCTTAGTTCTGTTTTCATCATGAACGTCTCAGGAAGAAAACCTGGTCATTAGATAAAACTATTAAGTTTTGTGCCTTGATATTAAGTTAAAAAATTTTTTTCACTTGGAAAAATAGTCAAATGTTCCTTTCTCTTTTTCTAAGTATCTTTTCATGTGTTTAATGGGGGAAAAAATTAATGAAGTTGTCTTACCAAAACAGCCAGTGAAACTCCTCTGAATGGTACACATTACTAAGTTTTTGGTTAATGCGATTTTTGTTAGATTAATCCTTCAAGAAGGAAACTATTTTAATGTAATTTATATATTTTCCTCCCCAAGAATTGAAAAAGTATGGGTTCGAGATGGAGCTGCATATTTTTATGGCCCCATCTTCATTCACCCAGAAGAAACAGAGCATGAGCCCACAAAAATGTTCTACAAAAAAGAAGTATTTCTGAGTAATCTGGAAGAAACCTGCCCCATGACATGTATTCTCGGTAGGTATTTGTGCTTTTTTATTTAATCGTGTTTATTCCATCAAAATTGATGGAATACTACTTCTGTGGGGCACTGTTCTAGGTGTTAGGTATAGAGCAGTGCCCAAATCCAAATCTCTGTTCTCTTATGTTGGGGCAGAGATTGGGGAGTCAGTCGATAAATTAAAAAATAAATATATAGAATATCAGGTGGTAATTAGGGCACAACCAAACCTTTCACCTCAGCCTTCCAAGTTGCTGGGACTATAGGCATGCACCACCGCACTGAGCTAATTTTTGAAAGATAGTTTTCCTAGATATAGAATTCTCCATTGATAGTTTTTTTTGTTCATGTCTTTCATCAGATTTGGGGAGTTTTTGGCCATTTCTTCAAATATTCTTTCTGCTCCTTTCTCTGCTTCCTTCAGGAACTCCCATTATACTTAACGTTGGTACATTTAATGGTGCCTCACAGGTCTCTCAGACTCTTCATTTTTCTTTACCTTTTTTTTCCTTTCTGCTCCTCAGACTGGATAACTTCAAATGGCCTGTCTTCAGGTGCATTCATCCTCTGCCTGCTCAAATCTTCTGTTGAACCCTTCTAATAAATTTTTCATTTCAGTTATTGTACTTTTCAGCCCCAGAATTTAGTTTTTATAATTTGTCTCTTCATTTATATTCACTATTTGCAATGACATTTTACTGGTTTCCTTTAGATCTTGGAGTATATTTAAAACAGTTGATTTAAGGCCAGGCATGGTGGCTCATGCCTGTAATCCCAGCACTTTGGGAGGCCGAGGCGGGTGGATCACCTAAGGTCGAGAGTTTGAGAACAGCCTGCCAACATAGTGAAACCTTGTCTCTGCTAAAAAAAAAAAAAAAAAAAAAATTATTTGGGCATGGTGGCACATGTCTGTAATCCTAGTTACTCTGGAGGCTGAGGCAGAGGCAGAGGCAGAGGCAGAGGCTGCAGTGAGCCAAGATCACGCCACTGCACTCTAGCCTGGATGACAGAGCAAGACTGTCTCAAAAAAAAAAAAAAAAAAAAAAAAAGACAATTGATTTAAAGTATGTGTTTAGTAAATCCAGTGTCTGGAATTTCTCAGGAACAATTTCTGTTCATTTTGTTTTTTCTTATGAATGGGCTGTGCCTTCTTGTTTCTTTGCATGCCTGATAATTTTTTGTTGAAAAGTGCTCATTTTGGGTATTATAACATGATAACTCTGGAAATCAGATTCTCCCCATCCTCAGGCTTTGTTCTTAATACTTATTATAGGTTATGGTTGTTTGTTCAGTGACTCTTCTAAACGTTTGTTTGTTTGTTTGTTTGTTTGGTTTGTTTTAAAGATTGTATTTTTGGCTGGGCACAGTGGCTCACACCTTTAATCCCAGCACTTTGGGAGGCTGACATGGGCAGGTCGCTTGAGCCCAGGAGTTCGAGACCAGCCTGGGCAAGATGGCGAAACCCTGTCTCTACAAAAAAATACAGAAATTATCCAGGTGTGGTGGTCTATATCCATGGTCCCAGCTACTCAGGAGGCTGAGGTGGTAGGATCACTTGAGCCCAGGGAGGTCGAGGCTGCAGTGAGCCATGATCATGCCACTGCACTCCAGCCTGGGCAACAGAGTGAGACCCTGTCTCAAAAAATAAAAGATTTTTGTTGTTGTTGTATATGGTTACTACAGTCTCTGTTCTATAAGCTTAGTGATCAGCCAGTGATTTGACAGAGGTTTTCGTAAATACGTGGAGCCAATAAAACCATAAAACTCCCAGTCTTCACTGCTGACTTCTCTGCGTATGGTGGAGCACACCTTCAACACTCAGCCATGCAGATTACAACTCTGCTTTGCCTTTACTTCCTACTTGTGCAGAGCTTGAAGGTCAGCCAGAAATGAGATCTTAGGGCCTTCTTAGGTCCTTTCTGAGCATGTACACTATTGTTGGCATGTGTGTGGCCTTCTAGGCTCCCAGGAATGTGTGGAAACTTTTCAAAACCCTTATTGGCCAAAGCATCTCACTCCTCATCTTTTCCTCTGAGGCCTTTTGTCATATCTACTGTTGGTCCTGACTGATACCCTTTGCCCCAGCCGGCAACAGCTGGTTCATTTGACTTTAAATGTGCTGTGATTTGAATGTTTGTGCCCCCTTCGAAATTCATGACTTAAAGTGTAATCCCTAGTGCAACAGTGTTGGGAAGTGGGGACTTTTAGGAGATGTTTAGGTCATGAGGGCTTGTCCTCGTGAATACAATATTGCTTTTATAAAAAGGGCTCATGTAAATGGGTCTGCTCTGTCTGAATGGGTTTGCTGTCTCTTACACTCTTGCCCTCTGCCTTCTGAAATATGATGACATAGCAAGAAAGCCCTTGCCAGATGCTGGCACCTTTATCTTGGACTTTCCAGCCTCCAGAACTGTGAGAAAACTGTTCTTTATAAATTACCCAGTCTGTGGTATTCTGTTATAGCAGCACAAACAAACTAAGACAAAATGTTTTTGACAAAAAAACCTAGACACTTCTCCACCAAGGGAATTCCAAGCTAAGCACAATAAAGGCAAGCACTTTGCATTAGTGTTTAGAAAGCTGCCTGACAGGTCAAAACAGATGACCACAGTTCTTGGAGCATGGAGCTGTTTTGCTTCCTCTATCACCACAATCTTACACCAGGAATAGAGGCTGCCATCTTCAAGGCTGCCACTGAGACAGAAAGTAAGGAATGGAGTGAGGGTAAGTTAAAATGCCACAGAGCTTTCCTGCCAAGTTTCAGTCACTTTTTTTCTTAATTAAGCATTTGCTTGGTTGCTGTAAACCTTTGACTATCTTACAGAATTCCAATAAAGTTTATTCTGCTTTTTTCACTGTTTCTGTGAAGTAATGGCCCTTAGAGCTCACTACTCCTCCATATTCACTGACATAACTTGGAGTAATTTCTTTCTAAAGATGCCTGTTAGAATGTGTTACATTCTGGCCGGGCATGGTGGCTCATGCCTGTAATCCCAGTACTTTGGGAGGTTGAGGCAGGCAGATCACCTGAGATTAGGAGTTAAGAGACCAGCCTGGCCAACGTGGTGAAACCCCATCTTTACTAAAAATACAAAAATTAGCCGGGCGTGGTGGTGTGCACCTGTAATCCCAGCTACTAGAGAGGCTGAGGCAAGAGAATTGTTTGAACCCGAGAGGTGGAGGTTGCAGTGAGCTGAGATCAAGCCACTGCACTCCAGCCTGTGGCTGGAGACAGAGCAAGAGACTCTATGTAACAAAAAAAAAAAAGAAAGAAAGAAAATGTGTTGCATTCTACAGTTTATCTACCAGTTTTATATCCAGGATCTCATTTAATTTTCAACATGACCCTGGAAGAAAGATGCTGATATTGTCAGAAAGGTGAAGTTACTACCCAGGGAGTGGGCCAGAACTAAAACCTAGGTTTTCCTAATTCTTCTTTAGTTAGTCTACAGCTAGCTGGCACACTTTTGAGAATTAAAGGAGGTGCCAGTAATATCAGGTAGGACAACAGGCATATAATGAAATATAAGTAACTTCATCTTGAGATAAAACCCAAAAGAAAATGCATCTAGTAATCACAAAGTGGGATTTCAGCCTAGCTTGTGGAATTCACTGTCCCCAGCCTCCAAGGAAAAAGGGTTTTGTTATATAAGCTTTAGAGAATTTATAATTTCATTGTATTAACTCTAACCACTATTAAATGTAAATCATATTTTGCACTTTTTTGTGTCTCTGAAATAGAAGTTTTGAAGATAATTAGATGAGGTGTATCATTTTTTCATCTTCTGTTACATACAAAGGAGACAATCCTGTTTTTCCAACGGTTATGTTCTTTTTTCAGTTTCGTTGAAGAATTGTTTTCATTTACTTAAACAGTAATCAAGCTGGGCACAATGGCTCACGCCTATAATCCCAGCACTTTGGGAGGCTGAGGCAGGTGGATCACTTGAGATCAGGAGTTCAAGACCAGCCTGGCCAACATGGTAAAACCCCATCTCTACTAAAAATACAAAAAAAAATTAGCCAGCTGTGGTGGTGCATTCCTGTAATCCCGGCTACTCAGAGGCTGAGGGAGGAGAATCGCTAGAACCTGTGAGGGAGAGGTTGCAGTGCGCTGAGATCACTCTACTGGATTCCAGCCTGAGTGACAGGGTGAGACTCCGTCTCAAAAAAAAAAAGAACTTAAACAGTAATCAGATGGCCACATGTGGCAGACAGTACCTCTACCCTTAACCCCTTAGGTGATAAAATTTCCAGGAACCTGGGCTCTTGAAACATGCCGATTCCTAATTTATTTGCAGGTTTTGTTCCCTTCACAGTAGATTTTTATAACGTTTCATTAATTTAAAAACTGTCCTCAGTAAGGCAAGGAAGATAAAAGATCTAAAGATTTGAAAGGAAAAACAAAAGGGCCTTTTTTTTTTTTTTCAAAAATATTAGGTATGTAGAAAATCCAAGAGATATTCAGATAAACTATTAAAATTAGTAAATGAAAATATGAAGTTTTTTTTGTTTTGTTTGAGACAAGATCTCGCTTTGTTATCCAAACTGGAGTGCAATGGTACAATCATAACTCACTGCAGCCTCCAACTCCTGGGCGCAAGCAATCCTCCCATCTCAGCCTTCCAAGAAGCTGGGACTATAGGGATGTACCACCACTCCCAGCTAATTTTTTTTTTTTTTTTTTTTTTTTTTTTTTTTGGGGAGATGAGGTATCCCTCTTGCTCAGGCTGGTCTCAAACTCCTGGCCTCAAGCATCCTCCCTGCTCAGCCTCCCCGAAAGTGCTGGGATTATAGGCATGAGCTACCTTACCTAGCCCCAATATTTCTATTTCTGTATCTGTATCCCATCAGTGAGCAATTAGAAAATTATTACCATTTGCATTCAATACCTAGGAATAAATCTTTTTTTTTTTTTTTTTTTTTTTTTTGAGATGGAGTTTCGCTCTTGTTGCCCAGGCTGGAGTGCAATGGTGCAATCTCGGTTCACCGCAACCTCCACCTCCTGGGTTCAAGCTATTCCCCTGCCTCAGCCTCCTGAGTAGCTGGGACTACAGGCATGCGCCACCATGCCAGGATAATTGTTTGTATTTTAGTAGAGACGGGGTTTCACCATGTTGGCCAGGATGGCCTTGATCTCCTGACCTCGTGATCCACCTTCCTCAGTCTCCCAAAGTGCTGGGATTACAGACGTGAGCCACCACGCCTGGCCAATCTTTTTTTTTTTTTTTTTTGGAGACAGTGTCTCGTTCTGTCGTCCAGGCTGCAGTGCAGTGGCACAATCTCGGCTCACTGCAACCTCCACCTCCTGGGTTCAAGCGATTCTCCTGCCTCAGCCTCCCGAGCAGCTGGGACCACAGGCGTGTGCCACCATGCCCAGCTAATTTTTGTATATTTAGTAGAGACAGCATTTCACCATGTTGACCAGGATGGTCTCAATCTCTTGACCTCGTGAGGCGCCTGCCTCGGCCTCCCAAAGTGCTGAGATTACAGGCATGAGCCATGGCACCCAGCCAGGAATAAATCTTTAAAAGATAGCCAACGTGGTAGCTCATGCCTGTAGTCCCAACACTTTGAGAGGCCAAGATGGGAGAGTCGCTTGACACCAGGAGTTCAAGACCAGCCTGGACAACAGAAGGAAACTCTACCAAAAAAAAAAAAAACGAAGAAACAAAGATGTGTAGGGCACCTGCACACGCATGTGCACACATGTGCGCACACACACACAACTATAAGAAAATTATTGAGAAATTGAAGACATAAGTAAATGAAAGTTATCCATCATATTTATAGCTGGAAAATTCAATATTAAAAAGATGCCAGTTCCCCCCAAATTGATCTATTGGTTCGTTCCAATTCCAATCAAAATCCAGCAGGTCTTGATAATTTTTTTATACTTTATTAAATGAAGTTTTCTAAACTTTCATCTTTTCCCTGTCTTTTGGGGGCTTGGTAGGAGCTCCAAGTCAGGACACAGAGATACCACCTCCATTCCAAAGCCACCAATCACTTTTACTCTTTGGTTGTAAGCAGAATTATTATTTTTTCCTAATGTCTATTTTTCCTTCTATAAAATATGGAAAATTGTAATTATCCCTTTTCTGAATTAAAAGGCCTTTGAATTATGTAAATAAAAGTGCTGTGTAAGTTCAAAGCAGTGATAGTAATTGTAGCTATTTTAAGCTTTGGAAATGTTTCTGACCTGTTTTTCATATACATGTTTAGTAAGTTGTTAGCTATGAACATTCCTGTTAAGGTCAAGAGCAAAATAGGGATGTTCTGGCTGGGTGCGATGGCTCATGCCTGTAATTCCAGCACTATGAGAGGCCAAGGAGGGCGGATCACCTGAGGTCAGGAATTCGAGACCAGCCTGGTCAGCATGGTGAAACTCTGTCTCTACTAAAAATACAAAAATTAGCTGATGTGGGCGTGGTGGTGGGTGCCTTTAATCCCAGCTACTGGGGAGGCTGAGGCAAAAGAATCACTTGAACTTGGGAGGTGGAGGTTGCAGTGAGCCAAGATCGAGTCACTACACTGCAGCCTAGCGACAGAGTGAGACTCCGTCTCAAACAAAAAACAAAAAAAGAAAAGAAACAAAATAGGGATGTCCTTATCACACTTATTTAACATTGTTCTAGAGGTACTAGCCAGTGGAGTTAGAAGAAACAGAAGTCTAAAATAAGAAAAGTAAGGAGGTGAAAATTCAAGAGCATCAACTAAGAAATCATGGCAAACAGTAAGAGAAGTGAGATGATTGAATATAAATAAATAACAAACCTATTATCTTAAAAGATTCAGTACTAATAAAATACCTTAGATAAACTTAACAAGATATGCCACATCTGTATGAAAAAAGTTTTAAAATGCTATTGAATGAATGCTTGAACAAATTGCAAAGCAGTACCATATGCCTAGGTAGGTTTCAATGTCATAAAGATGTCCATCCTCCCTAAATTAATCTTTAATATGATCCCATTAGATATACCAGTGGGAATTTGCTTGTGAGGAAGTTGATACTATGTGAACTCATTTTAAAAATCATATTGAAGGCCGGGCGCGGTGGCTCATGCCTGTAATCCCAGCACTTTGGGAAGCCAAGGCGGGCGGATCACGAGGTCAGGAGATCAGGACCATCCTCATTAACATGGTGAAACCCCATCTTTACTAAAAATACAAAAAGTTAGCCGAGCATGGCGGCGGGCGCCTGTAGTCCCAGCTACTTGGGAGGCTGAGGCAGGAGAAGGGGGTGAACCGGGGAGGCGGAGCTTGCAATGAACCGAGATCGCGCCACTGCACTCCATCCTGGGAAACAGAGCAAGACTCCATCTAAAAAAAAAAAAAAAATCATATTGAAAAAGAAACTTAGAATCGGGTGCAGTGGCTCACTCCTGTTATCAATCCCAGCACTTTGGGAGGCCGAGGTGGGTGGATCACTTGAGCCTAGGAGTTTGAGACCAGCCTGGGCAAGATGGCAAAACCTCATTTCTACAAAAAGTACAGAAATTAGCTGAGTGGCACTTGTCTGTAGTCCCAGCTACCCGGAGTAGGGGGCTGAGGTGTGAGGATCGCTTGAGCCCAGGAGGTTGAGGCTGCAGTGAGCAGCTGTCATCTCACCACTGCACTCCAGGCTGGGCAACAAAGTGAGACCCTGTCTCAAAAAAAGAAAAAGGAACTCAGGAAAATTCTGAAAAGTATAGTGAAAGGGGATCTATCCTTACCAGATATTAAAACATTATAGCACTACAATAATTAAAACTATATGATATATGAGTAAACAGGTTATTTGAACAAAATAGAAAGTTTAGCAAATATATGGTAAAAGTGGCATATCAGGTAAGTGGGGAAAGAAGTATTTTTCTCCAAATGGTGTTTGGAAATTCAATAACCATTTGGAAAAATAAAATTGTAGCCATATCCCACATCTTAACTTCAGGATAGATTTCCAGATGAATTATAAATTTAAATAAACATAAAATTAAACAACAAAGATACCAAAAGAAACCATGAGAAAGAAATTTTGTTAATCTCTGACATAAAAGCCAGAACTCATACAATAAAATACTGATAAATTCAGCTGTATAAAAATGGAAAATATCTATATGACCAAAACTGGCAAAAACAAAAATGACAATCTTGAGAAAATATTTGCAATGTTTATCATAGACAAAGATCTGATTTTCCTCATAGATGAAGAGCTCCTATAAAGCAATTAGATAAAGATCAACATCCAGCAGGGAAATAGGCAAAGAAAATAAAGGAGAGCAGAAATAAATTACTAGGGCCCAGTGTGATGACTCACACCTGTAATGCCAGCACTTTGGGAGGCCAAGGTGGGTGGATCACCTGAGGTCAGGAGTCGAAGACTAGCCTGGCCGACATGGTGAAACCCTGTCTGTACTAAAACTACAAAAATTAGCTGGACATGATGGTAGGCATCTATAGTCCTAGCTACCTGGGAGACTGAAGCAGGAGAATCACTTGAACCCAGGAGGCAGAGGTTGCAGTGAGCCAGAATCGCACCACTGCGCTCCAACCTGAGTGACAGAGCGAGACTCCATCTTAAAAAAAAAGAAACTACCAGTGATTCTTAAACAAATGAAAATATACCCGGCTGGGCACGGTGGTTCACACCTGTAATCCCAGCAGTTTGGGAGGCTGAGGGAGGCGGATCATCTGAGGTCAGAAGTTCGAGACCAGCCTGGCCAACATGGTGAAACCCCATTTCTACTAAAAAAAAAAAAAAAAAAAAAACACAAAAATTAGCCAGGCATGGTGGCACACGCCTGTAATCCCAGCTACTCGGGAGGCTGAGGCAGGATAATTGCTTGAACCTGGGAGGCAGAGGCTGCGGTGAGCTGAGATCAAAAAAGAAAAGAAAAGAAAATATACCCAACCTTGGCCATTAGAGAAATGCTAGTTAAAGCTACCCAGGTGCTTTTCTTCTTTTCTTTTTCATTTTTCTTTTTTTCTTTTTTCTTTTTTTTTTTTTTTTGAGATTACCTATCAAATTGTCAAAGATCCAGAAGACATTTCTCACTAGTTGACAAGAGCATGAGGAAATGGTATTTACCTACTTTGTGGGTAGTCTGTGAATTAGGACACCCTTTATGGAAGGCAGTTTGATAATACCTACAAAAATTTAAAAAGTGTATACATACCCTTTAACCCAGCTTTTATAGTTCTAGAAATTTATGCTTCAGATGTATTCACCTACGTGCAAATTGATATGTCTTAAATTATTTATTTCAGCATTATTTAGCGTCAGCAGAAGAGCAAACATTGGGAAACAACATAGATACCCATCAATAGGGAACTAGTTGAATAAACTTAGTACATTCATACAAGCCGTGACCTCCAAGACATATTATTTTGTGACAAAATTCAGATGCAAAACAGTTTTAAGTGATATGCTACCATTTATGGGAGTTTTTTATTGTTTTATATATATGTCATAGAATTCATCATTTTAACCTTTTTTTTTTTTTTTTTTGAGATGGAGTCTTTCTCTGTCACCCAGGCTGGAGTCAGTGGCACAGTCTCGGCTCCCTGCAACCTCCGCCTCCCAGGTTCAAGCAATTCTCCTGCCTCAGCCTTCTGAGTAGCTGGGATTACAGGCGCAAGCTACCACGCCTGGCTAATTTTTGTATTTTTAGTAGAGACGGGGTTTCGCCATGTTGGCCAGGCTGGTCTCAAACTCCTGACCTCAGGTGATCCGCCCACCTTGGCCTCCCAAAGTGCTAGGATTACCACGCCCAGCCTTAACCGTTTTTAAATACACAGTTCAGTGGCTTTAAGTCCATTGACAATACCGTACAGCTATCACCACTGTTCATTTCTAGAATTTTTTCATTATCCCAAATAAAAACTTTGTACCTGTTAAACAACTCTTTATTTTCCCCTTCCCCCTGGCCCTAGTAATCACTGTTCTACTTTTTTTGTTCATGAATTTTGCCTGTTCTATATACTGCATATAAGTGGAATCATACAATATTTGTCCCTTTGGATCTGGCCTATTTTACTTAGCCTAATGTTTTCAAGGCTCATCCATGTTGTATCATATATCAGAATTTTATTCCTAAGGCTGTATATTCCATTATATGTATACTACATCTGTTAATGGACATGTAGGTTGTTTTCACATTTTAGCTATTGTGAGTAAAACTGCTCTTACCAGTGGTGTACAAGTAGTTGATCCTCTGATTTCTTTTGGATATATACCTAGAAATAGAATTGCGAGGTCATATGGTAACTCAGTGTTTAACTTTTTGGAGAAACTGCCTAAATATTTTCCACAGCAGCTGCACCATTTTACAGTCCCACCAAGATACAAGGGTTCCATTTTCTTCACATCCTTACCACCACTTGTTATTTTCTGTTTTGGGTTTTTTTTTTAATACAGGCATCTTAATGGGGTGTGAAGTAGTATTACATTGCCGTTTTGATTTGATTTTCCTGATGATGAATGCTGTTAAGCATTGTGTTTTTTTTGTTTTGTTTTGTTTTGTTTTGAGACAGAGTCTCGCTCTTTCGCCCAGGCTGGAGTGCAGTGGCGCAATCTCGGCTCACTGCAAGCTCCGCCTCCTGGGTTCAGGCCATTCTCCTGCCTCAGCCTCATGACTAGCTGGGACTACAGGCGCCTGCAACCACACCCCGCTAATTTTTTGTACTGTTAGTAGAGACGGGGTTTCACCGTGTTAGCCAGGACGGTCTCGATCTCCTGACCTCATGATCCACCCGCCTCGGCCTCCCAAAGTGCTGGGATTACAGACATGAGCCACTGCGCCTGGCTAAGCATTGTTTCATGTGCCTATTGGACATTCGTATGTCTTTTTTTAGAGAAATGTCAATTTATATCTTTTGCACATTTTTTAATTGGGTTATATATTTGTCTTAATGTTGAGTTGTAGGAATATATATTCTGTATACTAGACTCTTACTAGATATATGATTTGCAAATATTTTCTTCTATGGCTTATCTTTTCACTTTCTTGATAGTATCCTTTGGAGCACAAAAGTTCTTAATTTTGATAAAGCCCCTTTTTTTTTTTTTGAGACTGAGTCTCGCTCTATTGCCCAGGCTGGAGTGCACTGGGGTGCTCTTGGCTCACTGCAGCCTCTGCCTTCCGGGTTCAAGCAATTCTTCTGCCTCAGCCTCCTGAGTAGCTGGGCTTACAGGAGCGCACCACCAAGCCCAGCTAATTTTTTTGTATTTTTAGTAGAGACGAGGTTTCACCATGTTGGCCAGGCTGGTCTCGAACTCCTGACCTCAGGTGATCCACCCTCCTCGGCCTCCCAAAGTGCTGGGATTACAGGCATGAGCCACTGCACCCAGCCCATTTTGAATTAATTTTTTTTTTTTGAGACGGAGTCTCGCTCTTTCGCTCAGGCTGGAGTGCAGTGGCGTCATCCTGGCTCTCTGCAACCTCCGCCTTCCAGGTTCAAGCAATTTTCCTGCCTCAGCTTCCTGAGTAGCTGGGAGTACAGGTGCACGCCACCACGCCCAGCTAATTTTTGTATTTTTAGTAGAGATGGGGTTTCATCATGTTGGCCAAGGACGGTCTCGATCTCTTGACCTCGTGTTTCTGCTGCCTCGGCCTCCCCAAAGTACTGGGATTACAGGCATGAGCCACTGCGCCTGGCCAAATTAATTTTTATATATGATAGGAGGTAGGAGTTCAACTGCATTCATGTGCAGAAGTGGAAATCCAGTTGTCCTGGTACCGTACCATCTGTTGAAAAGAGTGTTCTTTCCCCCAATGAATTGTCTTGGAACCCTTATCAAAAATCAATTATCCATAAAAGCCCTATTATATTGGTTTATTTCTACACTTTCAGTTCTATTCCATTGACCTATATATTCTATCCTTATGCCAATACATATTGTATTATATCTTTTTTTTTTTTTCTTGAGATAGGGTCTCACTCTGTCACCCAGGCTGGAGTGCAGTAGTGCAATCACAGCTCACTGTAGCCTCAGACTCAGACTTCCCAGACTCAGATGATTCCCACCTCAGCCTCCCGAGTAGCTGGGACCACAGGCATGCACCACAACATCCAGCTAATTTTTTGTATTTTTTTGTAGAATTTGGGGGTCTCACTATGTTGCCCAGGCTGGTCTCAAACTCCTGAGCTCAAGAGATCTGCCCACTTCAGCCTCTCAAAGTGCTGAGATTACAGGCTTGAGCCACCATGCCTAGCCCCTTTCATATCTTTAAAATTGTTAATTATATGAATGTATTCATCCAAAAATAATAAAATGTTAAAACAGTTAGTAACTATGACCACAGTTTACTCCTTTAATTTCTTTCTAATTTTCTCTTTCAGGAAAGTGTGCTGTGTTGTCATTCAAGGACTTCCTCTCCTGCAGGCCAACTGAAATACCAGAAAATGACATTCTGCTTTGTGAGAGCCGCTACAATGAGAGCGACAAGCAGATGAAGAAATTCAAAGGATTGAAGAGGTTTTCACTCTCTGCTAAAGTGGTAGATGATGAAATTTACTACTTCAGGTAAAGCTTGAAAAACTTAAGGAAAAAAGAGCACTTCCATTAACTGATAGCAACATAGTGTAGTCCAGTGTTTTTAATTTTTTATTAGATCTTAAACTAGAGTAGTAAATATTTCAAATAGAAAATATTTATTCACTTAAAGATTAAAGGAAAGACTTCATAATCTGCTGGGACCTGGTGGCTGCTCTAATAGTGCCCTTGGCGTAGACTCCAATAATTGTGGAATGAGGCAGAAACACTTGGTTCTGGTTTATATCCTGTCAGGAGATTTCTCAGTTCCACAGATTATGAAAACTCTTTTTGCTGTGTATAGGCAACTAGATCCCAACTTTGGACACAATACTTTTGTGGATATTCAGCATAATTATTTAAAAACAAGCATCTCTAAGTACAAGTAATTTCATAAATACACATTTAAACTCTTTCCATGCTGCCTTTAGAGCATATATTGCAGATTGCAGGAAGTCACTTCTAGTTGTTAAGGTGGAACACTGCTTTCCGGCTTATTCTGGAGGGGCATTAGGTGATTTTAGGTTTTTTATGTCACTTTTTTCAGAAAACCAATTGTTCCTCAGAAGGAGCCATCACCTTTGCTGGAAAAGAAGATCCAGTTGCTAGAAGCTAAATTTGCCGAGTTAGAAGGTGGAGATGATGATATTGAAGAGATGGGAGAAGAAGATAGTGAGGTCATTGAACCTCCTTCTCTACCTCAGCTTCAGACCCCCCTGGCCAGTGAGCTGGACCTCATGCCCTACACACCCCCACAGGTGAAGGTGACAGGTTCCTGTTACTTATCTTATTACCACCTTTGGTTTGCAGCAGACTCAAAACCAAAGTAAAGTGACATCCAGCCCCTCCATATGTGAGCTTTAACTTAGAATTCTGCAGGAAGGAACAGATTTTGTCAGTGCCATGATTTATTCATTTATTTTTGATTGACAAAAATTATATGTCATCCCATTAATAATTTATATTAATACCATTAATAATTTAAAATTAATATCTTTAAAATTTCATAGCTATTTTAATGGTGGGCTTAGTTAGAAGACTCTTCCTTGTGCTGAAGAAAAGCAGTAAGGAGCAACATCACCCTGTTTGTCTTTAGCTTTTATTACCCGTGTCTTTTTAATCTCTCCTTATGTAGGACCTCATCTTTTGGTTGAGGTGATTGTTGGTATTTTTTTCTCATTCAGAATTTTTACAAGACTTGGCCAGGCATGGTTGCTTATGTCTGTAATCCCAGCACTTTGGGAGGCCAAGGCAGGAGGATCACTTGAGCTCAGGAGTTCAAGACCACATTGGGCAACATAGTGAGATCTCATCTCTACTAAAAATTTTAAAAATTAGGCATGGTGATGCACACCTGTAGTCCCAGCTACTCGGCAGGCTGAGGCAGGAGAATCATTTGAGACTGGGAGATCAAGGCTGCAGTGAGATATGAGTGCACCACTGTACTCCAGCCTGGTGACAGAACAAGACCCTGTATCATTTAAAAAAAAAAAAAAAAAAAAAGAATTTTCTCAAGACTTAATTGTGAGGTCACCATTACAGATTGCACCCATGGAATTCAGTGAAACTTTCATTTCTTTTTTACTTGTAATAGATAAGGAAGAGGTGTGTTTTGACCAAGAAAATAGCCAGCTATAAACCAAACGTGTCAATAAAGCAGTAACTAGTGAATCACGTGTTCCTGGCTTCTGAAAAATTTTTTTTTTTTTTTTTTGAGACAGAGTCTTGCTCTGTCGCCCAGGCTGGAGTGCAGTGGCGCCGTCTTGGCTTAATGCAAGCTCCGTCTCCCGGGTTCACGCCATTCTCCTGCCTCAGCCTCCTGAGTAGCTGGGACTACAGGCGCCCGCCACCACGCCTGGCTAATTTTTTGTATTTTTTTTTTTAGTAGAAACGGGGTTTCACTGTGTCAGCCAGGATGGTCTCAATCTCCTGACCTTGTGATCCACCTGTCTCGGCCCCCCAAAGTGCTGGGATTACAGGTGTGAGCCACCGCGCCCGGCTGGCTTCTGAAATTTTGAGCAGTTAACCAAATGTAATGTTTTGATGCACCATAAGACCTTTCTGTCTTACAGTCTACCCCAAAGTCTGCCAAAGGCAGTGCAAAGAAGGAAGGCTCCAAACGGAAAATCAACATGAGTGGCTACATCCTGTTCAGCAGTGAGATGAGGGCTGTGATTAAGGCCCAACACCCAGACTACTCTTTCGGGGAGCTCAGCCGCCTGGTGGGGACAGAATGGAGAAATCTTGAGACAGCCAAGAAAGCAGAATATGAAGGTAAATAGAGCCTAGGCACAACTGTCTTTCGAAGCAAGGGGGTGTTTCAGGAATGCACGCGCACAGACAGGTTTTACTCTTGTTCTTACCACTTGCACATGAACTTTTATTTTGGGGACTGTTCCAAATGGCACCCAACCAGTATTTTAGATGCTAGCCTTGTCCTGACTGAGCAGAGCACTGCCCCTGACTTGGCCTCTGATCCTGGTGTTGTATTTTCCCCTGCAAATTTCTCCAAAATATTTTGCTACTAAAAATTGCATGATTTTTTTCTTTCATTGAGCCCTGTAAGCACACATGTTGAGCTAGGGAATTATTGTACAATGATGTTAAATATAATTTTAATTAAAATTCGTCTGAAAAGGGCCTCTTAAAATCAGTGATCTTGTGTTACAGCTCTTGGTAAGCCATATATTTAAACTTCAGGCTGAGTCTTTGCTAAAGTGCTTGGTTTCCTAGGTCAGTCCTGGCCTATACTGTGTCTGTATTCATAGCTACTTCTAAGGTATTTGGGTCTTTTTTATAAAGCTCAACTGCCTTTATTTTCCTTTTATTCTAATTAAATCACTTTGGGCAGTGAGCTGTCATTCAAGAATTTGGTGGTTCTTAGCCATTTAGAGACAAATACTTGAGATTTTTTGTTTTTTGTTGTTGGGTTTTTGTTTTTGTGGGTTTTTTTTAAATATCAGACATGGACTTAGTAAAGAAATTAGTAGTAAGCATTAGATTAGGCAGTACTGTTGCCCTTTGAGCTATATTTTTTCCATCTGGAATTTTATATATTGGTTCATTTTGCCAGTTTAGAGCTCCTCTCTACAATGGTCAACCACTACTCTTCTTAGGTGGGTACAGTTCTATTATTTTCTGGCAAACATTAATTATTTAGGCTGCCCCTTTTATTAAAATTTTTGAAGTCTCCAAAGAAACTTCTTTAAAAAAAAAAAGGTCATTTATTATAATTATTTGATTACTATGAAATTATCTGACAGGCTTCCCCAAGGATCTTCTGCAAAGAATCCTAATCCTGCAAGATGTTTAGCCAAAAAACATTTTGTGGCAAAACCAGTTTGAGAAGCATTCCAAACTCTCTCTCTTGGAAACTTATGGTGCATATTCCCGTATGTGTGTTGTCAGGCCCAAGGGCCTCCTCTGTCCTTATCAAGGGGAGTGCTAACCTTTTCTCCTTTCATACAGCATGCATATTCCCATATTAAAGGCTTTAAGACCACCAGTAAATAAGCTGTTTTATATTATCTGGCATTTTCTGAAATTTGACCAGGTATTTATGTAGTACCTATGAATACCCTAAAGAACTAACATTTTGCAGAATATTCTTTGGAAAACCCTAGTCAGTTCCATAAGAACCTAGAACTTTGTGGAGCTTTGATATTTCTGACCTTATTGAAAGTTAAGACCTACTACACCACTGAGCTGGAGGAGTGTTGAAAATCAAGCTCACATGAATATTGCTGAGCGAGCAGCACAGCAGCAGCAGCAAGGCAAATGGAGCCAGTGCTGGATGGCTGGTTATTTAGAGTGTGAGCAGGAGAGAGATACCTGAAGACACTGTGAAGGTAAAAACACTGGAGTAGGAATGAAGAGAGGGAGAGGTGATGGCGTCTGGAACATCCTTCCAAATTCAAAGGGGAGTCTGAAAGTGAGTGAGAACCTAGTGAGGGGGGAGTTATATGACTCAGCAGCATCTACCTGAGACATAAAATCTGAACTTTTGATGTTTTCTCTCATTGAATTCAAAGCCCAAAGTTTAGAGTTTGGGTAGCCAGTCCAATATTCAATCCACAGGCCTTATTTTTTTTTTTCCATTTCATTTTTTTGCTTTCCCACTTTACTGTGTCACTTGTATAATGAAAATACTAGAATTTGAAGTGGAACCCTAGGTCGATTTTTTTTTTTTTTTTTACTGCTAGCTCAAGTAAATAGTTTGTTCAAATGGCCTTCGTTTCTCATACTCATTGTACAAAGGGTCTGTAAACTAGGACAGTCTTAGTGATGATAAGGCTATGCAGGCAACTCTGTCACAGCCAAGAGGCCTTTGATTGCTTGACTTTCATATTCTTAAAGGAGGACTGGAGCTGTAGCTTCTTGATTCTCTGTAAAGCCATATGACCTCGAGCTATTTTCCCCCTCCTGAAATCAGTGGTGTTGAGTTCCATGTTAAAGGGTTTATGTGTGGCAGTTGGAGTGTGATATCAGGAGTTAGGGCCATAGGGTTGCTGGTTCTCTCTATCCTTGGACAAGTGACTGCCTGTCTCCCAGCCTCCATTTGCCTATGTGATGAGTGGGGGGATCTTCTATTTATGAATGGTGAGACAAGAAACCCTGTATGGTGGGAGCTTTGGAAATACAGCATTTCAGGAGTTCTTCAGTAGGGGTTCAGTCTGCTAGCTCACAAAAAGACTGGAAACATGATCATTGGAGCTCCCGGCTCTGGAGATGCAGAGTAGCTCAGGGCCGGGGAGTGGGGAGGTAGCAGGATGTATTCTACGGCCCAGAACTGCCACAGCAAATGCTCTTTTTGCATTTTGAATGAAGTAAGAGGGATTCTGGAATTTTCATTGATTTAGGGTGGTTTATGGTCAGTATTGAACTGCTCAGCTTCAGGAAACCTGGTTCTTTCAGTACATTGTCCATTGCTACATACGTGTTTATTTAATTCTCTGCTTCTGATGATTGTAGCCTGAAGTATAATGCATTTTTTTCCTTTGGGGTTTATTAAACATGACTTCTTTGCTTCATTAGAATGTAGAAATTAGTTGTTTCCCTAAAACCTTCTGAAGGAGGCAGTCAGCTACTTTTCCCTTACAGAGTTAATTTTCTTCAGCTGCTAAACTCCATGACACTCGTGATGAGTCCTCAAATCTTAGTAAAATTGGGTACAAAGAATCAGGAAATATATATAGTAAGTAACAATTGTACCAAAAATTATAATGGGCCATGGAATTGCTTCATATTGAAATTATAAATAATCTGTAATGCTATTAATACTAGAATAATGGTAGCGCTTCTCATCTTCAGGGTGCCTCGTGAGATTAACCATGGTGGTTATGCTGGTGACGTGTTTACATAAAACCTGTGCTTTCTGAATGTGTGTTGCAGTCTTAACATTCTTGAAATCTTTGCAGACCAGTTCTCAAGATGGGATAGGAAAGCTGGACTCTAGGTTACCAAGTGAAATCGGCCCGACTCCTCCTGTGTTGAGACTAGTCATCTACTGTTCCTTCCATTGAGACAGAACTGTTGCCTGTGTTTTTACTAGTCCTGTTGAATGCAATGGATGGTATTTTGAATTCCTGGGTTAAAAACAGAATTGAAAATCTGAAATGCCTTTACAGAGCGGGCAGCTAAAGTTGCTGAGCAGCAGGAGAGAGAGCGAGCAGCACAGCAACAGCAGCCGAGTGCTTCTCCCCGAGCAGGCACCCCTGTGGGGGCTCTCATGGGGGTGGTGCCACCACCAACACCAATGGGGATGCTCAATCAGCAGTTGACACCTGTTGCAGGTAAAAACAGGAGCTAAGACCATTTTTTTCCACTTTAAGAAATTCCTTCATTTTTTTTTTCTCCAATAAGGAGTAGGCCACAGTCTATTGCCTTTTCTCATGACAGATTCAAAGTTTGAAGTCATCCATGTTGTCCTATATTGCCTTTCCCATATGGGCAATGCCTCCCTTCTGCCCCAGAAATGGGCCCTGGGCCCAACCCTGGTAATTGGTAGGGAGCAGCTCTTCCCTGGCTGTGGGCATGGTCTGGTGATGTTCTCCACCCCAGCCTGCTCTTGATAGAGCACTATAGCAGAAAATATGAAAGTAGACCCTGAATTCTGTTCTAGAGGGACTCCCAAGAGAAAACACAAAACTAGTCTTTAGGTGGTGTTGATTTTCCCATCTCATTCCAGTATTCAGTTTGCCTTGTTCTGCTGCAGCCATCCTTAAAAGACTGACCGTTTAAAAGGATTTTTTGACAATGAATTGTAAATCCTTTCTTGGTCACCAATGTGCATGACTGCTAAATAGAATACAAAGTCCTTATTCAATTCATTGTGCCCACTCTGTAATGCTTTTCTATTTAATTACATTAAACTGCATTTTCTGTTAGTATCCCAGTCACATATTTAAGAAAAAAAAAAAGAAAAAGAAAATGATGAATGTGGTTTGTCTGTGTGTGTTGTCTCTGGTTCTGGTAGCCATAGCAAATTTGACTGTTCTTGAATTGAATATCTTTGTCTGACATGTCTCCAATGAGAAGTCTGCAGACCACTTCTCGGGCCCCTTCTTTGAGATCTCTCCAGTCCTGGTGAGGTCTGTACAAGCCACCTGTGTTTCTTCTTAAGCAAGCAGTCTGACCTCTTTCACAGGGAGTCCAAAATAGTGTTGTTCAAGGCAGGCTTGTTGGGATGCTGTTTTTGCTGTTTCGTTTTTGCTTTTTAAGGAAGAGTAGCATAGGATAACTTTTCCATTGTCGCTCCTAACTTTTGTGATGGCAAGTTCTCAAATGCACTGTCGCTGAACTCAGCAGTTGCACTCGCCAAAGCACATCTGAATCATGGCTTTCAGTGCTTTCAGTGTAACTGATGTTGATCTAACAAATCTCATAATCGCCTGCTCTATTCCATGGCCCATTTTGGTTAATGGGGTTCCAGAGGTTTTTAGAAATCAGGCCTTGAACATGGGGACTTTGAAAGTTAGAATTCCCTCGTTGACATTGTGTTTTGTTCTATTTGATGTGTGACGTTGTGGCACTGTGCCCTTGACTTCAAAACCCAGGGGCACATTAACAAAATGAATACAAACAGCTAAAAACAATTAAAAAAAAAAAAAAAACAGCAGCTGCAGCATTTTAGCTCCCTGTTGGGGAAGAACATTATAGAACTCTATGGATGAGGAAGGTGGTCCCTCTAGAAAGCCCCTGCTCCATTATTTAGGGTGTGCTGGCTAGACTTCTGGGCCCTGGGAGTGAAAAGCAAGCATTCTCTGCAGTAACCACTCTTTGGTCCTCATGGGGAACCCTGCAGCTAAGAGGGTGATTTTTCATGGTTTTACAGGTTTCTTAGGGCCTGAGTCTTACTTATTAGCCTTGTTGCTGTCTTGAGACCAGCTTTGCTTACAAGCATTGAAGCTCATTTGAACACATGTGACTGGGATAATAAATGCCAAAGTACAGTTTAATGAAGACAAGTGTCATGTCTTTCAGTTCTTAATAATTTCCTCAACCACAGCCCATGAAGGCTGCGTTCAGATGGGCTTTTGTAATTGAAAGCAAAGCCTCTTAACATCCTTAAATTTCCCGCCTACTTAACCCTAAATGCTATAACTGGTGGTGTGGTTAAAAGATTGGTAGCATTGGATCTCTTCATGTTTAATTAAGATGATGGTGTCTGTTCAAAAGTAGTTTTTACTTTCTGAACTCTTCATTTAAAAAAAAATGAAAACTCATAATCTTATGTATAGAGAGATTATTATTCAAATTTTTGTCATTCGGTTTATGTAATTGTAAGTTAGTCAGCTTAGGTATGACTAGTGAAGCAGGGTGAATCGACCTCAGAATTTTTAGTAATTTCATAGCCTTAAAAGACTAAACTTTTATAAATAAATATGTTTGAAATCTTCAGGGAAAGTCCAAGAGTAAAATTCTCAGAATCTGAAGTTTTCCACTATTTGACAGAGTCCCTCTGCAAAGAGTATTTTATAAAAATGAGGTTTGGCACCAGTCCCTCAACCCTCCCTTTGCAAGAAGCTGTGACCAAAGGTGACTGCATTTTGGGGGGAGCTTTGTGTTCTTATTCATCATGATCATTACAAATCCCAGAAAAGTCAAGTTGTTTTTCTTGTTTTAAAAAAATGCCATGTGGTTTTAAAGGTCTTTTGATAGGTGAGTCCTTGACATTTTGAATTTTTTTTCTTACATTTATTCCTTCTGCCAAAAATACTTGTTTGCTGAAACTCTTCTCTAGCCAGTAGAAAATATTTTGTCATGTGTAGGTACACTTTGAAAATAAAGGAATAAAAGCCTCTGTTCACAGAAATTGTGTACCTCAAATTAAAATGCTCCCTGTTAAGGTTTATATGAGGACATTTGAGCTTGGAGACTGATGGCATTTGGCATTTTCTCATATCAGCAGAGCCCAATTCTCCAGCCATTCCTCCGTAAAGTCTGTGTGTAGGCTCCTGAGTGACCTGGACTTGGTTGGCTTGGTTGGGAGTGTTTAGGTTTTATCTTTATCACATTTTTAGATCTAAAGAAGGAAATATCATTCACTGTGATGGTTCTTAGAAGCTGTTCCCCAACTCAAGCCCAAGCACAATCCATTCTTACCAGCAGTGGTAAGGCTAGAAAGGAGGAGTAGATGTAGAAGTCTTGAACAATTCCTGCCCCAAAGCTGGAGAACCATGCTTTGTGATCAGGACTATGCGCTCATTTCCCTCCCTTCCTATTTCCCCTCATGTGTACCCATGATAGGCATATGAGTGTGGGCAGAGTGGAATGATGGGGTTTATACTATTCAGTTAGAATTGCAGTCAGCAGAACTGGTCACTCTGTTTGAACAGCTTGCAATAATTATTTCCTTGGGAAGGCTGTTACTAGAACTCTTTACTATTATTTAACTGAAAACATGCAGCATATTTACCCCAGGGAAAATAACTACAAATAATAGTGTACTAAGTACTAATTCATCCCAAAATGTTGGGTCTCATATTTGTAACTTTTTATTTTGTTCATTATTGCAGCAAAATAATTGCACTAATTGCTGTTATATCATGCAGTACTAAGGGTGCTTTATTCATTGGTAGTGCATGTGGGGGTTGGTTGTTATTACTTAGCTCATGTTGCATGTTAATGATGCATGTCTGAAATTTGTTGTGTCCTTCAAGGCATGATGGGTGGCTATCCGCCAGGCCTTCCACCTTTGCAGGGCCCAGTTGATGGCCTTGTTAGCATGGGCAGCATGCAGCCACTTCACCCTGGGGGGCCTCCACCCCACCATCTTCCGCCAGGTGTGCCTGGCCTCCCGGGCATCCCACCACCGGGTAAGAACTTCATCCTCATTCACTCATTAATCTCATCTTCATATTCTCTTTTTCCGCTTTCAACCAGTTGTTCCAGGAGGCACCCGTGGCCCATTGTGGCCAGGCCTTCCCTCCCTGAGAATCCAAAGGTTGTCAGCAGCAGGGCATGTCTTGTGCATTCAGCAGGTGGCCCAGCACTTGTGCCCTTGTGCACCTGGCTGCTGGCAGCAGCACAGCACACATGGCAGAGGCCAGACTCAGCAAACCAAGGGACAAGAGGCATACTCTATCGATAATCACTCAACTAATTTGACATGTCCTTGAAAAGCCAGACAGCCTAGAAGGCTGTGTCCTCTTATCAGTGAATGAAGTTTCCCAAATTGCTAGTTCAGAGTAACATGTAAAAGCATTTTTTGCCCCTGAGTTGCATTTCTCCCTCTGGTGCAATTCTTATCTCACAGGGTATAGAGTATCTGTTCCATCTCCTACTTCTCCTCAAGCAGCCTTTCTAAGGGGATTGCAGAGCTGCTAAGGTAGAACTCTTCAGAAATCTTTCACTCAGTCTGTCTTAGAACAAAAAGCAGGGAGGGAATGCATTTTCACTGAATTAGTGTTCTGTATGTGAGTTCCCTAAGAAGCATGACATGCCAGGTGTAATGGCTCATGCCTGTAATCCCAGCACTTTCAGAGAATGAGGAAGGTGGATCACTTGAGCCCAGGAGTTCAAGACCAGCCTGGGCAACCTGGTGAGACCCCATCTCTATAAAAATTAGCCAGGTGTTAGGCCGGGCACGATGGCTCATGCCTGTAATCCCAGCACTTTGGGAGGCCGAGGTGGGCGGATCACTTGAGGTCAGGAGTTCGAGACCAGCCTGGCCAATATGGTGAAACACCGTCTTTACTAAAAATACAAAAATTAGCTGGGCGTGGTGGCGGGCACCTGTAGTCCCAGCTACTCGAGAGGCTGAGGCAGAAGAATCACTTGAACCTGGGAGGCAGAGGTTGCAGTGAGCCGAGATTGCACCACTACACTCCAGCCTGGGCGACAGCAAGACTCCGTGTCAAAAAAAAAAAAAAAAAAGGAAAAATTAGCCAGGTGTGGTGGCATGTGCCTGTAGTCCCAGCTACTCAGGAGGCTGAGGTGGGAGAATTACCTGAGCCTGGGGAGACTGAGGCTGCAGTGAGTGGTGATCGCACCACTGCACTCCAGCCTGAGCGACAGAATGAGATCCTGTCTCAAAAAAAAAAAAAAAAAAGCCTGACATTAAAGAACAGCCTAGCCTACCCTCCTAGCTGTAGATACTGGTTTGTCTGTCAACAGAAGCTTAGAAGTTCTTTTATATAGAAATATATAAATGGATTCCAGAAATAGCGACATTCATTTTCACTTTAAAATGTGAATTAGCAAGTTGAAAGATTATTTTAAAGAAAACCTAAATGAAAGGAAAATCACATGTTCCCATATTAATTGCCATCATATGCAAAAGAACTCTTAGCTGTAATCTGGATGGAGGGAATGTGACCTTTGGAAGACTCGGAAAGCATTTGGTCCATTACCTACAACATCAGCTAAGGGCCCAACCCAAATGGTAAAATGTGGTTGGAAACTTGTTAAATTTGCTTGTACCAGTGTTGGACCTACCAGTGATAGGGTTTTGCAGGGTACCAAATGATGCTTTGGAGGGTGCACCCAGCAGTGTGCAGAGTGAGCAAACTTGGTGGCCTGGCCTGGAGCCTCCAGCCACACTCTTTGTGAGAGTTGCTTAGAATATGGCCATAATTCCACAGAAGCATTTGCTCCAGGTATTGCCAGAGGAGGAAGTGTTTGTAGGGTTAGGTGCTTCATATGAAAACAGTGGACTGTGTGAATTGCTGTTGCAGCAGGAGTCAGTCATAAGGTAAATGTTCCCATGTGGCAGGTAGACTTGGCCTTAATTTTTTGCCCTCTCACCTTGATACAGGGTATCACTGAGCCAATAAGACCAGGCTGGAGTTTACACCTTCTAGGTGCACTTAGTGGGATCCATGTCTAATGCCAGTACCCTCTAGGTTGCAGATGTCTTTTGGTGGGTGTTGGGACATAGCTGTCTTCCTTTCCACCTTCCTGAAATCCTAAATTCAACTGGAGGGAAGCCCAACACACCTGCTTAGAATTGAGGAGACAGGGCCGGACACAGTGACTCAATCCTGTAATCCCAGCACTTTGTGAGGCTGAGGTGGGAGGATTGCTTTGAGCTCAGCAGTTCAAGACCAGTGGGCAACATGGTGAAACCCCATATCTATTTTATTTAATTAAAAAAGAAGCCAGGAGTCAGGGAAGACCCCCTCTTAGTGCCTACAAATGCACATGTCTGAGCAGGCTTAGAGGAGTAGGGGATTCATTGAGCTCTTTTGGTGACTCAGCTCAGATTCTCACCGGCTGCCCAAGTATGGCATTTGTCAATAGAGGAAGCAGAAGAGTTTGCTGATTTGTGCTGCCCTGCAAAGCAATGATTTACACAGTTTAGGGAGCCACACCGTGTTCTGGAATCTAAGGTGGGTGAGTGTCCCAGGGCACAGGGAGGTGATGGGCACAGAGGTTAATAATATATTGCTGGGGCACCAGCTTACCCACCACAACCTCTTCATTCATTCACGAATAATCATCAGGATCCTACTTTGGTGATCCGGGTGGACTTCTGGGTACTTGGAATATAAAACTCCCTGCTTTTTAAACAGAAGCTTTTTTACTTGTTATTTTCTAACAAATAAGAGGCTCTCTTATGCTTCCTGGAAGTGGCATTTAACAATTCTGAACCTTAGTGCTCGCTTCAGCAGCACATACACTAAAATTGGAACAATATGGAGTTGAGCATGGCACAAGGATGACATGCAAATTCATGAAACAGTTCTGAACTTTAGAATGAGGAGCTGCTTCTGCCTGGACAAAATATTACGATTTTTAATCCGAAGGGACTATACACTATGAAGTTATACCTCCTCTCGATTCTTCTACACAGCCAGCAGGATTTGTTTAAGTTTTCAAGAACAGTTCACCACAGTTTTAGGTTTATTTGATTTTAATGAACTGGGTCCCTTGCCTATTTCTGTATTTTATCAGAATAGCAAATATGCACCCTGAAATCAAAAGAGCCTCTGACACTAAATTTAGGACATCTCATTATTATCAGCTGTGCCTGTGAGACAACAATTGCTCGTGAGCATTCACTGAGGGAAGCTTACAAAATTATTATCAGGGACATAGTACAAATCTAGTAGGGCCATGAAGTCTCTCTGTTCCTTTGTCATTTTGCATATAAAGCAATAGCAACAAGGTTACTTCACTTCAGATGATTCCTTTTCAGAGTGCTACTCTATCAGATGGAAGTGTTCTCTCCCTGCCAGCACTAGTGACTCCAGTTAGAACCAGCTGCTGATGGTCTGGGAGGGGATAGCAAGGCTGTGCCTTCAGCCTTCACAAAGCTCATTTAACTATGCACTTCCACAGCCTCTTCCCTTGTGTCCCTGCTGTCCTAGCACATTGCTTACTGCTGAGCCTGATTCCAGTGCCATTCCTGCTTAAATTAAATACAGGCTTCAGTTGCAGGAGAATGTGTTGTCAGAAGAAAAACACCTTGAATGTAGAGGTATATTCTGACAATAGCTTACCTAGAGAAATACTAGAATTTTATGCAAGGTTCAAATCATTTCTAAGCCATAATTGATGTACATCTGACAGATTGTTCTAGTATTATACTTTAAGTACCTAGAAACAAAACAACTTTCTATTCAAATCCTATTGGGGTGCTTAAGATTCCTAGCCACAAAGATTCAAGGGCAGAGGTACATAGGTTTGAATTATGAATGGCATCATTTCTTATCAGACAGTAGTTTTTCAGTCATTTCAACCCAGAGCCTCTAACTGTGCCATTGCATTCTGAATTATAGGTGTGATGAACCAAGGAGTGGCCCCTATGGTAGGGACTCCAGCACCAGGTGGAAGTCCATATGGACAACAGGTGAGCCTCCCAGTTTGATTTTCTAGGACTTGACAGAATTCGAGTTATCCTTCTCAGAACATGTGCAGAGTCTCTTTTTGCCTCACCATGTGGTCCTGTGCTCTTTCAGGTGGGAGTTTTGGGGCCTCCAGGGCAGCAGGCACCACCTCCATATCCCGGCCCACATCCAGCTGGACCCCCTGTCATACAGCAGCCAACAACACCCATGTTTGTAGCTCCCCCACCAAAGACCCAGCGGCTTCTTCACTCAGAGGCCTACCTGAAATACATTGAAGGACTCAGTGCGGAGTCCAACAGCATTAGCAAGTGGGATCAGACACTGGCAGGTAAGATTCCTTCTAAATAAGCCTTTGTGAAATACATGCTTCCTCAAAGCTGTCTTACTGCTGTTAGCATAGTATATCATACAATAAACACCCCTTTTTCTTATACAATTAAAATAAATTATATATTTCATAAATGGTTTGGAGTTTCTTTGCATGTTTACGTAACACACTGAAAATGGTTTGTTTTGTTTTGTTTTGTTTTTGAGACAGGGTCTCACTCTGTTGCCTAGGCTGGAGTGCAGTGGCGCGATCTTGGCTCACTGCAGTCTCCGCCTTCCAGGTTCAACTGATTCTTCTGCCTCAGCCTCCCCAGTAGCTGGGATTACAGGCACATGCCACCACACCTGGCTAATGTTTATATTTTTAGTAGAGATGGGGTTTCACCATATCAGCCAGGCTGGTCTCAAACTCTTGACCTCAAGTGATCCACCTGCCTCGGCCTCTCAAAGTGCTGGGATTACAGGCGTGAGCCACTGTGCCTGGCCTGAAAATGGTTTTTGGGTTGTTTTTTTTTTTTTGAGACAGTCTCACTCTGTCGCCCAGGCTGGAGTGCAGTGGTACAATCTCGACTTACTGCAACCTCCGACCCCCAGGTTCAAGCGATTCTTGTGTCTTAGCCTCCTGAGCAGCTGGAATTACAGGTGCTCAGCACCACGCCCAGCTAATTTTTTTATCTTTAGTAGAGATGGGGTTTCGCCGTTTTGGCCAGGCTGGTCTCGAACTCCTGACCTCAGGTGATCTATTCACCTCAGCCTCCCAAAGAGCTGGGATTATAGGCATGAGTCACAGCGCCCTGCCTAAAAGTGTTGTTGTGGTTTTTTTTGCCAAATTTCAAAGCCTAGTTTTCTCATAAACATCACTGCCATCTTTTTAAGTACATTGTTTTTTGTTTGTTGTTTTGTTTTGTTTTGTTTTGTTTTTCAGGCATTTGGACATTAGTATAGATGCATTGGGTAAATTAAAAATTATTGGCCAGGCACGGTGGCTCCCACTTTGGGAGGCTGAAGTGGACAGATCGATTGAGTTCAGGAGTTTGAGACCAGCCTGGACAACATGGCAAAACCCCGTCTCTACAAAAAAATTAAAAATTAGCCAGATGAGGGCCAGGAGCGGTGGCTCACGCCTGTAATCCCAGCACTTTGGGAGGCTGAAGCGGGCAGATCACTTGAGGTCAGGAGATCAAGACCATCCTGGCCAACATGGTGAAATCCCATCTCTACTAAAAATACAAAAATTAGCTGGGCGTGGTGTCTGGTGTCTGTAATCCCAGCTACTTGGGAGGCTGAGGCACGAGAATCATTTGAACCCGGAGGTGGAGGTTGCAGTGAGCCAAGATCGCACCACTGCACTCCAGCCTGGGTGACAGAATAAGACTCTGTCTAAAAAAAAAAAAAAAACTATTTTACCTCAGTTTAACAAAAGGAAAAAAATATTAGAAACCGATTAGGCTATTCATTTAGTTCAACATACTTATGTATTTTCAGTATGTACTAAAGTACTTGTGTAGTTTCTGGAGAGAAGTTTGGAAGTTTCTACTTGTTCTTGATTTCTAAACCAACTTTGGTCATCTCATTTCATTTCTTTAGAGTAGAAGGTATATTTTCCCTTTCTTCACATGTTTACCTTTTTAGGAATTTTTGTTAACATTGAAGTAATTATTAAATATCAGGGATGCCTACAAAAAAATAATGATCAGGCCGGGTGCAGTGGCTCACACCTGTAATCCCAGCACTTTGGGAGGCCAAGGTAGGCAGATCACCTGAGGTCAGGAGTTCAAGACCAGCCTGGCCAACATGGTGAAACCTGTCTCTACTAAAAATAGAAAAATCAGCCAGGCTTGGTGGCAGATTCCTGTAATCCCAGCTACTCTGGAGCCTGAGGCAGGAGAATCGCTTGAACCCAGGAGGTAGAGGTTGCAGTGAGCTGAGATCGCGCCACTGCACTCCAGCGAGGGCGACAGAGCGAGACTCGATGTCAAAAAAAAAAAAAAATTTATGATCAAATCTTTTAGTGCCTAGTAAAATGATATAAGAAATGTGCCTGGAAATATTCTGCAGTTAAAATTCATAATATTTAATAAATATTCAATGTTTTGTGTTTTAATAAGTTCGTCAGACCTTAGAACTGAGGGAAATTTTGCCAACTTAAAATTCTAATTTCTGTCTCTCTGTACTTTAATTTTCAGCTCGAAGACGCGACGTCCATTTGTCGAAAGAACAGGAGAGCCGCCTACCCTCTCACTGGCTGAAAAGCAAAGGGGCCCACACCACCATGGCAGATGCCCTCTGGCGCCTTCGAGATTTGATGCTCCGGGACACCCTCAACATTCGCCAAGCATACAACCTAGAAAATGTTTAATCACATCATTACGTTTCTTTTATATAGAAGCATAAAGAGTTGTGGATCAGTAGCCATTTTAGTTACTGGGGGTGGGGGGAAGGAACAAAGGAGGATAATTTTTATTGCATTTTACTGTACATCACAAGGCCATTTTTATATACGGACACTTTTAATAAGCTATTTCAATTTGTTTGTTATATTAAGTTGACTTTATCAAATACACAAAGATTTTTTTGCATATGTTTCCTTCGTTTAAAACCAGTTTCATAATTGGTTGTATATGTAGACTTGGAGTTTTATCTTTTTACTTGTTGCCATGGAACTGAAACCATTAGAGGTTTTTGTCTTGGCTTGGGGTTTTTGTTTTCTTGGTTTTGGGTTTTTTTATATATATATATAAAAGAACAAAATGAAAAAAAACACACACACACAAGAGTTTACAGATTAGTTTAAATTGATAATGAAATGTGAAGTTTGTCCTAGTTTACATCTTAGAGAGGGGAGTATACTTGTGTTTGTTTCATGTGCCTGAATATCTTAAGCCACTTTCTGCAAAAGCTGTTTCTTACAGATGAAGTGCTTTCTTTGAAAGGTGGTTATTTAGGTTTTAGATGTTTAATAGACACAGCACATTTGCTCTATTAACTCAGAGGCTCACTACAGAAATATGTAATCAGTGCTGTGCATCTGTCTGCAGCTAATGTACCTCCTGGACACCAGGAGGGGAAAAAGCACTTTTTCAATTGTGCTGAGTTAGACATCTGTGAGTTAGACTATGGTGTCAGTGATTTTTGCAGAACACGTGCACAACCCTGAGGTATGTTTAATCTAGGCAGGTACGTTTAAGGATATTTTGATCTATTTATAATGAATTCACAATTTATGCCTATAAATTTCAGATGATTTAAAATTTTAAACCTGTTACATTGAAAAACATTGAAGTTCGTCTTGAAGAAAGCATTAAGGTATGCATGGAGGTGATTTATTTTTAAACATAACACCTAACCTAACATGGGTAAGAGAGTATGGAACTAGATATGAGCTGTATAAGAAGCATAATTGTGAACAAGTAGATTGATTGCCTTCATATACAAGTATGTTTTAGTATTCCTTATTTCCTTATTATCAGATGTATTTTTTCTTTTAAGTTTCAATGTTGTTATAATTCTCAACCAGAAATTTAATACTTTCTAAAATATTTTTTAAATTTAGCTTGTGCTTTTGAATTACAGGAGAAGGGAATCATAATTTAATAAAACGCTTACTAGAAAGACCATTACAGATCCCAAACACTTGGGTTTGGTGACCCTGTCTTTCTTATATGACCCTACAATAAACATTTGAAGGCAGCATAGGATGGCAGACAGTAGGAACATTGTTTCACTTGGCGGCATGTTTTTGAAACCTGCTTTATAGTAACTGGGTGATTGCCATTGTGGTAGAGCTTCCACTGCTGTTTATAATCTGAGAGAGTTAATCTCAGAGGATGCTTTTTTCCTTTTAATCTGCTATGAATCAGTACCCAGATGTTTAATTACTGTACTTATTAAATCATGAGGGCAAAAGAGTGTAGAATGGAAAAAAGTCTCTTGTATCTAGATACTTTAAATATGGGAGGCCCTTTAACTTAATTGCCTTTAGTCAACCACTGGATTTGAATTTGCATCAAGTATTTTAAATAATATTGAATTTAAAAAAATGTATTGCAGTAGTGTGTCAGTACCTTATTGTTAAAGTGAGTCAGATAAATCTTCAATTCCTGGCTATTTGGGCAATTGAATCATCATGGACTGTATAATGCAATCAGATTATTTTGTTTCTAGACATCCTTGAATTACACCAAAGAACATGAAATTTAGTTGTGGTTAAATTATTTATTTATTTCATGCATTCATTTTATTTCCCTTAAGGTCTGGATGAGACTTCTTTGGGGAGCCTCTAAAAAAATTTTTCACTGGGGGCCACGTGGGTCATTAGAAGCCAGAGCTCTCCTCCAGGCTCCTTCCCAGTGCCTAGAGGTGCTATAGGAAACATAGATCCAGCCAGGGGCTTCCCTAAAGCAGTGCAGCACCGGCCCAGGGCATCACTAGACAGGCCCTAATTAAGTTTTTTTTAAAAAGCCTGTGTATTTATTTTAGAATCATGTTTTTCTGTATATTAACTTGGGGGATATCGTTAATATTTAGGATATAAGATTTGAGGTCAGCCATCTTCAAAAAAGAAAAAAAAATTGACTCAAGAAAGTACAAGTAAACTATACACCTTTTTTTCATAAGTTTTAGGAACTGTAGTAATGTGGCTTAGAAAGTATAATGGCCTAAATGTTTTCAAAATGTAAGTTCCTGTGGAGAAGAATTGTTTATATTGCAAACGGGGGGACTGAGGGGAACCTGTAGGTTTAAAACAGTATGTTTGTCAGCCAACTGATTTAAAAGGCCTTTAACTGTTTTGGTTGTTGTTTTTTTTTTAAGCCACTCTCCCCTTCCTATGAGGAAGAATTGAGAGGGGCACCTATTTCTGTAAAATCCCCAAATTGGTGTTGATGATTTTGAGCTTGAATGTTTTCATACCTGATTAAAACTTGGTTTATTCTAATTTCTGTATCATATCATCTGAGGTTTACGTGGTAACTAGTCTTATAACATGTATGTATCTTTTTTTTGTTGTTCATCTAAAGCTTTTTAATCCAAATAAATACAGAGTTTGCAAAGTGATTTGGATTAACCAGGTTTGGTTGTTCTGTTAAAGTGGTGTCAGATGTTTCAAGCAGATTTAACTCCTGCAAGCCCTGATTTCATGCTGACAAGGTTGTATGTGACTGCCAATTTAAGAGAACAAAGCTCCACAGATGGAGATGAAAGTCAGTGTCCAGACCTCTGGTTCAGGGCTCGGGCTGCATTAACACAGAGCCAAATGTAGTCAGACTGCAGACTGAAGTGCCCCACGCCACGCCTCAGGCTGGCAGTCAAGGAATTCCTACATGTCCTCAGCATGGGCAGAAATGCAGGTTGAAATTAAAATTGGAGAATTACTGAGGGCGGAAAGTGAGGAAAGCATGTAAGCAGTATAGCCCACTTCAAATAGCTTGTCTGTGGCCAGAAGAAACAGGTGGCCCAGGTGTCTTTAACATCTTTATAAACTCTTAAAACATGACCATGCTTTTAATAGAAAGTGTTGGTAAAAGCAACCAACTGTTTTCCTCTAATATCACTTTGCAAATCCCTGTGGTTCTGTTCTCCTGAATTTAGGATAGTACCGGCATCTGTGCCCCTGAGCATATTTTGAACAATCATTGATGTATAGCTAGACATCCCATCTGAACACTGAGCAAACAAATATTGCTATTATTCTGTTCCTTTTTTTTTTTTCTTTTGAGACGGAACCTCACTCTGTCACCCAGGCTGGAGTGCAGTGGTGCAACCTTGGCTCACTGCAGCATGCGCCACCATGCCTGGCTAATTTTTGAATTTTTAGTAGAGACAGGGTTTCTCCATATTGGCTAGGCTGGTTTTGAACTCCTGGCCTCAAGTGATCCACCTGCCTCAGCCTCCCAAAGTGCTAAGGTTACAGGTGTGAGCCACTGCGCCCAGCCTACTCTGTTCCATTTTAGCCTGGAAGTATGTTAGGTCCCTGAATGAAAGTTCAGAACTAAACAAATTAATGGACTGTCCCTTTTCCCTGTTTTGGCTATTTCATGGTATTTACATCTTGCAGATAGCACATAAATGAGACAAGAAACTCCAGATTTAATACTCGTGTGAAGACTAAGCACTAACATGCTTTACTAGGAGATAAATTACTTTGGAAAACAACAGGGTCCAAGAGTGTGTGTGTGCGTATATATATATATTTTTGTTGTTGTCGTTCACGCCATTCTCCTGCCTTAGCCTCCTGAGTAGCTGGGACTACAGGCGCCCAGCACCACGCCCGGCTAATTTTTTGTGTTTTTAGTAGAGATGGGGTTTCACTGTGTTAGCCAGGATGGTCTTGATCTCCTGATGTCGTGATCCGCCTGCCTCGGCCTCCCAAAGTGCTAGGATTACAGGCGTGAGCCACCGCGCCCAGCTAAGAGTATATTTCTTTAAAGAGAGTTAATTCAGTGTGAAAAATTTAAACACACACACAAAATGGAGATTAAATATCACATCAGGGATGTAGGTAAGACTTCCAAAATAGAACTGCTAGATGAACAAAAATAACTCATTTATTCACTACTTTTTTTCTTTCTTTTTTTGGGGGGGGCTGTAATACTGTTGTACTATTATTAGGTACTTTCTCTATAAATTCAGATAATAAAGTGACACTCCAAAGCCCATATTCTTTCCCCAACACCACAGTGGAGGTAGAGTTCTAGTAATAAATGCTAATCAGGTTTTCAGCATTCTGCAATAAGTATAGTTCTTGAAATTTATTAAAATTTATGCCCTGTAGTTTACAGTTGGTGGTACTGCAATTCTTTTCACGGCTTTTTTTTTTTTTTTTTTTGGAGACAGGGTCTCACTCCATTGCCCAGGTTAGAGTGCAGTGCTGGGATCATACTTACTGCAGTCTTGATCTGGCTCAGGTGATTCTCCCACCTCAGCCTCCCAAATAGCTGGGACTACAGGTGCACACCACCAGGCCTGGCTAATTTTTTGTACTTTTTGTAGAGACAGGGTTTCACCACGTTGCCCAGGCTAGTCTTGAACTCCTGGGCTCAAGTAATCCTCCTACCTCAGCCTCCCAAAGTGCTGGGATTATAGACATGAGCCACTACTCCTGGCGCCCTTAAATAGTTCAGTGTCTGATAAGTAGGATAGAGTCATTCCTAGTAGGAGAGTTAAAAATACTTTTGAGGAAAAATTAAAAGCTTATATACCTTAGCTGGGCACAGTAGCTCATGCCTGTAATCCCAACACTTTGGGAGGCTGAGGTGGGAGCACTGCTTGAGCCCAGGATTTTGAGACCAGCCTGGTCAACACAGCAAGACCCTGTGTCTACAAAAAATTTAAAAATTAGCCAAGCATGGTAGCTAGCTAGTCCCAGCTACCTGGGAGGCTGAGGCAGGAGGATCGCTTGAGCCCAAGAGTTCAAGGCTGCAGTGAACTATAATCATGCCACTGCACTCCAGCCTGGGTGACAGTGAAACTCATCTCAAAAAAAGCTTGCACCCTAACAAATGAGTTCTCACTCACAGCATCCAAACTAATGTGCTCTGAAAACCTATCTTCCATTGAATACAATAATTGCTTTGGTAGTCTACCTGCCTAAAAGTCAGAAGTTGTCCAATCTTTTTTTTTTTTTTTTGAGACGGAGTTTCACTCTTGTTGCCCAGGCTGGAGTGCAATGGCGCGATCTCGGCTCACCGCAACCTCCGCCTCCCAGGTTCAAGCGATTCTCCTGCTTCAGCCTCCTGAGTAGCTGGGATTATAGGTGCCTGCCACCACACCCGGCTAATTTTTTTTTTTTTTTTTTTTTTTTTGAGACGGAGTCTCGCTTTGTCGCCCAGGCTGGCGTGCAGTGGCGCGATCTCGGCTCTCTGCAAGCTCTGCCTCCCGGGTTCACGCCATTCTCCTGCCTCAGCCTCCCGAGTAGCTGGGACCACAGGTGCCCGCCACCACGCCTGGCTAATTTTTTGTATTTTTAGTAGAGACGGGGTTTCATCGTATTAGCCAGGATAGTCTCGATCTCCTGACCTCGTGATTTGCCCACCTCAGCCTCCCAAAGTGCTGGGATTACAGGCGTAAGCCACCATGCCCAGCCATACACCCAGCTAATTTTATATTTTTAGTAGAGACGGGCTTTTTCCGTGTTGGTCAGGCTGGTCTCGAACTCCTGACTTCAGGTGATCCACCTGCCTCGGCCACCCAAAGTGCTGAAAGTACAGGTGTGAGCCACTGCACCCAGCCTTCTTTTTTCTTTTAATAGAGACGGAGTGTATGTTGCCCAGGCTGGCCTTGAACTCCTTGCCTCAAGCAATCCTCCTGCCTGAGCCTCCCAAAGTGCTTGGATTACAGGCTTGAGCCACCAACCCTGGCCATCATTTTCAAAGTCTGTTGTCCTTAAATAAATTAACATTCTAATGGAAAGAAGAAAAAGAAATGGAGAGGAAAGCTCTAGAGAAGGCCAACACAAAATTCAGTCTAATGGTTCTCTGTGGGGTGGAAGCAGGGGGATGGGCCAGGGAATGAACCCACAGCAGACACAAAAGTTAGCCAATGGTTTTATTAGTGTTTACTATTATTCTTTGTAAAAGGTATGACGTATTTTCTATATGTATCAAATACTAAACTCCTAAAACAAGGTGGGTTAGGGCAAACATGGAGTATGGCCATATAATTGAGAATCATACTATAGTTTTTATACAGCAGTCAAGTCACTAAAAATGGTTTATCAGGTTAGGTTTACCAGGAATCCTAGATGACACAACTGGGCATGAGAATACGATGAACCACCGTCCTCTCCCTGATGGCAGAGGTCATTACTGGCCTTTCACATTCAAGCCATCTCCCAGCTGTGACTCTGGGCTTGCTGCACTGTAGTGTAGGTAGTGCTTTAAGGAGATGGGAGTAGTTAGTTAATGGTTCTTTACTGAATTGGTTCTAAGATAAGTGGACTAAAATTAGAAGAAAAATCTAGAAAAAATTAGGAGACATGTTTGTGGCAGAGATCATTAACTTGAGGATACCCTATGGCCTTAAGCATCAGCTTTATTCTCATGCAATAGTTAGAAACTATTCTGAAACTTAGTCTTTAGTATGTAGATTTTTTTTTGCTTGAAACGATGTTAGATGTGGCTATGCAAGCATGGAAAGGTATCTGCTTTTTCTACCAGGCTGATCCAAACTTACACTGGGTCAGATTGCCAAATCACTCAATAGACTGAGCCTCTGATTTAGCTCAAGTCTGGGATGCTTTATACTGTGTAGGTTCACTTTCTCATGGAAGGAGCAACTGTTTCTAGCAGCTGAATCGAACAGCAACATCTTCATCCTAGAGTAGTGTGAAACCTGTTGCCCACAGTCCTCATGAAGATCCAGCCCTTGCAGTTTAGGGGAGCCAAGCAAGGGAGGAGCATATTTCTGTTCACAAGAACACTAGCATGAGAAATGCGTAGTCAATCAAGAATTTCCACCACCCTAGCAAAAAGTTTATAGTCTAGTAGCTGGCAGAAATACAACCTGCATAATTATCCTGGTTTAAATGATCTGGCAATAGAGAATGTGTCCATAATTTAATTTGAATTCTGCAAAAAAGTAAATAAGGTTATAATTAGTTGCCTAAAAACAAAGATTGCCGAAAACAATTCGGGCTTCACTGAAAAGCATCCTGATTGATCCTTGAATTGTTTAAGAAATATTTCATGGACTAGATTCATCGAGTGAGTGTTTTAGGAGGAAATAATTTTCCCACAAGTGCTGTCCAGCAGTGACTTGGGAAGTACTCAAGCAGAGACAGAACTATAAAAATTCTTTGCAAAAACAGTTATTGGAATATTGTGCAGCTGATAAAGGACAAGCTGTGTCAGAACAAGAGATCTGAAAAGTATATTTTAAAAGGCACTGAAACCAATAGTAAAAATTCATATTGACTTTATTGACTGCTGAAGTTCAGTCTCATTCATCTTCCAGCCTTCTCTGATACTGTCTTTCTGAGGCTTTTCTACGGTAGACATCATCTGTATCAAACAAAAAGTTGCTCAGATGTTTAAGAAACATATTTAAAATTAAAACAATCTGAATAATTTAACCAATAGTCTAGGTCTGTCACCTACTTCTGAATCTTGGCATTAATATTTAACTCAATGCCAAAATAAACTTAAAACAAAACTTGAGTTAGATGAGGACTATGATAATGGAGTTCTAGACTTAAATAGGGTAAAAGTCAGTGTCTTGAAAGATAGAATCATGTCTTAGCACATCTCTTAGTGTTTTAAGATGTCCCTCACTTCCTTCTCCCCCATAATTTCTATTCTGTGCTCTGAAGTCATCCTTCTTAACTAAAACCTGGCTCCTCAAAGGCACTTCTTGCCTCTTGGCTCTCTGATGCTCCCTCTCCCATATCCAGAAACCTTCAGGTGGGGAGAGGAGATCAGTTTCCTTGTTCCAGCTGCTGCTTTGCCAGACCTTTGACTCGCCACCTTCATGTAAAGAATCTTCTTTCCAGGCCGGGCACAGTGGCTCACGCCTGTAATCCCAGCACTTTGGGAGGCCGAGGCAGGCGGATCACAAGGTCAGGAGTTTGAGACCAGCCTGGCCAGTATGGTGAAACCCCGTCACTACTAAAAATACAAAAATTAACCGGGTGTGGTGGCAGGCACCTGTAGTCCCAGCTACTCAGGAGGCTTAGGCAGGAGAGTCGCTTGAACCCAGGAGGCAGAGGCTGCAGTGAGCCAAGATCGTGCCACCACACTCCAGCCTGGGTGACAGACCAAGACTCTGTCTCAAAAAAAAAAAAAAAAAATCTTCTTCCTTCATGGCTCATGCCATTTGTCTGCCACCATCTTTCTTTGGCACCTGCTCTCCATCATGCCCCTTCAGTCACCAAAAGTGCTGGCCTCTGGCTCAGGTTCCTTGACCCTGTCCTGTGCCTTCTCCCCAGATACCACCATTACCCATGGGGATGAAGCTCCAGTACCCTTCACCTTCAACATCTTCCAGTCACTTGCAGGGCTCCTCTGAAGGATTTCTGTTCATACCACAACCCCCGTTACCTTTCCAGCCCTCCTGTCCTTGGACCTCACGTTTCTTCCCCAGGTCCTTGGCCCCGTCTTACCCGCTCAGCCGCTTCTTGTTCTCTCTCCTGGCAAATCAGCTAAAATTCCTTCATACTCTTGTCAATATCTTAACTTCCTGACACACCCTCAAAACCCCAACCACAGATTAATCCAACTTCCTCCCTTCCCCATGCTTCACCCTGCTTGCTGTGTCCTGAGGGGCCAACTGATGCCTCTAACTGGGTCCACTGAGGTGTCTGACAATCCTGTTTCCTCAGCCATCATCCTGACTCTTTTTCACCCACCCCCAAATGGCCATTTCCTCTCTTCCTTCACAGAGGAAAGTCATCATAAGGAACTCTTCCAGCTAACTTCCAAGGGCTTACTCCTGTCACCCAGCTCTGGTCCCACCCTCTCAAGGGTCCAGTATCTCCAGCCTCTCTCCACCCTCTCCTTCTAGATCATTATTTGCATATCCTGCAGTCTCTCCTAGAGGAAGGGGGGTTACCTCCCCTTCACAGAGCCAGATGTATTTAACCTCCTGTCTTCTGTGATAACAAATCCTCCTGGTTTCCCTCCTTGCCTTTCTGGCCATTCTCAGTTACCCTTAAAATGTTGGGATTTGGGCCAGGCGCAGTGGCTCACGCCTGTAATCCCAGCACTTTGGGAGGCCAAGGTGGGCAGATCACCTGAGGTCAGGAGTTCTAGACCAGCCTGACCAACATGGAGACACCCCATGTCTACTAAAAATACAAAATTAGCCGGGCGTGGTGGTGCATGCCTGTAATCCCAGCTACTCCAGAGGCTGAGGCAGGAGAATCACTTGAACTTGGGAGGCAGAGGTTGCGGTGAGCCAAGATCGCACCACTGCACTCCAGCCTGGGCAACAAGAGCGAAACTCAGTCTCAAAAAATAAATAAATTAAATTAAAATGTTGGGATTTGACTTCCATCATAATTTGCTTCTGAATGGTTCACAAATCCCAATTTCTGGCCCAGATTTGCCTCCTGAGCTTCAGCTCTGTATAACCATATCTACCTCGTCACGTCCCAGATGGTGCCCAGGATGGCCCTGCCTGTGTTCGGCACCTTCAGGAAATGCACTACCCCCTGCCCCAGGTGTCCCACCAGAAGCCTCCACTCCTCATCTCCTGAGTCCACTTAATCACCATGCCCTGTCAGTACTACCTCTGGGCTGTCTTTTACTTCCATCCCTTCTTGGTATCCTTTCTGCCCCAACCTAGACCAGGCCACTGTCTCAACTCTGGACAGCCATACAGCGTAACTGTTCCTACCAATCTGTCCACAAGGAGCCATTCTCCACATGTTAAAGCCTCTCCCTAAAATGACTCAATCCTTGGGATCCATTCTTGGTTCTCCAGTCCCTTTGCCACCCTGCCCAGGCACCCTTCTAGCCATCCCCACTTTGTTGATCTGCTTCAATCCCTCAAACACACAGCATACTCTCACACAAGTGCTCCTACCACTGCCATGGAGATGCTTTCAATTCCACACACCTTCCCCTCATCTGACTGACACCTACTCAGTCTTCAGGTCCTACTTTACTTGGTAGCTGCTTCCGGAAGCCTTCCCTGCACCATCTAGTCCAGTTGAGGCGCCCACCCGAGAGTCCTATGTTCCTCCCACTTCCTTCTCACAGCACTGATCACTTTGTATGCTAATTGTCTTTATCATCTTCTTTCCCATTAGAGCTCTTCTGGGGTAAGGGACACCTCTGCCTTGTTCATTATAGCCCCTCAAGAATGCTCATTAAGTATCAATGAATGGATGAACAGAAGGACTAAGGATCTTTAGGAATCACTAATGTAACAATTCTTTAAAATGTGGGTTGGCAAGTCACAAGTGATAGCGTTTCAGGAGAGGGGCAAAGCAGAAAGGGCCGAGGGGTTGGGGAAGTCCTCCTGAAAGGAACTGGCCTGTCCAGAGTTAATGCTCAGTAATGCAGTGCCAGGCGTTACCACTATCTTTACAGTGCTGATCATCTGGACCCAGACCAAAGACCTGGTGCCAATGACTGTCCTGTAAAGGTAGTGGTAATTAGCAAAGCCAGGCAGATCAGCTCCCTCCAGAGTTTGGACAGAAGAATCCAAAGAGAAATGGCTAGTTAGCAGGAGTTTCCCTGACCCCTCATATCCACCCCCTTCTACGATTGTTGTGAGCAAGTCTGTTCCTTAAGCCCAAACGATGTCACCGGCAGGGGTGAAGGGCAGGCATGAGAGGGCTGGAAGAAGCACGTGATCTCGCCTGTAAGTGCAGGGAAGGTCACAAGGCTGGACGCCAATGTGCCCGGCCTACAGGAGAGCCAGGCCGCCCTGACTGCCAAGCGAATGGAACTGCACTCGCCCAGCGCTCTGAGTGGAATGCGCGGTCTGCAATCTGAGAATACTCCCCAGAAAAACGGATCCCTACCGCCTCGTGCCTTCCTGAAAGGAAACAGAGACTGCTACCCCCTCACTTACAGAAGGTCTCCTGGCCCACGCGCACTTTAATCATGATCCACTCCATCGTTCCTCCCAGGACAAAAAAGAAGGGCAGGAACCGGTAGATGCCAAATCGCTGCTTCCCGGGCACCCGCTGCAGAATCCGTCTCACCTGGGCCCTGGTGAACATGCTCGACCGAGGTCGTGGAGAGGGATATGACGGAACTAAGCACTGGATCGCCCGGACGCAGCCGAGACCGCCCCGCCCGTTCTCGCCGTGTACCGCGACCTGGGAGACTAGCGAGCGCCGTCCTCCGCCACTGTCTGGTAGGCGCACGAGTGCCGGAACTGGGCGCCGACCTTCTAAAGCGAGGCGGATCCGCCAATCAGACTGCAGCGGGGGCGTGCAGCTCCGCCAATCAGAGCACGGCAGGGCGCGCGTGCTCCCTGAAGCCGAGCAGGGCCTCGAAGGAGCTGGCGCAGGCGCCTCAGCTCTGGAGGTGGGACGGCCCAAAAGGGAAGGACAGCCCACGTGGCGCCGGCCCGGCCCCGCCCCCTGCCTCCCCAGTGCAGGTCTGAGCTCGCAGTTGGCAGCCGCGCCCCCTACTCTGCCACCGCCATTTTTATTCCTAATACCCAGATAGAAGTGATGACCCTCTCTGATGGACTATGTACAGCACCACATTCCAAAATGCAATTATGCAATGCCTTGCGTTTATTTCGGAGACGTGATTGGTGCCTAGACTTCTAAAGTAACAGAATTTGATATGGAGTGTTGAAAGCTGAACTTTATCAATTATCACAGCAAAAATCTAAGTAAGCGCCCCGTGAGAACCCTAAAATTAATAAAAGCTATCTTGTATGGGGCACTTACAGTTCCACAGGCACTTGTAGGCGCTTTATTCACAATAATCGCAGAAGAGCAGTATAAAGAGCATGCACTCTGTTACCAAACCACATCCCTGCTCTACAGGTGCTCCCTTAGCCCATCTGTGCCTCAATTCCCTAAGCCGTAAAACGGAGGCCTTGTTCTGACGCTGTGATAATTTAGTGCGGTAATAGGAATGATGCACTGAACACAACCCTGGAGCATAGTAACTGATTAATATTAGTTAGAATATTCATTATGATGATAATGATTGGCAGAGCCCTCGCTCTTCACATGTATTCCCAAACATGGTTTTTGTTTGTTTCTTGAGACAGGACCTCGCTCTGTCATCCAGGCTGAAGTGCAGTGGCGCAATCTCGGCTCACTGCAACCCCCTCCTCCCCGGCTCAAGCCATCCTCCCACCACTACAGGCGTGCACCACCACGCCCGGCTAATTTTTTAATTTTTTGTAGAGATGGGGGTCCCACTATATTGGCCAGGCTAGTCTCAAACTCCTGGGCTCAAGAGATCCTCCTGCCTTGGCCTCCCAAAGTGCTGTGATTACAGGCGTGAGCCACCGCGCCGAGTCTGAACGTGTATTGTTTATATGTAGTCTCTTAACTGACAGTTTAAGAGACTATGCCAGGTAGAAGCAGGGCTCTGACTTAAGAGACTTCACTTGTAATTGCGTCTTCTCATGCTGCTGTGCTTGCTGAAGATAACTGAAAGGGGCTGTCACCCCATTACCTAGGACTAAAGTAAAAACTGCAGGAACAGCTTTGAGAAAGGAGACAACTATTAGACAATCTAAGGAAGGTAAATGAAAGCTTAGAACCAATGAGACGATTTGGTGATATGGACACAAAATATACAAAAGCAGACTGGAGAGAGCAAGCAGGGCCCCAGAAAGGGTCATAGGGCCCGCAGTGAGCAGCCTGAGCTGCCGCCTGTACAACCGGCTTTGGAGGGCCAGCCCGGAAGCCTCTTTCTCCTCCGGGTAGACTCCGCCCAAGCATGCACACACACAGGCTTGATGCTCGCTCCCGTTTCTACAGGAGGTTTTGACGGCTGGATGCTGCAGGGCATCCCCTCGCCTGGAGGAGGTTCACTTGTGGCCAGGTTCCCAGCACACCCACTTGCTCACTGGGGCCCTGGGGACACCGCCACACTCGAGCCCATCCTACGGCCTCAATCCTTACCAGTCCCCAGGCCATGGACTGCCACACTGTAGGTCTTCAATCAAGGTTCAGTGGAGTTTCGAATGTACACACACCCTGAAAGACAGCGCGGCCACCTCAGAAAACAACGCGCGCCCAGCTGGCTCCCCTCCGACAGGGCCCACGGCTACTGGGTCGGCCTCCTCCGGACCCTGAGCACAGCCTGGTATGCGTGCGGGCTCGGAATACGGATCTGAGCAGAAGAAATGCGAGTGGAGAGCGGTTCTGCGCAGGAAAGAGGAATTTTGTTGGAAAGCCTGTCGACGTTGCTAGAAAAGACCACAGCATCTCACGAGGGGCGTGCGCCGGGAAACCGGGAGTTGACGGGTCAGTGCGGCCAGTTGCCGAGGTCCGAACCAAGCGGGCGCAGTGACCGTGGCCCACAACCCTGCAGCGCACGGCCCAGTCACCTGGTTAGCGGACGTCGGCTGCCCTGCAGGCCCCTCGGCCTCCCCCAGCGTGGGCCTGGCACCGGGAAGCGCGGGAAGGGCTCTTTATTTGTTAGACCAGTGAGTGGACTGGCCCGGGCTCTGGTCAGTGGGCAGTCAGTCCGAGCCCAGAGACCGGGGACCAGGACCCCGGGAAAGGAGAGCACCAGGACTAGGGGGAGGAGCGGAGGATCTGGGGTCAGAAGCATCCAGAGGCGCAGGGTAGGGCGGGCGGACCCGGGAGCGGAGAGGGCGGCAGAGGACCCGGGGGCCCGGGGGGTACCCGTCGCGCTCCGGCTGTCTCCTCTCGGCGCCTCGGCCGTCCGGAGCCTCTCAGGGACGGCCGCTCTTAGGCCCGCTGACTTCCAGGGCTGGGGCCAGGGAAAGGCGCCGCCATCGCCGGCGTGACGGCCGAAGGGGGGCGCAGAGTCCTCCCGGACCGCGCCGGAGACTGGCTGGGGGAGGGGGCTGGGGAGCCCTCCCCGCCCCGCCCCGCCCCGCCGGGTCCGGGGCCTCCCGCCCCCCGGGCCGAGGGGCGCGCCCATTGGCAGGCCGGGCTCCGCGCGCCGCACCCATTGGCCGGCCGCCGTGAGGAGCACGAGGCCACCGTGGCGGGCGCGCAGTCGGAGGGCGGCGGGCGGCGGGCGGCGGGCTGGCCGAGGGCAGCGCGGGCGGCGGGCGGCGCGCGGTGGGCATGGCGGGTGCGGGGCTGCGGGCGGCCGCTCGGCGCTGGCTGCTGTGCGGAGGCCACGGCGGGCCGCGAGCCGCCTCGTCCTCGCCCTCCTGCCCTGGGTGCGGCCCCCCGGGTCCCGGCGCCCACTGCCCCGGCGTCCCGCGCTCCGCGCCCGCCCAGGCACCCACCAGCGGCGCCGACCTCAGCGCGCACCTATGGGCTCGCTACCAGGACATGCGGAGACTGGTGCACGGTGGGTGAGCCGGGGCGGGACGTGCGCCGGGGTGTCTTCCGCGTGGACTGATGGACGGACCGAGCCCCAGGGTGCCGCTCCTCCGGGGAAACACCCAGTGGGGCTCGCCAGGGCCCCGGAGCGCAAGGGCCGGGCGGCTTTTCGCGAGAAGCTCCGGCCGTTCATCCCGGGGGCCTCTGGGGCGCCCCGACGCCCGGGGGCGGGCGGGAGGTTTGTTCCCCGGCTCGGTCTGCAGGAGCTCGGGGCTCCTCGAGCGGCTGCCGGAGTGCTGGGCCCCCGCCGACTTCCTTCGGGGTCCCGCCTGCCGTGAAGCCGCGGTGGAAACGCCCCCAACCCCTTGTTCTCGGCCAACCCTTAGTTGGGGCGGGAGAGTGCTGTGGACAAAGCCAGCGAGCGGCGCCGGGCGGAACGGGCTCCTAGGGACGGCCGGACCAAAGGGGACACCGGTTGGACTTCCCAGACACACCTCGATGTCGCCCTGGAGGTCCGGCCCCCTCTCAGCCCGGGCAGCGAAGGCTGGGAGAAGCCAAGTCACCCCCGCCCCCTGGAGCCCAGACTAGGGCTGCAAAGGGCACTTAACCTCCCTGTCCCTGCTCTCTCCCTCTGAGAAATGGCGTGAGGAGGCTGAGGCCCCTTCTTGGAGGGGGCCGGCTGGGGCGCACTAGTGAGGCCCCAGAGCTGAGAGTGCTGGACATCTGCCTGCTTGTCTCCGTGGGTCTAGTGGGGCCCTGCTTCTGCAGCAGACAGATATGGTTTGGGTCGTGACCCTATCACTGACCAGTTGGGTGGTCCCCCAGCAAGTCTCACCCTCTCTCAAGCATGAAACGCAGTCCTGGGGCCTCTCTGTCCCAGGGTTGGGTGATGACTGGAACCAGGCCAAGCAGGGCAGGAGAGCTTCCGGAGGAACCCCCAGGGGTGACGTGGCTTTTGTTGTCTGATAAAACAAAGTAGCCCTGTCTGGAAGATTCTAACTGGCTAGACAGGGGTTTTCACTCCGGCTTTGTGGGGTGGCGGAGAATCACTTCTTGACCAGTAAAGGCAGGATGGTAAAGGCCCCTGAGGAATGGTCATTTTGAAGCCTTGGGCATCTGTCCACCCTCGAGGTCCCAGGTTGAGTTTGTGTCTGTGGAGGGGCGGCCCAGCGTTATTTAAGAAGTCTTTGCTCTGGGCCCGGAGAAGACCCTCAGAGTATCCTGAGAAGCCTGCCTTGGAGGTTTCAGGGAGGACTACGGGGATCTACTGGACATTGTCCTCCTGGGCCTGCCTGCATCTTTGGAGCCTCACAGCCCTCTAAGCTCCTCTTGTCATACAAGGAGCAAAGTCATTCCCACCAAGATCCCATGGTGAGCACCAGCAGGAGCCAGCTTCACACCTCTGGGCGCCGAGGTCCGCTTTGGGCTAATGCCCACGGGCTGAGAGCAGTGCAACAGGTCCCTCAGTCCCCCAGCCCCCACCCACCTGGCCTCAGTGTGGTGACATTGGGAGGCTAGGCTGAGAGGCAGAGTGATTAATGCAGGTGGGGTGACTTGAATGGTGATCTCAACCCCGGTGCCTGTTACTGGGTGGTTTGGAGCAAGTGACTTCACCTCCCTGAGCCCCAGTTTCTTCCTCCGGACGATGGGGGAATAAGTGGGACTGCCTCACAGGATGGGAGTGAGGATTGAACAAGACAAGCCTCTAAGGCATCCACAAGTGTCACGGCTGCTAGGGAGCAGTTGGCCCTGGGACCTGGCACCATGGGCAGGTGTGGGAGCTAGGGCTGAGGAGAAAGGAGGGCAATTGCTGGACATGCTGAGTGGGACACACCCTCAGCTGCCCCACCCCCACCCCCCACCCACACCACCTATGGAAGGGAACAGGCTTCTGTCGCCCCAGAGCCAAGGTTCTTCTAGTCTAGAAATCAGGCCAGGCCACCAGGCCCTGTGGCTGTTTCCACATCCTGCTTTGTTCCTGGGAGGACTGTCTGCCCCTGGGCCCCTGGGAACATCCTTAGGGGCAGAGGTGAAGGCCTGGACCTAACCAGGACTCTGTGCCAGCAAGGGGCTGCACTGCCGAGCAGACCCTCCCAGGTCTTCTGCACCAAGAGTCACAGTCACAGTTGGTATCCGGGAACTCAGGGCCATGGGAAGGGCAAGGCCCAGGGTCCTAGTGACACACCAGAACCCTGGGCCTTGAGGGGTGGCTCAGAAGCAGCTCCCTAGAGCGTTGCAGTCAACTGTCTCACTTGCATCCAAGTGAAGACTCCTGTCTACACCCACAGATCTTCGGAGCAGCCGCTCTGTGCTGGCCTGGGGAACCAGCCACACCTGATCCCCCACCCACACCCTGAACTTGGCTCCAAAGGAAAGGGGTGGGAATGGAGCCCTGTGTCCCCAGAGTGCCTCTGAGGCAAGTGCTCTGGGCACGGAGCACATCAGCGAGATGTCTGCCTCTTGAGTGCAGCAGCTGCCAGGCACACTGTGGGGCTTCCCTGGCCCTCTGGCCTGGCAGCTCCTGCTTTGTCATCGGCACTGGGGTTGTGGCTGAGACAGGGATCCCCTGGAGTCTTAGAGCTGGGGCCCCTGCAAGGCAGGGGTACTAGATGTACCCTGTACATCTAGTCCTGCCTGCTCCCTTCTCCCTGCAGCCCCTGCTTCTGGAGGGACACTGGGAAATTGGGGACAGGATGCTCATAGGCTCAGGAAACATATCACCCATTTAATCCTGCATATGTGCAGGTGCAGAGTGAGATTGCTGCACAGAGCAGCACCTTCCATATGACAGTCTTAGTAATTCTGTAGGTTGGTACAATTTTTTTTTTCTTTTTAAAAATGTTTTCACAGAGACAGGGTATCGCTATATGGCTTAGACCAGTCTTGAACTACTGGGTTTCAAGCAATCCTCTCGCCTCAGCCTCCTGAGTAGCAGGGACTGTAGGTGTGTGCCACCATGCCCCACTTGGTACAATTTTTTGTACCCTTTTAGAAACTAGGAAACAGGCCCAAGAGGTGAGGTGACATTCCTGAAGTCATAGCCATGAGAGGGAGGGCCTGGTCTTGTCTGGCTGACCTCATTGCATGTGGCCTTCCTAGCACATCTCCTTCCCTTTCCTTTCCCTTCCACTTTCTCCATTGTACACATAGGGAAACCAGGGCAGGTAACATGGGGCCTCTCAGCCCCATCTGCCTCCTTGGGACCCCAGAGCCCATGCCACACAGTGCTCTGCTCAGCACCCTGCTGTGGGCCTCAAAGCCAACTGCAGCCTCCTGGGAGCAGCCAGGGACTTGGGGTGGCCACGACCACATCCCCAGAAGGAGCAACCTGGATAATGGCCCAGAACCTGACATCACGTCCTGACTGTCGTAATTAGCAATGTTCCCTGGCTAGAGCCAGCAAATGTCATTATATGGGCTTGCGGGCAGCTGAAATCTGATTAGAGGGGCCTCACTCTCCCTGGGCTGTGGGAAGTGCACAGAGCTGGCAGCCCGATCGGCAGAGGGGCTCCCCCTCCCACTAATGTTCCTGAGCCCCAGTCCCAGCTCTGGGCAAGGTAGAAAAGTCAGCATCCATGGCCTCAACCCCCTAGTCTGGCCATACAGAGCCAGCCCCTCTGGGTTGGAGTCCTCAGTGCCCACATGGTATCCTCACACATAATCCCAGGGAGGCTGAGAGATGAGGCCAGGGGGCAGGGCAGGGCAGCTGAGAGGAGCAGAGGAGGCGCTGAATTGTGGGGGGCCAGACAGTGGTGTTCCTGCACGGGTTTTGAGCAAGTGGGAGGCTTTGCTTTGTAGAGCATCCCAAAAGCAGCTGTTCTGGGGCTAGGCGGTGAGGAGTTGAGTGACTGCTGCCAGGGTTCTAGCATGGCCTTGTGTCTGATGGGGCTTAGTGGTGAGGGCCTGGAGTAGTCACGGGCTCAGTATACCTGGTGGGCTATAGGAGATAGTGTAATGTAGGCAGGTGTAACCATGAGGAGGAGCTCCAGCCAGGGGCTCTGCCTTACCCTAACTGCGTGACCCTGGGCAAGTGACTTCTCTCTGGGCCTGTTTGACCATCTCCAGCACTGGAATAAGAGGTGCCATTGTGGGGCGTTTCTGAGGCTCACAGGGCTAGGTCCCCACAGAGTGCTCAGGAGCCATAGCTGCTGCAGGGATCATCATCCCCATCACTGCCTCCCTGCATCTCCTTCCTCTAGACCTCCTGCCCCCCGAGGTCTGCAGTCTCCTGAACCCAGCAGCCATCTACGCCAACAACGAGATCAGCCTGCGTGACGTTGAGGTCTACGGCTTTGACTACGACTACACCCTGGCCCAGTATGCAGACGCACTGCACCCCGAGATCTTCAGTACCGCCCGTGACATCCTGATCGAGCACTACAAGGTGAGACGGGGGTCCTTGCCACCAACAAACCCAGGGCTTGGAGGCTGGCCAGACCCACCTTGGCCTAAGCTCAGGGCTGAGTCGTGGGGCTCCCCTGGCCCTCTTGCCTGGCAGCTGCCCTGGGCAGGTGGCTGGATTGACCCCCTGGGGTGGCCACCCAGCCAGCAGGTCTGGCAGGGCTATTGGCTTAGGCCTGGCCCCTTTCCCCCGGCAGTACCCAGAAGGGATTCGGAAGTATGACTACAACCCCAGCTTTGCCATCCGTGGCCTCCACTATGACATTCAGAAGGTGAGTGGCTGGACCTGTATAGGGGCTCCCTCCTTGGCCTCCTCTTGGTATGGTCATTACCCCTCCGTCCCATCCAGCTGGGGTTCTGGCATGGGCTGAAAGAGGCTGGCTTGGGGCCACGGTGAAACTGCCTCCTCACCATCCGTCCTGCCTCCCTGGCGCCCCCAGAGCCTTCTGATGAAGATTGACGCCTTCCACTACGTGCAGCTGGGGACAGCCTACAGGTCAGTCGGCTCTGCCCCAACCCCACCCCCGCCCCACCCTACACTGCTGTTCTGGCTCAGGACTACCTTGGACTGATGGTATCTTGGGCCTGCTCAGGGGCCTCCAGCCTGTGCCAGACGAGGAGGTGATTGAGCTGTATGGGGGTACCCAGCACATCCCACTATACCAGATGAGTGGCTTCTATGGCAAGGTACTCCATACCCCAGCAGCCAGCCTGCCCCATGGACATGTGCCCATGTCCCAAGGCAGATTTGGGGCCCTCGTCTCCAGCACTGAAGGGGTTGGGGTCCCAAAGGGTGTCTGAGACAATGGCCCCCTCCCCAGGGTCCCTCCATTAAGCAGTTCATGGACATCTTCTCGCTACCGGAGATGGCTCTGCTGTCCTGTGTGGTGGACTACTTTCTGGGCCACAGCCTGGAGTTTGACCAAGCACATCTCTACAAGGACGTGACGGTGAGGATGCTGGGCCTGCCCTCGGATGGCAGGAAAGACTAAGTCCAGCCACAGTGGGACAGCCCCACCTGGGCCCTGCTGTACCCTCATTGTCCTCCACTGCCCCCAGGACGCCATCCGAGACGTGCATGTGAAGGGCCTCATGTACCAGTGGATCGAGCAGGACATGGGTAAGTGTGGACAGAAGCCCTGCCGTGGCCGGCCTGAGCAGGTGGCAGGACTGACCCTCACAGACTCATCTGCCCCATTAGAGAAGTACATCCTGAGAGGGGATGAGACGTTTGCTGTCCTGAGCCGCCTGGTGGCCCATGGGAAACAGCTGTTCCTCATCACCAACAGTCCTTTCAGCTTCGTGTGAGTCCAGCCCCTGTGGATGGAGGGACAGCAGGGCCAGGGCTCTGGGTGGGGAGGGCAGGCACGGAGCCGCCCTCAGACTACTTGCCACCTGAAACTCCTCCACACAGAGACAAGGGGATGCGGCACATGGTGGGTCCCGATTGGCGCCAGCTCTTCGATGTGGTCATTGTCCAGGCAGACAAGCCCAGCTTCTTCACTGACCGGCGCAAGTATGGGCATGGTGGGGGTTGCAGGGCCAGGGAAGGGGAATAGAGGCCCCACCCCAATGAGGGGACTGAAGCAGGAGGCCAACCTGGCCCTTGCCCACTGCCCAATGTGCTTGGGGTGAGAACACCCCCTTGCTGGCATGGGTCCACTTGAGCAGGTGGGCCTTTACGGAGGAGGGATGGGGGTTGCCCGGCCCGTGGCCCAGCCACAGACTGGAAGTCATGCCCTTTACCTGCACCCCAGGCCTTTCAGAAAACTCGATGAGAAGGGCTCACTTCAGTGGGACCGGATCACCCGCTTGGAAAAGGGCAAGATCTATCGGCAGGTAAGGGCCATCTGGGGAGAGCAGCATGTGGTGGGGGCATGGGGCCTAGCTAGGGCCCCAGGCTGTGCAGAGGCAGCCTCTGAAGAAGCAGCACAGCTCCTTGGCCCTGAGCAGCCTCACACAGGCAATGGCTGGCAGGGAGCAGGTCTGGGTGGCCTCGAGAGCTTGACCTCTGGGTCAAGCAGCCTGGCTTTGAATTCCTAACTCCACTACTCAGCAGAGGGAGCCTGGCCTGGTTGCCTGACCTCTGTGCCTTGCTTCCCTTGTCTGCAAAAGAGGTGTAATACTCTCTACTGAAGCTGTGGTATAAAGCTCTCAGAATGGCCAGTGCGCCAGGCACCGTGGCTCATGCCTATAATCCCAGCAGTTTGGGAGGCTGAGGCTGCAGGATAGTTTGTTGAGCTCAGGAGTTTGAGACCAGCCTGGCCAACATGGCGAAACCCCATCTCTACTAAAAATAGAAAAAATTAGCGGGGCATGGTAGCATGCACCTGTGGTCCCAGCTACTCCAGAGGCTGAGGTGGGAGGATCACTTGAGCCCAGGAGTTCGAGGCTGTGGTGAGCTGTGATCACACCACTGCACTTTAGCCTGGGCAACAATGCAAGACCCTGTCTTCAAAAAACAAGAATGGTCAGAGATCGTGAAATGCCTGATGAATGGTGTCATTTCTTGGGGTTGAGCACTCTGCTGCAGCCAGAACAAGTCTGGTTGGGGGCAGCTCACTGGGTGATCTAGAGAAACTCCTCCTTCCTACCTGGCTAGGAAAATGAGAGGGACTGGTGTTGAGGTGGGATTAGGTGTCTATGAGCAGGCAGTGATTAAGGTTTAGCCCTGGCTGGAATGCGGAAATCCTGGCTGAGCTGGGCTTCTTCAGGCTAGGGGTTCTAAAGGCCTTGGGGCTGGAGGAGGGGGAAGCCAGCAGCTGGCCAGGGGAGCAATGTGGAGGTGGCCAATGCCCAGCCTGGCCTGCAGGAAACACCCCCACCCTCTCAGCCCTGCCCACTTCTCTGCCTCCCACCCTTCCGCACCCAAACTCTCCACAGCCCTCGGGCCCAGGTGCGTCCCTTCAGCTCTGAGGGCGCTGCTCTCCCCTGCCTTGGCATCCAGCCTCAGCTAAAGAGGGTCATACACCTTTGTGAGAAACACATGACTTTCTTCCCTGGCAGCTTTCAGGCAGTTCTTTATGCCCAGTATTCTGAAGCTGCTTTCCACTGTGTGTTGGATCCTGCCTGTCAGTCACTAGGAGTCTGTCAGTCTCCTGCCCTTTGAGACTCTTTCTCTTGGTCTGGGGCCTGCCTGGGCCTCTGCCCCTCCACTTGAACTTAGTTCAGCAATTGGCTTCTCCCACACCACCTGTTTCCCCCAGCGCTTCCACTTCTGAGGCTTGGAATGCACAGACTGCTTCAAGAACTGTGCTTGCTGGGTGTCAATTATTCTCGCTTTTGGGGTGTGGACTCCTACCCTGGTGGCTGCTGCCTGAGCACTAGTCTGGTGATTCCTGCTCTGGGCCGCTCAGTTTCTGCCACCCTGTGAGCTTCCCCAGTTACATGTGGGCCTGGCTGAGTGTCTCCATCTTTCTCTGGCTCCAAGATGCTGGTGGCCCCGGTGAGGTCTGCCATTGGTCTGCCAGGTCCCTCTGCACTGAGGCAGGGGAGGCCAGCAAGGACTTCAGGGCTGCAGAGCCTTCCCTGCAGTTTCTACCTTACAAACAGGGATCTAATCCCTAACCTGGGGTACGTGTGAGACCACAGGGAGAAGGCCCTCGAGGCATGGGCACCATGCCAGGCCTGTAGGGCACCTTCCTGCAGCAGGCAGAATCCCCTTCCCAAGTAGGAGGGGAAAGTGACAAGAACCAGGGCCCAGGGAGGGAGCAGCAAGGCCATGGGAAAGGGCAGCCAGCATCCGGCTGGATTTGGGCTGCCTCTGGGGATTCGGGAGGGAGGACTGGTGGAGGACAAGGCACACTTGGCTCAGCAGCATTCCCCTCCTCTCCCTAGGGAAACCTGTTTGACTTCTTACGCTTGACGGAATGGCGTGGCCCCCGCGTGCTCTACTTCGGGGACCACCTCTATAGTGATCTGGCGGTGAGGGAGGCAGGGCTGGGCTGCAGTGGGGGAGGGCCAGGAAACCCCCCCCCCCCCGCCCCCAGCAACTGGCGCTGAGCCCAGTTCTGCCGCCCCACCCACCAGGATCTCATGCTGCGGCACGGCTGGCGCACAGGCGCCATCATCCCCGAGCTGGAGCGTGAGATCCGCATCATCAACACGGAGCAGTACATGCACTCGCTGACGTGGCAGCAGGCGCTCACGGGGCTGCTGGAGCGCATGCAGGTGTGGGCCGGGGTGGCTGTGGGAGGGCCAGGGCGGTAGCCTCCTGGGTGCACACACCCAATGCACACTTTGTGTCCCCAGACCTATCAGGACGCGGAGTCGAGGCAGGTGCTGGCTGCCTGGATGAAAGAGCGGCAGGAGCTGAGGTGAGCAGGTGGGGCCAGGGCAGGAGTCCCAGCCAAGCCACCACCCCAGGCCCACCCCTTGAGCGCATCGTGTCTCCCTCGCCAGGTGCATCACCAAGGCCCTGTTCAATGCGCAGTTCGGCAGCATCTTCCGCACCTTCCACAACCCCACCTACTTCTCAAGGCGCCTCGTGCGCTTCTCTGACCTCTACATGGCCTCCCTCAGCTGCCTGCTCAACTACCGCGTGGACTTCACCTTCTACCCACGCCGTACGCCGCTGCAGCACGAGGCACCCCTCTGGATGGACCAGCTCTGCACCGGCTGCATGAAGACCCCCTTCCTTGGTGACATGGCCCACATCCGCTGAGGGCACCTTTATTGTCTGGGACAGGCCCTCAGCCCCTCCTGCCCCATCCACCCAGACAAGCAATAAAAGTGGTCTCCTCCCTGTGCATGCTTCTGCTTTCAGCCCCAGCCTCGTCACTTGACTGTGAGGATCCTCTGGGTGTCAGGGAAGTCCTCCTCCAGCAGTGAGTCCTAGAAGAGCAGGGTTGGTGGTGGAGGGTGTGACCAGGGCCTGGGCCCATCCCACATCTGCCACACTTCTTCACTTCCATGCTTACATCGAAGGGTTCACAAAAGGTGTCGCTGCCAAAGACAGGGTTGGGGACAGAGACCAGGGTGGGGTTGGTCCCTTCTTGCCACGGTGAGAAGTCGTCATCAGCATCATCTTCCGCCTGGGAGCAGCAGAGGGGTGAGTGGCGAGGCGCCTCAAGCGAGATCCAAGGACCCGCCATGGCAGCCCCAACCCAGCCCTACCTGGAAGGCAGAGAAGCCAAAGCCCATGGGCTTGCCTCGGGCACGGAGGTAGAGAGCTCCGGCCACCAAGCCAAGCAGTGCTCCAGCGGCAAGCACAGCCCCCACGCCTGCCGCCACAGGTGGGGCTTCAGGCGCCAGCACTGCCTGCTACAAACAAACAGGGAGAGTGTTGACCTGGCGGGAGCTGTCCCACCACCTTCCCCGGGCTCACAGGTTGTGGGGGTGCCAGGAAGGGCTCTGCCTCCCCCTTCCTCAACTCACGGGCTGTGGGGGTGCCAGGAGGGGGCTGGCCAGAGCATGGATGATGCCATTGAAGGCCATGATGTCCCACACAATGATACGGCTAACCACAACTGTCCCTGGGGCCTGCAGGGAGACCAGAGTCAGGCCCACTGTGAGCGAGGGCCAGGGCCAACAGGGTGGGACAGTGGCCAGACTCACCACAGGGGCCCAGGAACTGTTGTCAGGGCCTGCGTCACTGATGATGAGGCTGAGGCCTGAGTGGGCCGGAAGCAACTTCCCCTGGCTGGCGTTGGCACTTAGGAGGGTGGCGTTGGAGGCATGCAGCTCCAAGTCTGGGCCACTCAGCGTCTGTGAGCAGAGCAAGGCCTGTTGGCCTGGGCCAGATGGAGATGGCCAATGCAGGCTCTGCTCTGCCCACACCCTTGGGGGTTACCATGTTGTCCACAAAGCCTTCATTGACAGGGACGAAGAGTGTCTTATACGTGAGCTCATCATCCAGGAAGTCCAGGAAGTCGAGACCCCGCTGGGTGGCATTGGCATAGCCCAATAGCATCTGGCACGGTGGAAAGACAGAACTATGAGCAGGCTCCCTCCTCGGGGATCCCAGCACCCCCCGCCCCCAAGGGTGGCCCCCACACACCCCATAGAAGGTGGAGAAGTTGGCAGTGGCAGCCAGCACATCCAGCAGCTTCCCATTGCACGTGCTGATCCCGTCACCCACGAAGCCATTTCGGCATCGGCAGGCCACATCTGCAGGAAAAGCAGGTCAGTGGCTCAGCAGATTGGTGGGAAGGGGCAGAGCAGGGGAAGTAGGGTTTGGTCGGGTGGACACACCTTGCACACGGAAGCAGTAGGCATCCCAGCGTTCTGAGAGGTTCTTGCGGGCACCCAGGCTGACTATGCCCACCCGACCATTGCCACAGTCCGCCACAGGGAAAACCACAGGGTGGGCAGTGGAGCCATTGGCCAGCCAGCCCATGAGGCACAGGTGGAAGCCCAGCTGTAGGAACAGGAGGGGATACTAAGACCCAAGACCCAGTCAAGGCCTCCCCCAACACTTGGCCCCAACTTCTGGGCCCCACACACCTGCTGGGCAGCAGAGAGCTGAGGGAATGAAGCAAGGACGGCTCCCTGTGCTTCGCATGCCGCCTCAGCCTCCGAAAAGTTCAGACCATAAGGGCCGCTGGTGGCCTGGAGGTGGAAAACGCCAGCCCGTTTCTCTGCAGAATGGAGGGGTGCATGGTCAGCTGGCCGGCTCTGAGGAATGAAATGGGTACTGGGAGTGGGCAGGGGGACACACCCTGGAAGTGCAGGTCAGTGCACATGGCATCTGAGTGGCAGGGCGGTGGCTGGCCCAAGCAGCGGTCCACAGGTGGTTCCGACTCCTCCAGACACTGCAGTCCATCGCCTACGTAGCCTGCGTGGCACTCACAGCGCCGTGTGTTCTGGGGTTGGAGAGAGCAGTGGGCGCCCTTCACCCTTCAGAGGTCGGAAGTTCTGCCAGGCCTCCCCACCCTGGCTACTCGGTTCCCCCACCTGCTCACCAGGCCGGTGCTCAAGCAGTTGGCGTGCTCGCTGCAGCCCCCGCGGTGGCCATCTGTGCAGGGGTTGCGGGCCCGGCAGCTCCAGCCATCACCCTCGTAGTCGGGCAGGCAGGTACAAGTGACCATTGTTCCTACCTGGCTACAGTTGGCGTGCTCACTGCAGCCACCATGCCCGTCCTGGCACAGGTCTGCCACTGAGGGCAGGGAGGGAGTGGTTGGACCTAGTGACTGCAGGGGAGTGGGGGCCTCCCACCTCCATGTCCCCGCCCATCTGCTTACCTGTACACACACGGCCATCCCCTTCATAGCCCAGGCTGCACTCACAGCTGTTGCCTGCACGGCACACAGCCTCGGGTGCACAGGGTGGGGTACACACAGGCTGCAGCTCTGTCCCCCAGGGCCCAGCCCCCAGAACCAGGTTAGTAGTTGCCTTCCTGGCCTCTGCCCGTTCCACCCACCCTTGGTGCCTTTACTGATGTGTGCACATGTACACAAGTGTGTAGGGTGGGCACGAGCACGGGGCTACTCACCCAGTTGCACCTCACAGCGTGGCCCAGTCCAGCCTTCATCACAGAAGCAGGAGCCAGAGCCCCCAAGGCCCTCATCACAGCGGCCATGCACAGTGCAGCGGCAGGCTGGGGAGAGGGACAGGCAGGAAGATAAAGATTGGCCCACAAGGGCCAAAGGAATCGGGCCGTGGGGCAGGCAGGGATGGCCCACCTTGACAATGGGGCCCAAAGGCACCAGGAGCACAGAGTTCACAGGCTGTCCCAGCAAAACCTGAACGGCACAGACACTGCCCACTGCCACTCATGCCGTCCATGCACACGCCACGGTCACTACAAGGGCTGCTGGGGCCGCCAGGGCAAGCTGGGGATGGGGTAGGAGAAGTGAGGTGGGGCCAGGGGCTCTCACCAGGACCCCCATATACGTACCTCCAGCCTAGCCCTGCCATCTGTCCCTGACCTATGTCCGCCCACTGCTAAGATCCCTCCAGGCCCATGTCCTGGAGAACATCCAGACCCCCCAGCACTCCTCCCCAGGTTCTGCACCGTCCACACTACCGCCATGCCTCTCCCGAGCACTCCCGCTAGTAAAATCTACTCACCACCCAGAGCTCCCCAGCCCTGGACGCCCCAACACTCTCTCAAGGACAATGGCCAGAGCTGTGCCTTGGCTCTCTTGGGGAACAGAGGAGCTAGTCAACAGTGTCTGCAATGCTCACCTTGGCACTCACTGCCATAGTGACCAGGGCAGCAGCTGGGCTTCCAGGTGGTGGTGACACAATTGCGGTGGCAGCCCCTGCCCAGGCCTTGGGGCCTACCCCAAAGGCTGGGGTGGACCCAGACGCTGCGTAATCCCAAAGAGTGCAGCGGAGGGGACGTCCAGAACTTCGGGTAGAAGCGCCAGCAGGCCTCAGGGCTGCCCTGGGCCAAAGGAGTCAGGCCGCAGTTGGGTGGTTCTGAGTTTGGTGGTCCTTGGGCTCTGCCTGCCCCCACCCCACCACCCCCACTCAGCCCCTAGCCCTGTACCTGCTCCTGTGACCCCTCAGGACAGGGTGGCTCCAGCCCACAGATGCTGCAGGTGTTCTGGAAGGGAGGGAGGCCAATACAGCAAAGTCAGGTGGATGGACACCACAGGCGGGGTGGGCTTCTGCCCGTCTGCCTCTGGCCTCCCTCACCAGTCGCAGGGGCCGGGTCTCAAAGTGGTCACAGCGAGCACCAAGGCCAGGTGGCTCCAGCAGCTGGTCGATGCCATAGGCCAGGCCACCCTCAAAGGGCAAGTGCCGCTGCACAATGCGAGCATCATCCTCACCCACCATGAGCTCACCCTGCAAGGAGAGAATATGAGGTATGCAAGGGTCGCAGGTGCACTCCAGCTGCTACTGCCAGGGCCCCTGCCTCCTACTCCCTTCATCCAAGCCCTCTCCCCAGACTCACGGCCCGCGTTCGGCTGCAGGAGAAAGAGATGGGGGTCCCATGCATGGTTCGAAGTGGGCCCAGGTTGGGCAGGTCAGATGCCAAGGCCTGAGCAAGTGGAGTCATGGTTGGAGGTGGAAAGGCAGGCTGAGCTGCAGGCAGTGAAGACCAAGGTTGGGGGCTGCACCCACCTCGACATTGCGAATCATGTGGCCCCGCAGAATGGCTGCTAGCTTGTCACGGTGGTCCTCATGGTACAGCCAGGCCTGGCGATCCGGAGGCAGAGCTCGAAAGGCGGCGTCTGTGGGCCACAGCATTGTGAAGGGCCTATGGGATGCCTCTCGAAGCAGGGGCAGGAGGCCGGCCACCTGGTGGGGTGCAGCAAAGATGTGGCAGTCGCTGCCCAGTCAGAGACTAGTTAGCAAAGGCAGGGGGCTGTGCCACAGAGCAGGAAGGGGCTCCACACTCACCCACACTCATCTGTGACCATCCCAGGCAGGCATGTGTGTGCACACATCTCAACTGTGCACACTGCTGTCAGGAATGTGGGCACACATAAGCACACCCATGTGCTCAACCTGGGGTGCACATGCACACAGATGTGGCTTGTGCACACATGAGTTCACACAGGCTCACACGGGACAGTGTGCACACAGGTGGGTATGCACACACAGGTACGCATACACACTTGCACACACTTACACGTGCATGTGTGTCCACAATGACAGGCCCACACGGGAGCAGTACCTTCAGGAGGCCGCTGAAGATCTTGTAACCGAAGCCCTGGGCGGCGGCGGTGACATTTCTCTGAGGAAAGGCTCTCATAAACAGCTAGGCCAGGCGGGAAGGGAGGATCCCAGGCCCCCACCTGCCTGTCTTCCAGCTCCCAGGCCCGTGCTTGTCATACCCTCGGGATGGGAGCATCATCAGGCTCCCAGTGCAGCGCCTCGGGGGGCAGCAGGACACGGTCAATGAAGTGCAGGATGCCGTTCACGGCCTCATGGTCGCTGCTCACCACGCGCGCGAAGTCATTGAGGTATATGCTGCCCTGGGGGCGGGGCACGGGGCTGATGAAGCAGATAGGTGGGGTGCTCGGAAGCTATCGGGGCCTGAGGTGGAGGTTGAACCTGGGTTGGGCAAGTCAGGGTGCAGGCAGTCCCGGTTCTTCGGGACCAGGACGAGGTGGGCGGGGTCTGGGGCGGAGTCAGGGCAGGGGGCGGGGCTCAGTCCTCGGAAGGACACAAGGGCGCTGGGCAGGACAGGCCCACAGCAGTGGGCGAGGCCCAGGTCAAGGGCGGAGTCCCGGGCTGGACTCAGCAGGAGGCGCCCCCTGGCTAGGGGAGGTGGGGTTCTTGACTGCGTGGGCCGTGGGGCCTGGGGCAATGGCGCGCAGGGGCGGGGCGGGGCGGGATGGAGCGGGGCAGGCCAGGGCCAGGGCTCACCTCCCTCTCGCTGAAGCGCAGTGGGTGCCCTGAGAGGGCCGTGGCGTACCCCTGCTCCAGCAGGTCCTCGCTCCGCAGCCGCCGACAGCCAACCACGTGGTAGCGAAACACCAGCTGGCGATGCGCACGAATCCGGGCCAGCTCATCCTGGAGCAGAGTCGCGAGGGGAGTGGGGTCCCTGACTGCCGCCTCAGCCCACGCAGGGCCACCACCAGAGCACCCAGCCCTGCCCAGCCTCGCTCTGGGGGCTGCATACCTGCGACAGGTTGCTCATTAGATCTGCGTGCGGCACGAAGATGGTGAAAGGCCCATCGCCCTTGAGCTCCTTATATTCCTGCGGGAGGCAGCAACAGCATGAGTGGAATGGGAGAAGCCTGAGGCGTCCATGGATCTCCTGGGGAAGACCTGGACTCAGAGAGAACAAACCAGCCAACCCCCTGACCAGATGGGGACAGAAGTCCAGAGAGGGGTGGGACTTGCAGGTCACAGAGGCCCAAGCTGGCCACTCACCAGGAGGCGGAGGCTGAAGAATGAGGCATGCTTATCCCTCAGGAGCTCCTGGGGGGGCGAGGGTCAGCTCAGATTTGGGGCGGCCCCCATTCAGGGCCTGGTGCCTGTCCCAGCACCTGCGGCCCAAGGTCTAGCCAAGGCAGACATGAGGAAAGGAAAGCCGCGGGGTCTGAGTTGGGGTCAGGGCTAGTTTCATGGGTCATAGCTGGGGTCAGGCCCAGGTACAATCAGGGGTCAGGCTCAGTGTCATGGTCAGGGCCAGAATCAGGATCAAATCGGATCTTTGCCAAGACCATGGGTCAGGCCCATGGGGCACAGCCAAGACCAGATCAGGGGTCTGACTTGGGCATCATTACCAGGCCGACTCGGGCACGGCAGGTGAGGCCGTCCCCCACGGTGTGGGCTGTGTCGCAGGTACATGTCCTCTGGCCATCCCCTGTGCTTTTGCAGGTGGCATATGGGCTGCATCCTCCATTGTTCTGAGTCAGGGACAGGAGAGGAAGGTATCAGTGGCTTTCACTACTTCTCTATCCCACTCAGCCCTGTGAAAGAGGCCATGAAGGCCCCTGCTCAGCCCCCCAGATCCTATTTGCTACTGATTAAACTCGAGCTTGACGGGAGGATAGCCCACCCTGCAGAGGCCCTTAGGACCCTGCTGGAGGTGAGAAGGGCTGGTTCCTGCCTCAGTCCCCTCTCCTTCTCGTCAGTGAAGGAGGACAGGACTAGGGTCCTGACCTTAGAGCAGGGGTCCAGGAGCTCGCAGGTCCGGATGCCATCCCCGCTGTAACCCTCACGGCAGCTGCAGGAGACCTGTCCCCAGTCTTGATCAGTGGGGCTGCTGGGAGCCAACAGCTGGCCAGCACCCTGGGTAAAAGGGTCACCCCCCTCCCCGGGCCTGCCCTGAAGGGAGGCCCCATCCTGTGAGGGCATGGCATGATGCCCCATGTCCAACCCTGCCATGCTGACCTGCTGGGGGCCAGTGGGGATGCACTCGGCGTGAATGTGGCAGCCCCCGTGGTGGATGAGACAGCTGTTAATTTCTGGGGGAAGAGACACTGGGATGGGGGTGGCCCTTAGTGGCCCCCCCCTTCCTCTGTCCTTTGTACCTTCATCTGTCCCACCCCCTCCTCTCTCAGCGCCCCCAGTCCCCACAAGTCCCATGTGCCCCTTCAGCCCTTCCTAATCTGACTCAGATCACTGAAGCCAGACCCCTAGCCCAACATAAACCCAGGTTAGGGGCCTAGTCTCACCCTGGCACAGCTCCCCGTCGCCCATGTAGCCATCCTGGCAGGTGCATGTCCGCTGCCCAGGTGCCACCTTGGTACAGTTGGCATGAGGGGAGCAGCCCCCATGGCCGTGGGCGCAGGGGTCCACCTCTAAGGGGAGATGGCCAGAGAGTCCTCAGGAGCAGGCACGGGGCCGGAGGCAGGACAGGAGAGGAGGGCGTGAGAGAAAGGAAAAGGTCAGAGGGAAGGGTGAGTCCTGAGATGGGACAGTGAGGGGGGCTGGGCCTAGAGGAAGTGAAGGGGGCTCTGTGGGGACAGCCACCCCAAAATTTCAGGGAGGGCCCTGGGCATCCGTGTGGCTGGACCTGAACAGAAGATGCCATTGCCGGAGTATCCCGCAGCACAGGCGCAGGTGGAGGCTCCGGCCGAGTCCTGCACGCAGCTGGGAGGGGTGGTAGCAGCAGCTTAGCCCATGCCTGTCCAGTCGTGCCTTGACCCCCAGGCTCCCCGCCACTCACCCACCCGCCCCAGGCTGGGCCCACTCACTTGGCATTGGGGTCGCACTTCCTAGGGCACTGAGGGCTGGTGATTTCTGGGGGGCAGGAGGATGACTCTGGTCATTCAGACCCAGGAACAGCCTCCTCAGTAGCCACCTGCCCCCTCCCCATTGGGACCCACTCACTCTGGTCACAGCGGAGGCCCTGCCAGCCCACGTTACAGACACAGCTTCCGTCCCCTTGCAGCCCCTCCTGGCACAGCCCATGGGCACAGTCACACACTGCAGTGGTATAAAGGAGGATAGGAGTTGCCCAGTGCCTCCATCCTGTCCCGGCTGGGGTCTCCAGGCTGCTCTCTGCTGCCAGGAGGCCCACCCCCGCCCCTCCCCAGTCCTCACCTCCGGTGCAGTTGGGCCCGTAGCGGCCCAGCTCACACACCTCACAGGCCGTTCCATGGAAGCCCTCGTGGCAGTGGCACTCCCCGCTGCCCAGGAACCTGTCCTGGCACTGCCCATGGCCTGAGCACACCCCCCCTAGACCCCCTGGGCATGGCTCACACAGCGTGCCAAAGAAACCAGGGCAGCAGTCCGGCACCTGTCGGCGTGGGGATGGGAGAGAGGGCGAGAGAGGCCCAGCAAGGTGTCAGGGGGAAGGGGAACGGGGGCATCTCGGGGCCACAGAGCCATGGAGCAAAACCCCTCAGAACCCCAGTCCCAGGGATGAGCAGCTCAGAGCTGAAAGAGACACAGAGATACCTCCTAAAACCCTCCCTCTGGCAGGGTGGGGAAACTGAGGCTCAAGCAAGGAAGGGCTGCACCCAGATCCCACAGTGAGGGGCCAAGCCAGGCCAAGTTGCTGCCCCTGGGGTTTCGCTGATGGAACCAGCTCTGGACTGCCCTTTCTTCCTCTCACCGTCTCCACTCCCTCTCCCTGGGGGAGTGGACACAGGGACAAACACTAGCCCTCTGACTTCAGACCTCTCTCCCATCTCCTTCCTCTGGGTTCTGGCCTCACCCTAGTCCCAGCCCAGTCTCTGTCCTTAAGATCCAAACTGGGCTCCTCCCTGGGCCCCCACCCACTCCCACCTCCTTCTCTCTGGACAGGCTTGGGGTGGGGGCTTCAGGGCAAACCTGGATCTTCTTGGCACATGTGTAAGAGCAGCCCCGGGAGAAGGAGAAGCCAGATCGGTAGACACAGCTCTTCCTGGGTGTGTCCTGGAAACGGGGACAGGCAGGAGGGGTCAGCCAGTGGCTTGGGCAGGGGCAGGGCAGTGAATGGGGAGACAGACAGATGGACTACAGGTGTCAGGCAGCTGAGCAGAACAGCAGAAGGGTCAGAGAGGGACCAAGACAGGCAGACTGATGGGAGAGGGCGGACAGGATCCAAGCCTCGGGCCGCAAGTCTGAGAGAGTCTCCCCTCAGCAGAGCCAGGCCAGCCCTCCAGACCTCTATGGGGACGTCAGCCACCCAGTTCCCTGAGCCTGGATGCCTGGGCCAAGCAAAACTGGGCTGGAGGGTGAGGGGATTGGGCACCTTGGAAGAAGTGAGGGCAGGCAACACAGGGACAGAGCTGCGCTAAGCCCAGTCTCACCTGCAGCTGGAAGCCCTGAGTGCAGCGGAATCTCCTGGTGCAGTTTACACATTTCTCCTAGAGGGAAAAAGGGTGGGGCATCAGGCAGTCCAGGCCTGGATCCCTGCCCTTCCTCCAGGACAGACTGACCATGCGCCCCTCCCCACTAGTCAGGTCAGCTAGGCCCTCCCAGCTCTGAACTCCCGTGCCGGCCTTCCTGTGGCCCCAGCCTCTCACCCGCAGGGCCTCAGCGTGGCTATGCAGGCAGCGACTTGAGCCCACCGTCAGGACCCCCGACAGACCAATCAGCGAGCGGCCAGGGGCCTCCAGCATGGGGCCTTCCAGTGGCACATGGTTCACCTCAGGCTGGGGAGAGGGATGGAGGCTGAATCCACCCACCTACCACCCTCACCTGGCAGGGCTGTAAGGTCAGGCAGTACTCCAGGGCCGGGGGGCTCCCTGGAGCAGAGGTTAGAGGTTGGAGGCTCACAGCTAGGGAAACTCCAAAGGGAAGGGATCTTCAGGGGTAGGGGCCCGGGCTAGGGTCTCCTTGCTCCCTGACCCCCAAACCTGGCCACTGTGGTTGTAGAAGACGATCCAGTGGGCAGGGCCCAGGAGGGAGTTGCGGTGTCCACCCTTCCGCAGGGTTTCCATGGAGAGGGCCTCCCCCAGGACCACATGGTGCCGCACTGTGTCTGCGTCCTGGAAGAGAAGGAGAGAACCCAGGGGACTGCAGGATAACCAAGTGCCCTGGACAGCACGCCACACCCACTGTGTCCCTTCGTGGTGGGATTGGAGGCTCGCCCTCTATGCCTTTGCCCTCCCTGCCATTGCCCCATCCCCACGGCCTCACCAGGTGACTGCTGTTGCCCTGGGCCTCCAGGGAGCGGTTGGTGGGCACAAAGATGGTGTAGGCAGTGGCAGCCTCAATCTGGGGCACCAACCCATGGTGCTAGGGATGGGGTGGAGGTCAGGGATGGGCATATTAGTTGTCAGTCCTGACACTGGGAGCCAGCCAGGTCCCTCTGGACCTGGGGCACAGTGTCCCCCGAGCAGGCACATCCCCTCTTGCCAGCCTTCCGTACCTGCAGCAATTCCCGGAAGAGGCTGAAGGCAGGCACCAAGTCCAGCTGCTGCAGCAACCCCTGCCCACCGGGCACATCCCCTCGGGGGGGCAGTAAGACCTGGTACAGAGCACAGGGCCTGGTCAGTATGTCATTGCTTCACGGCCTGCCTGCAAGTTTCCCTGCACACACCCTCCTCCTGCTGTACCTGGCTGAGGATGTGTAGGACACCGTTGGTGGCAAGGAGGTCAGCCACATCCACGCTGGCATTCTGCACCCAGACCCTCTGGAAGGCAGCAGCAGAGCTTAGCCACAGGTGGGCACAGATAGACCCTTAAAGGTGGGGCAGCCCCAACAGAGAGACTGCCAGGCACACAGGCACCCACAGGTGGTCCGCAGGCTGGCCCACAAGCTGGGTTCTGCACAGAAGCTCCTCCCAGGAGCTGACTCTGATCCTGAGTCAGACTCAGGACCCACCAGCTGGGCACACAGACCCTCCCCAGGGCCCGTGGTGACAGGGGCGGGTGTGCATGTGCAGACTGAGATGGACAGAGAGCCCCTGCAGGCAGTCACTCCTGGCCCAGCGACTCAGTGTCCATCAGCAATGCGTCCTGAGCACATCCTTTGAGCCCGGCTCTGGGCAGGGCGAGGGGACCCCAATCTCATCCCATGGGGCCCCTGATGTGGGAGAGCCTGCAGCCACTCAGGCTCCCTCCCATGCCCTACCTGGTCCCCTTTTCTGCCCAGAGTTCACCACATACCCCACTAATGTTGCGAATCTCCCAGCGTGTGGTGGGGTTCAGGGTGGCCACTTCCTGCCCACCCAGCCGGGCCAGCTCCTCCTCGAAGAGGGCACCCTGGAGAAAATGGGCCCTGACAGGGCACAGTTTAGGGGGGTCATGGAATCAGGTTAGTGTAACTTACAGAGACCTTTGGGGCTGGGCCCACCCCAAGGGGTGAGTGCCTGCCAGGCTGAGGACTCGCTGGGGAGGGACTGGGTCCCTCAAGGAAGCCCCTCCCACAGCCTGGCAATGGCGGCCCCACCTGACCAGGTTCGGCAGCGTCCTTGGCTGCAGCCAGAAAGCTCGGTCCTCGGGGCTCAGCTGACGGACTGCAGCCTCGGAGGGCACCAGGGCTGTGACTCGGCGGTCGGCAGGAAGCGTGATGCCGGCACTCTGCACGCACACAGGGAGCAGGGGCGGGAGGAGCGAGGAAGGCAGCCATCATCTTCAGATCCCCTGCTCTAGGCTCCAGCCCTGCCCCCAACCTCCCACGCTTGGAGATGTTATATGGCACCCCTCCATCCAGGCAGGCCTCCTGGATTTGAGCCCTCAACCCCAGCATTCTGCCCTGTCCTACCTTAAGCCATTGGTAGAAGATGGAGAAGTGGGCATTTGCCTCCAGCTCCTAAGGGAAGGGAAAAGTCTGAGGTCACAGGACCAGGGGCAAATTCAAGCCCCTTCCCCACCATGGATCCTGAGCAGTGCCCCTTTCCCACCTGAGGTGCTGGAGAGGGCTCCTTCCCAAGCACGGGGAAGACAGAAAACGAGTCTGAGCACCCCTTACCCGGAAGATGTCTCCATAACAGCTGAAGCCATCACCCCCAAAGCCAGGGGGGCACGTGCAGACCCGCTGACCTCCCCCCACTGCCCGGCAGGTGGCCTGGGGTGGGAGTGAGAAAGGGCCTCCATTCAGAACCAGATGGCAGCTGGGCCCCTCCCTCCCCCATCTTTCTGCCTGTCCAGCCACCCAGCCCCAGCCCCTGCCCCTTGCTCTGCAGCCACCCAGTCTGTGTTGGTGGCACTCCTTCGGTGTGCCTAGCCCTGCTCTCCAGGACACTGGGCATTTGACACAAGCATTACCCATGCCAGGTGGATGCGAGGGAGCTCAGGGCTGTGGGAGGACCCAGGAGGCCCGTATCCCCAGGAGCCAGAGCTGAGAGCAGGAGGAGCTAGCCAGGCCCAGGTGCAGCTTGCAGAAGCAGGAGTGTGGTACAGTGGAGCAAGGGCAGGGGATGGTGAGGAGCTCAGCGTAGCCAAGGACAGTGGAAGTGGGGCAGGAGTGGAACAGAGAGACGAGGCTGGGCAGGGGCGGGTGAAGGGGGAGAGGAGTGACATGGTTGGATTTGAAGTTTAGAAAGATCTTAATCCTGAGGGGGTACAGAGAGACACCCAGAGATGGGGAGGGAGGGAGAGAGCTGCAGCCCAGGCTCACCCCAGAAAGCTTCCCCAGGGCTCTGAGCCTTGCACCCCCTTACCAGGCCGTGGCAGCCGCCATTGCCTGCCCGGCAGGGGTCGATGGGGCTGCACTGGTAGCCATCCCCGGCAAAGCCCAGCTTGCAGGTGCATCGGCTCTGGAAAGGTTAGGAACAGACGGCCTTGTCTCATGATGAGCATCCAACCCTTTCTTCCTCCATTACTTGGCTCTCTCTGGTCACTGCCCCCAGGGAGGTCTGCCCAGACCCCAGAGGAACTTCTCCCAGCCCTCCTCTCAGAGATCTGTGCTCCAGATGGGGAGACAGAGGCCCTAAGGGGAGACTGGCTCTCAGGATGAGTCCACGGAGGTGAGAGCATTTGCAGAGAAGCATCCGTGGAGACTTGGTGCTCCTGCACTTGGAGCCTGGGGCCCTGCCAGGGCCATTGAGGCCAACAGCTTGTGGCAAGTGTGTAGGTACCTGCCAAGGCCAGCCCCAGGATAGTGGCTTAGATCCCACCTCCACCCCTGCCACCCTACTCAGCTGCTCTAATCCCCCAACCAAATGCCAGTGTCCCTGGGCTTGTCTACACTGCAGGTGAGTGACCAGCGAGACCCCTCAGCTCTCAGGTGCCCTTGTTTGCACGTTGGGAGCATCTCACTGGCTCATTCAACACCTCTGTTCTGAATTAAGGCCCTAATGGGGTTTGGAGCTCCAGCTCTTACACCTGTCAGTTCTTACTGCTAAGGCCCCACGTGCTGGTGCCCAGAGGCCACCTTGGAGTTGGGAGGACAGGGAGCCCCACAGGCCTGGCCATGCAGAGGCTGACCCTGACCAGCCAGGCCTGGCCTCCCACTTGGCGCGTTAGACAGTCTTCAATGCCTGTCCAAACACTGGTTCACCAGTCCTGAAATGCTCCACATGGAAGGCTCCAGGTTCCGAGCTCCCGTGACTAGATTCAGACACTGCAAAGCTCCGGGGCTGGATTTCCATGAGGCTAAAGTTTTGGGGAGGTCACTCCCACGGGCAGGGGCTTTTCCTGCTTTGCTCAGTATCACATTCCCTACATCTAGAACACGGACTAGCATGGAATAGGTGCCTGAAAACACCTGGGAAAGCAATGAGCCAATGGATGAAGGAGCGAATCCCAGATGCTACTACTCAGCATGTCAGCACTGGGTTCTCATCTGCACCTGAGGCTCCAGACCCTGAGCACCTGACTCTGCATTCCAGGAGTCAGATGGGGCAGGGAGAGAGTCCCCCAGAACCAAGGCCCCCACCCCTTCTCTGCTGCACCTCACCTGCCCGGGGCCCACATAGCTGCAGAGGGCATCGGTGTGGCAGCCACCTCTCATGTCCAGCTCACACTCGTCAATAGCCACACAGACGCGGCCATCCCCACTCCAGCCTTTGTGGCATGTGCAGTGGTGGGTGCCCAGGGACCCAGGGACACACTCAGCCTGTGAGAGCCATGGATAAATAACTGAGGGACACAAGAACGTAGGCAGAGGGCCAGGGCATCCCACCTCCTGCCTCTGGGTCAGAACTTCAGGGAAGGAGCAAGGGGACTGACATTCTCTGAGCAGCCTCCACGGTCCGGGTGGGAGCAGGGGTTGCTAGGTGTGCAGGAGAAGCCATCACCCTCAAAGCCATCAAGACAGCGACATCTGGGGGTGGGTGAAGGAGGGGGCTCCAGTGAGCCTCAGGTATGAAAGGTCACGGGTGGGGCAGACAGAAGGTGTGGGTCCTCACCTGGCAACACCCTCCTGGCTAACACAGCGGGCATGCAGGTGGCAGTGCTGGGCCAGCCCTGTGGGCCCACAGTCCCCCATGGACTCGTTGCAGAACCGGCCACTGAAGCCAGGGGCACACGTGCCCTGCTGGCACACCCCCCCACTGCCTGGGCGGTTGTCGCAGAGACCATGGACACAGCCGCAGTCTGTATGGAGTAGATGGGAGCAAGGAAACTGAGAAGCAGGAGGCAGGGCTGGCTGGGAGCCAGGATGGGTTTGGGGGATATAGGGAGTGGGGCAGCCAGTACAGATTTGACTTCAGGGTGGAAAAATCAGAGGTTATCTCAGACTCAATGGGCAGGCAGATGAAATGTGAGGGGGGCATTCTGAGCTTTCAATTATCCCATTCTAGTTGCCCTGATCCCAACACCACCATCAGGAAGTTCTTCAGTGTGTCTGACCTAAGTCCCGCATACTTTAAGCCACAGTTCCCTTCCTGGCCTGGGTGAAGCAGACAGCATCTCCTTTCTGTTCTCAAATCTTCCTCCACTCCCCTTGGCCTTCGTCCCTCCTCCTGGGGCTTCGTTTCCCTTCTTGAGAGCCCCCAGACCCATTTTTAGGCAAATCTTCCTCCACTCCCCTTGGCCTTCGTCCCTCCTCCTGGGGCTTCGTTTCCCTTCTTGAGAGCCCCCAGACCCATCTTTAGGCAGACGTTTTTTCTCCCTAGGAGGTGGCCTGAGCCAGGACCACCCACCTTCCTGGCATTGCTCTCCATGCTTGTTTGGGTTCGAGCAGATGTGGCAGGCGATGCCCTTGTAGTCTGGGAAGCAGAGGCAGGCCCCATTGCCCTGGATCCCATCACTGCACTAGAGAGTGAGCAGAAGGCAGGATCAGTCATGGGAAAGGGACTCTCTACATCCCCTCTCCCAACACCCCCTCCTTTCATGGGCTGGCTCTGAGCTCTTGCTACCCGTGAGAGCTCATCCTGGAAGGGATCTTCAAAATCACTGATGCCGCCAAAGACCTAGCCCCTAAAAGGCACCTGGCCCTGGAGGCTTTATGAGCAACATTTGCTGGATGCAGAAACACATAACTCCTGTGTTCTTCTATAGCCAGGTGCTAAAGTAACCGTGATATTACAAAGTGGTAAAAACAGAACACAAAAGAAAACCACCAAGTAGCCTTTTTGGAAATAAATGCCAAAAAATCTATCTATCTATCTATTATTATTATTATTATTATTATTGTTATTTTGGGATGGAATCTCACTCTGTTGCCCAGGCTGGAGTGCAGTGGTGCAATCTTGGCTCACTGCAACCTCCGCCTCCCAGGTTCAAGTGATTTTCCTGCCTCAGCCTCCTGAGTAGCTGGGATTACAGGTGTGTGCCATAACACCAGGCTAATTTTTGTATTTTTAGTACAGACAGGGTTTTGCCATGTTGACCAGGCTGGTCTTGAACTCCTGACCTCAAGTGATCTGCCCGCCTCAGCGTCTCAAAGTGCTGGGATTACAGGCATGAGACATTGCACCTGGCCTCTCTAATTATTTTTAATTAAAATATGAGAAATAATTTGATCCAACTTTCCACTGCATAGATATGAGAATCCCAAGGCCAGAGTGGCAGGCTTGGCCCAGACACACAGCCAGTCACTGGCCAACCGGTGAAGGAGTCCTTGTGTTCCCCATACCTCACCCCAGGAGAGGATGGGACTCACATTGCCTTTGCCATAGCAGGGGTTGGAGAAGCCCCCAGGACACTGCGTGCAGTCAGGCCCGAAAAAACCTTTGCAGCAGCCTTGTTCCTATAAGAGACAGAACAGGTCCAAGAGGCCATCTGGGTCCATGCCCTCCCTGCCCAGGCTGCCTCTGCTCCCTGGCCCCATCTCCAGAGTGACGGAGTGGATAAGGTTTCTCTGGGACCCCTTTTCCACCGTCAGGCTGCAGTGCATCCTCTGAGGGAGGGAGCCCACTCAGCCCCAGCTTGGGGGCCCCCGAGGAACAGCAGGTGCCCAGGTGACCTGGGAGTGGGCACCCATGCCCACGCTTACCATGATGGTTTGGTTGCAGTAGCTGGCACAGCCCTTCTTTAGCACATTGAGCCCCGTTGGGTCATGGATGTAGACACACTCCTTGGGGAAGATGTCCTAGGGTGGGCCATGCAAAGCCAGTCAGTGGGTGTGGGTTCTGGGCCAGCCCCTTTGCTAGGCAGCCCTGGTTAAGGGACCTCTGCCCCCTGGGTCCAGAACTCTAACCCTGGTCCAGTGGGGCTGCGAAGCACTTAGCCTCCAGGTGTGATCTAGCCTCCCAGCCTCTGCTTCCCCCACCCACCCCTGTGACCCAGGGCAGAAACCTCAACAGGCAGTCAGGAGGCCCTGAGAGCTGGGCCAAGGTGTGCTCACCAGCTTCACACTGTTGGGGGGACACGTGCTGGTGTTCAGGGCTTGGCAGTCCACACAGGAGCCCTGGGCAGGGCAGGGGCAGGATGGGGAGAGGGGTTAGTCATTGTTTATTTACTCGGCAAACCCAGAGAAGGGAACATTGAGTGGGGATTAAGGGATGAGAAGAGCCAACCACAGGAAGCCCAGCACTGGCATTCCAGGCAGAGGAGAGCAGGGGCAGAGGCCCCGAGCCGGGCAGAGCTAGAGTCTCTGGAAAACAGCAGAGAGGCCAGAGGCAGGCACAGAGTGAGTGAAAGGGGATGGAGCGGTGGAGGATGCAAGAGTTATCTCAGGCCAGGCTCAGTGGCTCATGCCTGTAATCCCAGCACTTTGGGAGGCCGAGGTGGGCGGATCACCTGAGGTCAGAGGTTTGAAACCAGCCTGGCCAACATGGTGAAATCCCATCTCTACTAAAAATACAAAAATTAGCCAGGCATGTTGGCGGACACCTGTAATCCCAGCTACTCGGGAGGCTGAGGCAGGAGAATCGCTTGAACCCAGGATGCGGAGGCTACAGTGAGTTGGGATTGTGCCACTGCACTCCAGCCTAGGCGACAGAGCAAGACCCTACCTCAAAAAACAAAACAAATCTCAAAGATGGAATCATAGTCCTGGTGAGGGTGAGCGTGGGGGAAGCACAGGTGGGTCCTTGGGAGTCTGCCAGCAGGGCCTCAGAGCCGGCGTCAGCCCAGCCCTGACTTAGCGCCTCTCCCTGGGAAGAGGATTGCCGCTCCAGCGCTGACAGGGGTTAGTGAGTAGGGCCCTGGCCGTGCAGGCGAGGCTCACCGCCACAATCTTGTGCTGCTCCTCGCTGCAGTGCTTGGGCAGGATGGGCAGGATGGTCGGGGGCAGCAGGATGCCGTCCAGCATGTGGATCACACCATTGGCGGCCATCACGTCTACCCTCTGCAGCGGGACCCCCTCGGGTCCCAGCAGGATGCGCCCCTGCGGCAGAGACCCACTGAGCCAACCCCCAGCCTGGCTGGCCTTGGCCCGGTGGGGCTGCCCACCTCCACCCCTGCAGCCCAGTTAGAGCAGACAGGCAGCTCAGTGAGCTGCTGAAGGCCCCGCTGGCCATACCAGCCACCTCTCCTTCAGCTCTGGCCAACGACACTGCTCCAGGCTGCGGGTCCTTACCCACATGGCTTCTGCCACATGGGGCAGCCCTACCGTGTGCTCCATGCTCCTTTTTGGAGTCCTCCCCCTTAACTCTCATTGGGCCCCAGCAGAGGAATTTGATCTCTGCCTGCTTCCTTCCCCATGAGCCCGCCATGGCCTAGCAGTGTCCTGCCCACCACGGGGCTCGGAGCACACAAGGCTGAGAGGCCAAGTGGGCAGCTGGTCACCGCCAGCCCCACCATCCGCCCAGGTGTCCGTGCACCTCACCTCCTCAGAAATGTTCACAGCCAGGACCTGGTTCGCCATGGTGAGGATCCGACCCTTGGAGATGAGCTTCTCAACGGTCAGCTGGGGCAAGGGACAGTGTGGCTTTAGGCTGGGCTCTGGCCATACCTTGGGGCCACGCCCAGTCCTGCCCAGGAGGCTCACAGCCACCCCCTTGGTCCCTAGGCTCTGTGCTATAGCAGAACAGATGAGAAGGGAAGGGAGATGGAGAAGAGATGGGGCCTTGGGGAAGTCCAGAACCTGCAGGCAGGCCCACCGGGTACAAGCTGGCCGCCCCCCAGAAAAAGACCTCGCACCTGGCCGTGGTTGTAGATGTGGTACCGCACCAACTCCTGCAGTTTAGAGAGACCCTGGCAGGGGAGAGAGAGGGTTTGGCTCCTGGAGGAACTGTGGGGGAGCGTGGAGGTCCTGGTGCCCCCATACCCGCAGCCCCTTCTCCCGCTGAGCTTACCGCTGTGAAGAGGTAGATCAGGCGGCCGTCACGCAAGCTGTCCACAGCCTCATTGCTTGGGGCAAAGACTGTGAAGGGCCCAGGTCCGTCCAGGATGGAGGGCAGCCCACAGTTCTGTGGTGGTGCAAGGGAGGCTCAGGGGGTTGCATGGCCAGCCTCCACCTCTGAGTCCTGCCTGGGCCCTGCCACCTTTGGCCTGCAGGAAACTCCCACTGAGTAAGGGGGAGACATGGGCAATGGGTCCATGCTACCACAGAACCTCAGGCTTGAGGACGGGGGCATGGGCAGAGGCCATGCTACTTCAGAACCCCAGGTCACTGTGGGGCAGAATCTGGGATAATGAGTCCTGGCTCAGAAGCCCAGAAGCCCACATGGGCTAGGACCCCTCCCCCGAGCTTACCTCCAGGATGGTTTCAAAGCGGCTGAAGGCCTCGGTAGAGGCGAGGATCTGTCCGATAGTTCTCTGTAAGGAGGGATGAGTGTGAGGGCCCCAGGGAAGGGGTGAGGCTGCTTCAGCCCAGCGGGGAGAAGCTGCGCTCCAGCCCTGAGTAGAATGGCTCCTGCCCACTCACTGCTCTCTGCAGGGGTCTGAGATTACCCAGCAGCACAGGGGAGGGGAGGGGAGGATGCTGGCTCACCTTGGGATCCCCAGGGGTCCCAGAGGGGGCCTGCCACCGCAGGCCAGTGACCACGTGGAAGACGCCATTAGCTGCTATGTTGTTGGCCTTGTAGATGTTGAACGTCTGCTGGGGCTGGTCTTTGTACTTGTAGGAGTATTTCTGGTGAGACACAAGAGGTCTGGCCAGATCCCATATGCCAGCCCCCTGTCCGGAGGCTCCCTCCCACCTGCACACCCTTGCCAGGCTGTGACTCCTCTTGTCCCCAGGCTGAGGCTCCTCCCTCACCGTGAATTGGTTAAAGGTGACGGTGATCTCCTGCCCGGCCAGCGTCCACCACCTTCGTGTTTGTTGGGTCCTTGTGTCCTCCAGGATGTGCTGCCCTGCGATGATGTGCTGTCTACAGAGCTGCTGGGCAAGGGATGCCTGCAGACGCAAGGCGGGGAGCAAAGTGAGCCGGGGGGCCAGTCCTCTTCACACCACCTCTACCCAGCAATGGAGGGGACAGGATGCATCCCAGGCCCTGATGCCTTCCAGGTGGCCCTGAAGACTGGGGATGCATCCAGGGGAGGAGGTGAGGGCCAGTGGCCAGCTCCACCATGGGGAGGGGCTTACATTCATGGTCCTGGAGGAGAAGGAGGAGACGGATGGCACCAGCACGGTGAAAGGGCCCGCTGTGGTAAGGATTTCCCGGCAGCCCTGGTCTGGGGGGCAGGGTGAGGGAGCATCAGAAGGGAGCTGGGGAGACTCTGGGGATCTCAGAAGATGTTCGGGCATCAGACCTGGTGTGGGGGAGTTGGGGTGGGGGTATTCTCCCTAGATTTAGGGTAGATGGGGGCCTTGAGGTTGGAGAGCAGCTCCCACCCCCTGCATGCACCCCCCACAGCCACCTGTTTGTTCCCACAGCCCTGGGCAGAGAAACTGGAATCTGCAGAGGCAGCTCCTCCCTCCCTGCCAACTGTGCTGGGGGTGAGGGGTCGGGTCGTGGGCAAGCAGTGGGGTCACGCACCCATCATGGCCACGGCGACCCTCAGCTGCAGGAACACCCGGCCTGTCTGCGTGGCCTTCTGCACCTCGTGGAGCAGGTGTCCGTAGCAGGCACGCCCATCCCCCACCTCGCTTTCCCTGCACACACAGCTGGGCTCCCAGGGAGAGCCAGTCAGGGCGGAGGCTGAGGCCCCCCCCACCGCACCCCCCACGCCTTCCCGCAGAGGGCACGCTTGCCCAACCCACTGTCTCTGCTCCCAGGCACCTGTGCTCACCTGGTCTTCCCATCAGCGGTCACCTGGCAAGTGGCAGACCGGTCGCAGGAGAAGGGGGAGCAGAAGGCGAAGCAGCCCGCAGAAGCGTTGCTGTTGATGCTGACCAGGCCTGGCCGGCAGGTGCAGAAGGCCTGGCCCCCGACAGGGCAGGAGGGGAACACCACGTCCAACCCCAAGAACCACTGGTGTCTGCCCTACCCATAGAGCCCTGCTCAGCCCCTCCCTGAAGAGGACCCTTATCCTCTCCCCACTTTACAAGTGGGGAAACTGAGGCTACCAGAAGGCCTGTGACTTGCCCAGGGTCCCATAGCCAGTGTTTGGGTGCACTGTGGGGACAGTTCCGGCCTGGGACCCTGGCTCACCTGGCCCGGCTTCTGGTACACACACAAAGTAGAGTTGCTGGGGCAGCCACCAAGGTTGTCAGTGCATGGGTCCTTGGGCAGACACACCATCCCATCGCCATGGTAGTTCTCAGGGCAGTGACACTGAGCCTGCCCCTTGGGGCTCACCGAGCACTGGGCCAGCAGTGAGCAGGGTGATGGCCAGCAGGGGTTGGGGGCTGCCAGGGCAGAGAGAGAGCCCAAGTGAGCCAAGCACCCAGGAGCCCTGTCTCCGCCACAGCTTTCACCAGGAAGGCCGGGGCCAGCAGGTTGACCTAGGCCTTGAGGATAGGCTCCCCTTAGGAATGGCTCTCCCTCCTTGTGAATTACATTGCACTTGCTGGGTTAAAGGATGCTCTCCCAGCCCCCGCCCGCCCTGAGCTGAAGTCCCTGGCCTCTGAGTCCAGGCTCACCTCGGCATTCACTGCCCTGCTGTGTGTAGCCGGGCAGGCACCTGCAGCTGGGAGCCTCTGCGGAGCACTGGGTGTTCTGGGGACAGCGCAGCTCCTGGCAGACGGGCAGCTCTGCGCAGAGTGGAGAGAGCACTGATGAGCCCAAGCCCAGGCTGGGGAGGAACACAGGGGCAAAGGGGCCTTGCCTGTTCTGTGTGACTTGGAGCAGGGCCCTGACCTTGCTGGGCCTCTGGACAGTGGAGGTCTCAGATGACACCCCTTCCCCAACTAGGCTCCAGGCGGAGGTCCTGCTGAGGCTCAGGCCCCATCCTCACCCAGTCGGCCTCTTTTGCTCTGGCCACAGGGACCTGCTGCCCTAGGCTATCCCAGTGGCGCTGCTCACCTTGATCACAGTGGGGGCCAGTGTATCCAGCAAAGCACAGGCAGCTTCCATCCCCACGTGGCCCATGGTTGCACACTCCGTGCACACAGCTGCACACTGGGAGGGACACACAGAGACAGATGGGGCCCCAGCCTCTCCCAGGCACACACTGGGACATCGGGTCCCTGCTCTCTGTATTTTTAGAACTCAGCTCGGGCAGGTACAACCTTAAGAGTACAGAGCTGTGATGCGGGACCACAGGGGTGGTGGGAGACCACAGAAGGCACTGGCCCGGCCTGGGGCTCACAGAGGGCTTCCTGGAGAAGGCCTCTCAGGGGAGTAGCATGTGCAAAGGGCTGGAGGTGTGATAAAACAAAGCACATGTTCCTGAAAGGGATGTGCAAATCTGAGGGGCTGGGACAGAGGCTGAAGGGACAGGTGGGAGCTGGTTGTAGGTACTGCATCTGCGTGGGCCCCCAGGTGGACGCTGGCCGTGCCCTCTTGCCTTTTAAGCACTCACCCGATTGGCAGTCAGGCCCGAACCGGTTGGGGTCTTGGCACTCCTGGCAGGCTGAGCCGCGGAAGTTTTCCTGGTGGTGGATGCACCAAGTCAGCGTGGCCCCTCTGAGCCTCCACCCCACCTTGCCCAGCCCTTACCTGGCACACACAGGTCCCATTCCTGTCCATGCCATCCAAGCAGGTCCCGTGGCCATTGCATGGGGTCTCAGCGCCCCCAGGGCATTCTGTGGACCCCCACAGTACTCAGCTCTGTGCCCAGAACCCTCCGCTTACCCTGACCCCAGCAGCTCTGGCCAACCCCAGACTCGGCCCCTCCCCCAAGGAAGCAAGAGCAAGGGGGCCGAGCCTTGGAGGCGCTCGGTGAGTATTAATTAAACAAACAAGTTGAAGGGGAATGCAGGTGGCTCCTGCAGAGGGCTTGCCCAGAGCTGGGGCTGGGTGGGAGGCGCAAGGCGGGGTCCCCCTTTCTCCCATACCATGGCACCGGGAACCCCAGTAGCCAGGGCAGCAGGCCTTCTGCACCACTTGCTTCCGGCACTTCCGTCTGCAGCCGCTCATGGACACCATAGAGCCCCCCAGCTGTACTTCGTAGCTGGGGGCAGAGGGTGGGCAGGGTGATGGAAAAGGCTCCCTTGCACAGCCCCCACCCAGCCTCCCCACATTGGCTTCCGGGGCTCCCACCCACCTCCCTGCTCTGCCTGGCCCAGAGCTGAGCACAGGGCCTAGCACATAGCAGGTGCCCCATAAACCCCTCCTGCCCCTCGCCTTTACCCCTTCCTCCCCGCCTATCTCCACCACCCAGGTGGGGCCACAGGGGCATGGATAAGTGAGTGCTTCTCCTCATTTTGTGGGCCTGTCAGGCTCCCCGAGTCCCTGCCACCCCACAGGATGCTCCTGGACACAGGCAAGGACAGGGGTGGCCCGCACCGGCAGTCCTGGGTTATCTGATCCGGGAGCTCCCGCAGCCAGCCTGAGGGACACGTCTGCTTCTTGATGGCCGCGCACGAGGTGCAGGGTACATGAGTGACAAACGTGGTTTTCACATCACAGCCTTTGAACAGCACCTGGGGCCACAGGCAGGGTGTGGTCAGGGGCCTGGACCCCACGCCCAGTCCTGACCCTGTCCTCAGTGCTGCAAGGGCTCACACCCCTCCAGCTGCCACTTCCCATCTGCTCAGGGGTCAGAGTAAGCAGAGGGTTCTGGGCACAGAGCTGAGTTCTTTGGGGGTCCACAGAATGCCCTGGGGGCGCTCAGTGGGAATGCAGTGCAGATGGGGAAGGCCCTGTGAAACCTGTCTGTTACAAGTTGTTAATGTCACATCGAGTCCTTATGTGCCCGGCCCAGAAGGCTCTGAGTCCACACCCTCTGACACTAGAGAATCTAGCCACGTTGCTCCCCCAAGCCCATTTCAGGTGAGAAAACTGAAGCCCAGGACATGGCCGCTACCCAATCTCATCCATGAACAGGGTGTGAACCAGGGACTAAACCCAGATTCCCAGCCTAGTGCTCACTTTTGCCTTTTGTTTAAAGATAAAGAAACAATAAATGACAGAGCTGATGCTGTCTTGGGAGGACACGGCGACTCCATCCTCAACTCATGGGCACAGGCACGATGCCGGCTCCAGCCATGCACCGTGGGGCTGGACCTCCAGCCACCACTCTGCTCTGAGCATTTTCCCACGTTGCTACCAAATGACCCTCTCTAACCAAGCGCAAGGGCTTTCTCCGCTGCCCAGGAATCAGAGACTAAGGGCCCTGGCCCTGAGAGGCTGGGCTCACGTGAGCAGCTGTGTGCAGGGACTCTGGTCTGCAAGTGTTTGGGCTGGGCAGTCACAGGAGACAACGGGCCATGCCAGCCTCTGAGGAAACCCAGGGCATCCTGGCTGGGGCCCCAGGTGGTTTCCTGAGGGAGGTGGTCATTGACTTGGGACCTGAAGGATGCATGAGAATTGGTCAAGGACAGTGCTCCTGGCCTAGGGGACAGCAGAAGCAAAGGCCGGGAGTGGAAAGAAGTAAAAACAAATGTGTGACAAGGCAGGCAGTGGCCCGAGGGGAGGCTGGAGAGGGGCTGGCAGCTGGGGTGCAGGAGCTCCGTAAACCTGGGTGAGGCAGAGTCCAGGGCAGCCCCATGACTCAGTTTATGGTTTTTTGTCTTTGAGAAAGGGTCTCGCTGTGTCGCCCTGGCTGGAGTGCAGTGGTGTGACCCTAGCTCACTGTAATCTTGAACTCCTGGGCTCAGGCGATCCTCCTGCCTCAGCCTCCCGAGTAGCTGGGACTACAGGCATGTGCCACTGTGCCTGGCCAGTTTTTTTTTTTTTTTTTTTTTTTTTGAGATGGAGTCTCGCTCTGTCGCCCAGGCTGGAGTGCAGTGGCGGGATCTCGGCTCACTGCAAGCTCCGCCTCCCGGGTTCACGCCATTCTCCTGCCTCAGCCTCCCAAGTAGCTGGGACTACAGGCGCCCGCCACTACGCCCGGCTAATTTTTTGTATTTTTAGTAGAGACGGGGTTTCACCGTTTTAGCGGGGTTGGTCTCGATCTCCTGACCTCGTGATCCGCCCGCCTCGGCCTCCCAAAGTGCTGGGATTACAGGCGTGAGCCACCGCGCCCGGCCGGCCAGTTTGTTTTAAATTGGCCCTCTGGCTGCTGCATGGAGAATACAGTCGCAGGGGCAGGTGTGGTGGGAAAGAGGCCATCATTACCTGAAGGTGGCCTGGGCCAAGGCAGGGACAGTGGAAATGGATTGGGAGATATTTGAGAGGGCTTGGGGTGGTGAGATGAATTGGGAGAAGGTCTCAGCAACTGGGTGGGGCGTGGAAGATGTGAGGAGTCCAGCCTGCCACCACGGCATGGGCACAAGGATGCTGACAAAAGCCCCAGGCCTGGAGTCCCATTCACTGGCCTGCCATAGCTCCTGGAAGTCCACCAGCCTTCTACGGCAACAAAGTCCCAGCAACCTTCAGCACTGAACCAGGAGGCGTGAAGCTAAACTCCCAGTTCTAGTGGGAGGAAGGGGCATAGGGAAGGGGCATAGGTTGGAGGGGAGGTGTTTGGGAGGCTTTGGGCATGGCCCAGAGAAGTGGAGATGTTCTCATCTTGAAAAATGCTGACCACACTGTGGTCCAAAGGGAGTGACCCCAGAACATCCCTTTCCTGGAATAATTTACAGATGTGTGGCTTCTCAAAGCAAGAGAAAAGGAGAAATGGTGCCCCTGACACTTTCTTATGGCAAATACCAGGGCCCCAGAGCCTCTGTGCTACCGTGATTTGGCCTTTTCCGCTCATGCCTCTGCGGTCTGCAAACAGGGAAGTTGCTCAGAGCAGCCTGTGTTGAACGGCGGAGCTGGGATGTTGTGGTCTCGTTCCCCATCCTGAGGCTCGCCTTTGCTGAGCCAGGGAGAGACTAGGAAATTGGGTAACTTGAGGGCTGAGCAGCTGCTGGCTCAGGGTAGAGGCTTGGCAGGAGGTGGGCTCCCCTCAAAGCCACCTGGCCAGCTGGGCAAAGCTGCCAGCGCGGTCACCATTCTGGCTGTGGACCAGCTCTTGGAGGAATGGTGGTCAGCTCTGGATAAGGGCTCAGGCTGAGTAAGACTGTGCTGGTCGCACTCTGAGACAGTCAGGGCTAGATGGAGCGATGGGTGAGTTAGGGCCCAGAAGGAAGCGGGAGCTTTGGGGCCTGGTGTGGACACTCACTCACAGGACCTGGGTGTTTGTAAACGTGTGTGAAATGCTGATGAATGGTAAGCCTGCTGCCACATCAGTGCTTCTCCGAGACCACAGCCGAGGGGCCCTGCCTCCGCCCCATGGCCTGGAAGGAGCATCGGCGGTCTGAGCCCACATCTTGCCGTTGGTCCAGCTGGGTGGAGTGAGGCTGGATCACGGCCTGAGTGCTGAGTCAGATTCCCTCCTTCCTGGGGGCACCTCGGGACTGAGCCAGAGCGGGTGCTGTCTCCCCCCCAACCCCACACCCCCCGCAGACCTGATTTTGCAATGTCTGCTTCCCACAGAGCTGCTGCTGGGGGAAGTTGAGGAGACACGAAGTGTGAAGTCTTTGGTGAGAAGGTGGATGAAATTCTCCCAAGCTGGGACCTGGTTCATGGGGACTTTTTAAGGCTGAGAGCCCAGAATCTAAACCCTGTCAGAGAGGAAGGAACCCCAAACTGCTTCCCCCTACCTTTGGTCAGATCAGGGAGGGTGCAGGGCTGGGTTCTGGACCGTGCTCCTCTCCCGCCACAGGCTCCACTGCACACACCTAGCCACGTGCCCTCGGTGAAAAGCTGCTGAATGGGCAAGTGCTAAGGGCCTTCCAGGAAAGCCTTCCTGCCTCGCTGCCCAAACCCATCTTCACTCCAGTCCTGTTGCTGCCCTTACTGAACAGGTTACCCGGGATATCCTTTCCCCTCAGAGCTTCCACTCCTAATATAGTTGTTCCTTGGTGTCTATGGGGGACTGGTTCCAGGACCCTCCTCAGATACCAAAATCTGTGGATGCTCAAGTCCCTGGTATAAAATGGAATCGAGGCTGGGAGTGGTGGCTCACATCTGTAATCCCAGCACTTTGGGAGGCCGAAGAGGGTAGATCACCTGACATCAGGAGTTCGAGACCAGGCTGGCTAACATGGAGAAACCCTGTCTCTAATAAAAACACAAAAATTAGCCAAGTGTGGTGGTGTGCGCCTGTAGTCCCAGCTACTTGGGAGGCTGAGTCAGGAGAATCCCTTGAAGCTGGGAGGCAGAGGTTGCAGTGAGCTGAGATAGCGCCACTGTAATGCAGCCCGGACAACAGAGAGAGACACCATCTCAAAAAAAAAAAAAAAAAAAAAAAGGCATCGAATTCACATATAATCTATGCACATCCTCCCGTATACCTTAAGTCATCCTTAGACGACTTATAATACCGAATACAATGTAAATGCTATGTACATAGAAAAGTCTGAACATGGGGTTGGGCACGGTGGCTCACACCTGTAATCCCAGCACTTTGGGAGGCTGAGGCAGGTGGATTACCTGAGGTCAGGAGTTACAGACCAGCCTGGTCAACATGGTGAAACTAAAAATTCAAAAATTAGCTGGGTGTGGTGGCGGGCGCCTGTAATCCCAGTTCTCGGGAGGCTGAGGCAGGAGAATCGCTTGAACCTGGGAGGTGGAGATTTCACTGAGCCGAGATCACGCCACTGCCCTCCAGCCTGGGCTACAGAGCGAGACTCCACCTCAAAAGAAAAAAAGTCTGAACATGTTCAGTAGAGATGCCATTTTATTTCCTGAATATTTTCAATCCAGGGTTGGTTGAACCCAAGTACAGGGTGCACAGATACAGAGGGCCAACTGCACTTACAGTGGCTCTCGGCTATGCAGGGTGCTGGGATAGAGGCCACGTAGCTGTGTTAGAGTGGCCAGCACTGCTGCAGCCCCATCCACAAGGAGTGGTCAGAGCCATAGGTCTCTGACAAGGAAAAAACTCGAATCTGAGGCCCCTCACTGACCTCTGTCCTCACTGCCCAGAGCATGAGGAGGTGGCGGAGGCCTTTGAAATTCCCTTGCATGGTACACAGGGGGAAACTGAGTTAAGGGGAGGGCAGGAGCTTACCTGCAGGGCTCTCAGCACAGCCCTGGAACCCTTGGCTCTTCCCCCATCACTGTCGCCTTCTCAGCCTCATATCTTCCTGTCCCCAGCCCTGGCCTGGTCCTGAAGCTGGTGAGGCCCTTCTCCCTGCTGCCTCTCTGAGGGACCACAGGCATCCAAGAGAAAGCGCCTGATGGTGGCAGGGGGCCTAGGCCCCTGGCTGGACTGCCTGTGGGATCCTGGGCAAGTCCTCCCCGCTCTGGACTTTAGTCTGGCCATCTGTGCCATGGGGATAGTGGTTGCTGCTCCAGGAGGCAGACACGCTCAGCCTCACAGGAGAGAGACTACCCCCATCACCAGGGTGGGAGGCTCTTCCAGAAGCTCCCAGAGGCCCCTACCATGGGGCCTGAGCAGACCTGCAGCCAGGAGCCTGTCACAGGGACCTGACCGAGGGGCTGGCTGTGGCTGCATACCAGGACCCTGTCTGCTCGCCAGCACACACGGATGGCCATCACAGGCAGGGGTTTGGAGCATGGCTTTAGAGTGGGAATGGCCTGTCCCCATCATCCTAGGGCTTCGGGTTCCTCACGAGGAGGACAGGAGGAGTTGCCCCGAGGCTGTGAGGATTCAAGGGGACCTGCCCGGGGCTGTGGCTGCTCTGTGGCAGCTCTGAGGCTGAAGTGTGTCCTTGCCAGCTGCTCATAACCCCGGACACTAAGGGTGAGTGACTCATTCTGCTTCCCGGTACTCTTGGGGCTGGACACAGGCACACACATGTGCACACACTTGCCCCACGTGAATCTGTAGTCCTCGGGGGTTGGAGGTGATCACATCTTCAACCCCCAGGTGAGGGCCACATAAGACCTGGGCCTCCGTCTGGGCCAGAAGGGCAGGACAGGCCTGCCTCTGTACACTTCAGCTGCACGCTGGGGAGCCCCGGCCCCGCATAGTCAGAGGAGGGTGGGCTGACACACCCCTGAACCCTGGGTGGCTGGACGCAGACCTCAGACTGGGGAGGTGGGCACAATAGCCAGCCCCCAGGCCTGCTAAGAGGCCAGACAGGCGCCAGCTGCGGTTTCTCCCCAGGCCCCTGCCCCTCCATGTCAGTCCCTCCCTGTTCCCACCGCTGGCCGGCAGGGCCCAGACGCCGTGTGCCCCTGCGACTGGCTCACACTTACCTGCCCCCTGACGAAGCTGAAGCCTGCCAGGCAGAAGGCCAGGAGGCAGAGTGGGAGGAGGCCCCGGGGCCCCGCCATGGCTGGTGGGCACGCTGTCCAGGACAGAGTCGGGGCGTAGGGAATGAGCTCTAGGAGGCAGGCACAGCACAGGCAGGCGGGACGGGGCGGGCAGTGGCCTTAAAAGCAGCCCGGAGGCCCCGCCAGCTCACCCCCACAGGAACCCGCCAGGATTTCCTCCTGCATATCAGCAGCCTGCAGGCGGAAGGGAAGGTGCTGGCCACTGACCCCCCATGGGCGGCCTGAGCCCTGCTCGGGGCTTCCCGGCTGGGACCCTCCTGGCATCACAACCTGGAAGTCCAGGCCACCATGAGCCCCGGGACCTGGGCTCTATCAGAGGTTCTGAAGCAAATCCAAAGGCACACGTGAACGAGTCCCCCGCCTGCGAGCCCAGTGTGTTTCATTCAGAGGCTCCTGGGGTGCTGGTCGGCGGAAGGCAGGGCAGCCCCTGAATGGGTCTGTCTGTTCCTGCCTCCACCTTTCCAACTCCAGGGCGCTCATGGGGCTCTGACTCGCTACAGGCACCCTGCTAGCCCACCAGACCCACATCCCCTCACTAGCCCCAGCCACTCCTGAGCCGCTGGTCCTGCCCGCCAACCCCCATCCACCCTCCCTGCCTCCCTATCTGCCCTCCACTCAGCAGCCCATGCTCAGCCAGCTTGCTGCAGCACCTCCAAACCCCTCTCCAGCTGGCTGGTCTCTCTGAACTCTCCCCAGACAGGTCTGCTCCAGCCGCGCAGGCCTCTCTGCTCCTTCAGTGAGCTCTCCCGGCATGTGCTGCTACCCTAGATTGTCACACTCTGGCTCCTTCTCACAGGTGGTCTCAGGTCAAGGGCCACCACTTCAGAGCGCCTCCCTGGTCTCAGCCTGCAGGTGGCCCTGCACCTGGTTCACCTGGCAGCACCAGCCACCAGCTGACATTGGCTTGTTTCATTTGTCTCCCCTGGAACATTGGCTGTGGAAGAGTAGGGGCGCTGTCTGGCTGATTCGCACAGTGGATGCTCAATACACGTGTGCAGAAGGAATAAATGAATGGAGGTGGCTACTTTTATGATCCCTCTGTTACTGGTGGGGAAACTGAGGCTCAGAGGGGCTGGGTAGCTTGTCTGAGGTAATCAGTTTTCATATCCAATCCCAGGGCTACTGTCTGAAGCCACCACTGCCTGCACAGCCAGCACCCCCAAGAGGTGCAGTGGGCCCAGGCTGAGGGCCTCTGCGTGCCAGGGCTGCACGTGGTGGGCCTTGCCTCCAGTTGTCACTACCCCCAACTGCAGACGGCGTAACAGTTGGGGAGACAGGAGTGGGCCAGAGCCCGGTGGCCATCTGTAAATGCTTTGGTAAAGGCCAGGTTGGGGAAAGTTTCTCCTCCCCAGCACACCTCCACTCCCATCAGTTTGGAGGGGCCTTCAGGCAGGCCTGAGATCTGGCTGGGATGGGGGTTGCAAGGGGAAACCCTCCCCACATTCCCCACACCCACAGTCTTCCTGGGGGTGAAGGGTCCTCCAGGCAGGACCCCCACTCTGCTGGCACCAAGGGAAACGGGGGAACAGAAGCAGGCCTGGGACCCAGGCTGGCCACGCCACCCACCTCTCCACAGCCCTGCCTGGCCTGGCTGCCCCAAGGTCCTGGGGACTGAGGCTCCTGGCTGGGCCAGGATGAGTTATGTGGGGCTCATAGGCCCTGCTCTGGCAGCAGGAATGGGGTTGGGGAAGAGTGTGGCATGGGGTTGGCTACCAAAATCCCAGGTCCTACCTCAGCAGGCTCCCTGAAGCAACCCTCAGGGAGGGGCCCATGAGCCTCATGTTTCAGGGACATGAAGACAGACACAGATGGGTATGTGCCCCTCCCTCCACTGTCCACCACCTGGGTCCACCTCCCCACAGACCTCCCCTGCTGCCATTCAAGGGCCACCTTGGTGAGATGCCCCGGCCCCCACCAGCCACCTCAGACTCTGGGATCTCTCTGTCCTCCTCGCCCCTCCCCCACTCTCAACAGGGGTTGTGAAACAGGTGGGGTTGGGCCCAGGGGTGACTGACACATAAGACCTGCAGGACAGCCTGAAGAGGGTGGCATGCCCCGCACCCAGGCAGAGGGGCAGCGGCTGGTGTGTCAGGGGTGCCCTGAGGAGTTTCTTGTTTGCCCTGCGCTCATGGTTTAGCCACAGCCCAGCATGGCACTGTCCAGAGAGGCCATGGCCCTGTCATGCCTCCCATGTTCCAAGAAGCATCTGGCTCCTGGAGGGCTGCTCCTTCCTTTCCCCCAACCCCTCACCCTCCTGTCTCCAGGGCACCCTCCCTCCCCCATGTGACCACGCCCTGGACGGAAGCCCTGCTGGGATCCCAGTGACCCTTGGTTTAGAAGATGCAGACGGTGTCAAACTCTGCTTTATTGGAATAGAGAATACAGGCAGCAGGAATCACGCTTGGTGCTGGCAGCTCCAGGTCCCCTGCCCCCACGGGCTCTCCCACTTGTCTGGATCAGGGGAGACCTCCACTTTGAAGAACAATATGGGGTGGGAGCTTCCAATGTGCATTCTGCTACCAGCCTCAGGATTAGCAGCAAGATGCCAACAGCAACAGCAACAGCAACAGCAACAGCAACAGCAACAAAGGACTGGACTCGACACTTCAGGAAAGGACGTGTAGAAGAGAAAGTCAGACCCACAGTGTCACGTGTTAACAACGGTCCCACAACAGCAGACACGACACTGGTGTGCACGGCTGTACCACCTGTGGGAGGCTGACAGCACACCGACAGCCCTGAGGGGCCCGGCATTCTCACTCCCAACATGAGAAAGAATTAACACAACACACACACATGTTCACATTCTCTGCGAGGACAGTCAAATTAAGGTACCAAAGGGAGGATAAAACATTTTTAGAGAACACAAAAGCCTGCTGCCCTGCCCCAGTAGGCGTCAGGCTGGACACGACAGGCTGGCTGTGGCCTGGGCTAGCCGGTGAGCTCGACAGGCAGCTCACGGCCACACAGGGCCTCCCACTGGCGAGCCAACAGCGAGATGAGCTTCTCTCTGCTCTCAGCACTGGGGACAAACACCTGCCACTGGACTTCACGGCCCTGGCTGGCTCTAGCCGGGCCACCTGGCACCTCCCCAAAGTGGTCCAGGGTGACACTGCCCATGAGGTCATGACCTTGCACGTCATCGAAGACGAGGGTGAGGGCCTGCGGGTAGGTCTGGTAGCCCATGAGCACTCGGTCCAGGTCCCGGACGCGGCGGCCATCGTCCAGCCGGTACCTGTCTCTCTGCGGCGGCTCTTTGGCAAACTCGGGCAGTGGGTAGTGGACACAGTCCTCATCCAGGAGGAAGATCTCGGAGCTGGTGAGCAGGAGTGTCTTGGGGCGCAGGGGGCCCCTGCAGCACCCAGGGGGTGGCATGCCCACCTGGAAGGCCTGCACGTACAGCAGGATGCTGAGGGCTGGGGCCTTCTCTGGCTCAGCCATCTTTTGGGCCACAGTGAACGTCAGGTCCCCAATCTCCTCCTCACTGGGGTAGGTAAACTTGACGCGACTAGAGTGGATCAGCTCGTAGTTCTCCATCTTCCCTGCAGAGAGATGCCACCTGGGCTATAGCCTGGAACCGGCCCCTGGTGGGGCTGGGAGCACCAAGGGCCCCAAGCCAACCGAGAGACCCCGGCATGAGACAGGCAGGAGAGGATGCTCCAAGTGTGGGGCCCACAGGCCAGGAGCCCAAAGCAGGCACTGGAGATGTGTCTGCCAGATGGTTGAGGGACTGCTGGAGTGGAGACTCTGCCATCGAAAAGCCCCACATAAAACCCTGGCCAGCTAAGTGAGAAAAGAGAGACATAGAGGCAGAGAGGGTTCTGGGGCACAGAGAGCCACCCTGGGGCCCATGACGTCTGTCCAGGCAGCCTGTCTGCAGCCTGAGCTAGACAGGGGTACCTGTGGTCTTGTTCCCAAACTCGGAGTAGAAGTCCTTGTCAACAGGCTCCGGCGAGGGCGTGCGTTCCAGAGAGGACAGCACGACCATGAGGTGCTGGAGGAAGCAGTGCGTCAGGTAGCTGTCCCGCGTCAAGCACGTGACCACCTGCATCGGGGTGGAACCTGCACGAGAAGGGGCTGGTCAGGGCCACAGGCCGGCGCTCCCCAGCCCTATCCCTGCCCCTTAGAGCCACCCCGAGTCCCTAGCAAGCCTCAGCCCAGAGGCCAGGGCCAGGAGGGCCCACACAGGAAAGAATCATGGGGCCCGGGAGGAGGCCATTCCTTCAGGCCGGAAGAGCTGAGGCATTTTTCTGGAAGGGGAGACAGAGACATTAGGCAAAGAGCTTAGCTTTCTCTCCTCAGGAAATGTGAGTCAGAAACATCCTGCCCGAGACCAGGGCCCACTCTGCTTCTGTCCGGGCCAGCGCTTGCCGCACACCCTACCTCCTGCTCTGAGCCCTGGAGCGTGAGTTCTGCTCTCTCAGCAGTTCCTGAAGCTGCTTCCTCCCACCCCGGTTAAGAAGTGGCTCTTGAGCACAGAGATAACTGTCTATGATAACCCACCCACGTACGGAAGGTGGAAGCCCACTGGTGATGCTGGCCTTCACCCGAAATAGGACAAAGCACAGAGGGTCACCCACCCGTCAGCCGGAAATGCTGGTCGAAAAGCCCCACATTGACTGACTGCAGGTCACTAAGCTTTAGCACGAAGCACTGGGAGATGTGGAAAGGGCTGTTGTTGTAGTCGGTGTTTTTCTGATGCCAGAAATCTGTGTGATGGAGAAAGGGACAGAGGGAGGCGGTGGCAGGCAAGCACAAGGTTCCTAGGTGTGCAGCACATCCAGCAGGAACAGGTCCTCTTGGCTGGCCTGGCTTCCACCCGTGCAAAGCCCCATAGGCAATGCCCTCTGGAGTCGGAGCCTCTTCCAGCTCAGGGGAGTCACCAGGTCGCTGGCTAGGGCTTCCTGTGCAGCCCCAGGGGCAAAGGCTGCCTAACCCCTTCTCATCACTGGCTGTTCCCAAGCAGTCACCAGGCCCTGGCTCAGTGCATTCTGCGTTCACATCTGGCCATGGACCCCTCCCTCATGACAGCTCCCTTCCTCAGACAAGGAACTCTCAGCCCACTGCAGCCAAGTCGCTGACTGCTGCCTGAAGCCACACAGCTGGCTCCAGAGAATGACCCCCCAGGCCTGCCCCAACCACACACTCCAAGCTCCTGAGCCCCAGCAGGCCCTGTGCCTACCCTGCAGTGGCTCTGAGAAGTAGCGGCGGAGGCCGTCGTGGAGCACAAAGTACACAGCCTTGGTGGAGAGCAGCACGCAGGCAGTCACCTCCAGCCCTGGGGTCTGGTAGAACACCACCGAGGACCACATGAGGTGCCTCAGCTCCTCGTTTTCAACCTGAAGACGGGGGGCCTCCTGTCAGCTCCACCACCCTAGCAACCTGCACATACCAGGGACATGCCCACAGCTTCCACAAGGAGACATGGGAAGCCCCTCTTGGCTCACCAATGAATCCGTATGCTTCAAGGCAGAGAGGAAGAGAGGGGTGGGAGATGGCTGTTGGTGGGAGGTCTACCTGGGGCTGGAAGTGGCACAGGAGGTGGTGACACAGCACAAATGGCCAGGGGAGGGCAACTCAGGACCTCACTGCCCAGGTCCTCAAAGCTGTGAGCAGCTCAGCTGAGGACTCCGACATCAGGGAAGTCCAGGGACCTGAGGCTGACCTGAAGCCAAGCTTGGCCTCGCCCTCAGGACTGGCCGTGCCATAGCTGGCACCCACACCCGGGCCGCTACCTCAGCAATGCTGCTGTGGAAGAGCTCGATGATGGCGCTGCCCCGCAGGCTGGCGACGTGCCGGAGCGACGGGCAGGCAGGCAAGTGCGAGGGGATCTGATTCTCCTCCGAGGTGGCCTGGATGAGGTGCTCACTCGGGTACTGGGCAGGGGCCTCGGCTGGGGGTGGGGCTGGAGCTTCCACTGGCGTCTCCTCTGGGACCAAAGCTGAAGTTGAGGCCTCTGCTGGGGCCGGAGTCTTCGCTGGGCCTGAGGCTGAGGCTGCTGCAGGGGCTGGAGCTGGGACTTCCGCTGGGGCCGGGGCCAGAGCCTCTGCTGGGACCTCCTGGGGACGCTGGTCATTGCTGTATCCCCCGAAAAACACCATATTAACAGCGGACCCCAAATGAAGATTCACATCGCATGTGCAGCTTCAGAGTGAGGAGACTGTGTGCATCACACATCACCTCTGGGTTACTGGGGACTTCCACCAGCTTCTCTATTGGAGAACAGAACAGCACGGCCGGGCACGGTGGCTCATGTCTGTAATCCCAGCACTTTGGGAGGCTGAGGCGGAGGATTGTTTGAGCCCAAAGTTTGAGACCAGCCTGAACAACACAGCAAGATGTTGAGGTGGGTGAAGCCTAAGGCAGATCCTGGCCCACAGAGCCATCCGTGGGACTGTGACCCTGGAGGAGGTAGTGCCCAGAGGCCATGCTTGGGCCCAGAGGAGCACAGCAGCCAGGGTGACAGCTCTCCTGGCCTCGGTGTGCTGCAGCCTGTTGCTCTCCCACTGGGCAGGCAAAGGTGGGGCAGCCCCCTTGGCCTGCCCTTCATGGGTGGCAAGAGGCTGGGCCAACCCATTTTGTGAGAGGACAGCTTTCCTGGGCTTCTTCTACAGCACTGAGATAAGGAGCAGCCTGGCACCAAACCTGGGGTGGTGATGTAGAGGGAGGCCCGGGGGGGGCGAGGGGCAGGGGGGGAGGGGGCCCAGCTCTCGCAGCAACTCCCAGCCCACACTAGCCGCAGATGCTGAGATCACACACATGCCAGACCCATGCCCCCGGGGCCCCTGAGAGCTGTGCTTGATCTCACCTGGCCCTGCGCTCGGCAGGCTGGCCATCCGCAAAGGAGCCCTGGGGGCTGCCTCCCGTCCCGGGGGTCTTGGCGATGACCACAGTCTTCAGGTCCTGCAGCGAGGCCCGCAGCTGGTTGTAGACGCGCAGGAAGTGGAACTTCTCGTGGGGCAGCACGAAGATGGCAGTGACAAAGCGGTACCCCACGAGCAGCTCTAGCACGTGGCCATCAGCAAAGGCGCCCCGAGGCTGGGTACAGCTGCGTGTGGGGTCCAGCAGCACGGTGGAGAGCGGCACACGGCTGAGCTTGAAGCTGTTGCGGTTGCGACAGTTGTGGGTGCCACGGTTGGGCATGGGGTTGAAGTCGGCCTTGATGACGTTGAGGTGCTGGGGCGTGAGCAACAGCCAGTAGGGGATGGCGGCGGACTTGACGGCCTCAGAGGGCGCGCAGCAGGAGCGCCGCACGGCTGAACAGAGTGTGCAGCTGGCCCACTCGATGTTGCCTGAGTAGTCCCCGGCGGCCGTCTGCACCATGCGCTTGTCACTGTAGACCAGGTAGACGGGGAAGCAGCCCTGGCTGCGCTCCTGGCAGCCGCCAGCCACCTTGTAGAAGGTGAGCAGCTGGCGCAGGAACTCCTGCAGGCTGGTGTGGCTGCCGTAGAGGATGGGGCTACACAGCATGGCCATGTGCTGGGGTGCAAAGCATGAGCGCAGGTCCGCGTGGAACTCGTGCAGGTTGGCGGCGTCCGAGATAATGAAGAGCGTGTTCTCACTGTGCCGTACCTTGAGCACCAGACACAGCTCCGGCATGAGGAAGCCAAACTCGGTGAGGTCGCCATGCGGGAAGCAAAAGACAAAGCGCAGGGAGGAGAGGATGTGCTGGCTGCTGCCCCGAGACTCCTGGTGCGGGATCTCGAAGACTGCGATGCCGAAGTCGGTGAGCACAAGGCAGGCGGCGAACTGGCGGATACTGCCCTGCACATGGATCAGGAAGCACCACAGCACCTTGAGGATGCGGATGTGCTCCAGCAGGAAGTCCTCGTCCGCGCCCAGGGCCCATTCCAGAGCCAGGCGCTCCTCCTCGGCCTCTTCATCCTCCTCTTCCTCCTCCTCTTCCTCCCCCTGGCCTCCTCCCTCCTCCTCCTCCACGTCTGGGGGCCCCATTTCAAAGTAGCGGTTCTCAGCCACGTCCTCCTCTTCTTCCTCCTCCTCATCCTCCTCCTCGCCCTGTTCACCCTGGCCCTCCTCCCGCTGGTTGGCAGCCTCGATCCAGGCAGGCAGCTGCCGCTCGATGGCCTGCCGGATCAGTGTGCTCAGGCGCTGGATGAAGTCCTGATTGGTGGCCGTGTAGCCAATGCAGGTGAAGGGCAGGAAGATGATCTGGCCAGACCCCGGCACCACCTGGACCTCCGGCTCGGCATGTTCTGGGCTGTGCAGGGAGAGGCCAGGTCAGTGGCATGCTGGGAGGGGCCCCTCCCACCTCCCACCTGCCACATCTGGAGCCCACTGCTACACCCTGACCCTGAGAAACCAACCCATGGGTCTCCCAAGCCTCCCACATGGCCAAGTCAGTTCCCAGGATGAGGGCCCTGGTGGGAGCCAGTGCTGCCTGCTGGAAGGCTGGGTCGCCAGTTTGGTCAGAGTCTATGCTTCTAGGGGCTTGGACCATAGGTGCCTGGCACAGCTATGCCCAGACCACACGAGTTCCCACAACAGAAGCACTCCCATGGACTTCTAAGTCATTCAGTTGCTGCCATAAGCCCCGGAGAGAAGGAACACTCCAGGGCATGAATCTACTTGTCACCCCTGGTGGCCTCCGGGGCAGGGAAGTGGGCTGGGGCAGGTCTTAGGACCTTCACACTTAAATTCCAGCTCTTCTTGGCCACCGCAGCCCTCACATGTAGAGTGGGAGTTAGTAAGCTTCTGTAAAGGGTCAGAGTACACATTTTGGGATTTATGGGCTACCATGTCCATACGATCTTCAGCAGCCCTTTAAGAATGTAACTGTCCAACATGGCGAAATCCTGTCCCTACTAAAAACAGAAAAATTAGCCAGGTGTGGTGGCGGGCACCTTGGGTGGCTGAGGCAGAAGAATCGCTTGAACCCGGGAGGCGGAGGTTGCAGCGAGCTGAGATCGGGCCACTGCACTCCAGCCTGGGTGACAAAGCAAGACTCAGTCTCAAAGAAAAAAAAAGTAACTGTTATTCTAGCCAGGCGCGGTGGCTCATGCCTGTAATTCCAGTACTTTAGGAGGCCGAGGTTGGTGGATCACTGGAGTTCAGGAGTTCGAGACCAGCTAGGCAACATGGTGAATCTCTGTCTCTACTAAAAATATAAAAAATTAGTTGGGCGTGGTGGCGTGCGCCTGTGGTCCGGGCTACTCAGAAGGCTGAGGCTGAGACAGGAAAATTGCATTAATCTGGGAGGCGGGGGTTGCAGTGAGCCAAGAACACGCCACTGCACTCCAGCCTGGGCGACAGAGCGAGACTCAGTCTCAAAAAAAGAAAAAAGAATGTAACTGTCATTCTTAGCTCCCAGGCTGTGGGCCACACACAGGCCTTGATTTGCCAACCCCTGGTGTAGGGCAACATGTGCTGAGCAGAGTTTAGGTATTAGAATTTGGAAACAGATTGAAAAGTCCATCTCATCTGTGTCTCTTTAGAGGAAGAAATAGTTCTATAGGCCTTCTGTGAACGGATTTTTAAAAAAACCTGACTGGCCACCCCTGGCCCACAGCAGTGTGTGTGCATAAGGCTGTGTGGCCAGGCCCAGGTCCCTTTCCAACCTCTTCCTTACCTTGCACCACCAACAGCTCCTGGCACGTCCCTTAAATCATCGGAAGCTGCCTGATGGAGAAAGAAACACAGTCAGTCCCCACCTACTGCAGCCAGCCCCAGCCATTTACTGGTTGCCAGACCCTGAGCTGGGCATTCTGCCCTCCATCACCGCCCTGAGGAGGCTCCCCATCCCCACGCTGTACCCTGGAGCCCACTCTGGGACCCTGGGGCCCACTCTGGGACCCAAGGGCAGAGACCCACTTGGTTATCCCACCAGCACACAGCAGGGCTGGGATTCCCACTCGCAACCTAGGGCCAGAGCCTCTCGCCACTCTCCAGGGATCCAGCATCTGACTGCTCCTTGTGCCACGCAAGGGTCCAGGTAGACAGTCTACAAATTTGGTCCGACCCTAACTGGCCAGCAGTGGACACAGCCCTGGCAAGTCCCTCCCAATGGTCTCTGTGCACTGGGGAATACCTAGGGCTTGGGAATCTCTTGCTGTGTGACCCTGGAAAGGGTGATGGCAGAATACTGTGGAGTACTGAGGACAGACAAGGACTCTGCAAACTGTCCCAGTGTCACAAGGCCATAACCTTGTGCTGCTGCAGAGATGGGGCTGGAGGGAGGCCCAGGCACCAAGCACATTTGCGAAGCACACAGCAAGCACCCTTGCTTTCCTCCTGTCTTTCCTCAGGACAAAGGAAGGGGCCCCAGAACTCTCAGTAACAACCACAGAGGAGGCGCCAGAGTGAGACTGTTTCCCAGACCACCAGGGTGACATGCGGAAAGGCGCCGAGTGGCTCCAGGGGTGCCAGGAAACAGAGAAGAAACCCAAACAAGCCCCTGCACGAGGGTCTTTTGAAATGCCTTCCCCAGGGAAGCCTGCTCACAGGGTCAAGGGCCACCCTCTCCACCTGCCCCCCTCGTGCCCTGGGCCCAGTGACAGAGAACTGCCTGTTCCCATCAACCAAGGTGGGTGGGGAAGGGAAGGAGGGAGGCTGAAAATAAACCCTTAACCACTGTGTTTGTCAGGAAGACACTCAACCAGAGACAGGTCCAAGAGAAAGACCGTGGCACAAAGCAGAGGACGCCAAACCCTGGAAGCATCTGCCTCAGCTCCAGCTAGGCCACTTCCTACTGCACACAACCCCAAGCAGAAGAGTCCACCCACAGATGTATGGTCCCCAGAAGCGGGAAGAGGGCATTACCTGTCCCGCAGGGATGGACTCCAAGGAATCAGAACATCCCTGGGCAATGGGCTGGTGCTCGGGAGTCAGACTGTCAGTGGACGAGAGGCTGCTGGCCAGGGCCTCCTCCTGAACGAACATGATTCCTGGAGAGACCAGGGCGGGTGGGCAGGCAGGCAGGGTGGGTGGGGCGGGGAGAGCGGCTGTTCAACAAGTGGGGCTGGGCCCCTCAGGCTACTGGCATGGCGGGGGTTAGCCAGATCCCAAAACCCAGCCACATGGATTATAGAAGAAAATGTTAAAACTGAAATCTCAAAATAACTCAAGAAAGAACAAATGACTGCTTATCTAATCTCAGGGCAGGGAGAAGCATTCTGAGAATAAATGCAATGGAAAAAAACTGAGATGTGACTACATAAAAATTAAACTTCCACAGACACATTTTTTAAAAACCAGGATAGATTAAAACCAGATGAAATGAGAAAAGTGTTTGCAATATTTGACAAGGATTTATATCGCTAGTCTGTAAAAAGTTCTTACAGATTACAAAAATGAGGGAAGGTTGGAAACCTCATTAACAGACTGCAAAGGACGTGAACAGACATTCCGCAGAAGAACGGCCAGCGGATAGAACATGAAAAGAATGCTCGCTCTCAGAAGTACACAAAGAAAGGCAAGCTGAAACAAGAGACAAGTGTTGCCTCTCAACTTCTGCCAAAGTCAGACTGACTGTGTGGCCTGGCCCTGACCTCGCTGGGCAGAGGCCGGCACAGGCATGCAAGCTGGCCCACCCATCCAGAGAAGAGTTTGGAGGTACATCCATCAAGAGCCTGAAATGTGTTCACTCCTGGAGCATTTTCCCAGACGGTGACTAGACATGACCCCGTCCCCTGATTTGTCATCTCTGCAGGACTCATAGATACACAGGGCACGGGACAATTCACCAGGGGGCCAGCCCTTGCAGGCCTTGGTATCCAGCAGGGCTGCTGAGTCCAGCCTGAGCCCACATCCACAGTCCCACTTACCACAGGACGTGCCCACTGACCTGCCCTGGGGCCACCTCCCACGGACAGCAGCACTCTGACCCACTGCGTCCCGTAAATGCACAGTGTTCCTAAACCCCGCTGAAGCTGTTTTATGAACGTAGCCTATCTGGACCTGTTACTCCACCTCAGATCACCTCTAGACCACTTGAAGGTAAAGCCTTTGTGAACATGTTCCTGACTGCCGCCAGCAGGGTGAACACTGGGCATCGGCCGCCAGTCTCACTGAGGCCTACAGGAGCCCTAGGCCTACCTCCACAGCCCAGCATCGCCACAGCCCAGTGAAATGACCCCGAGTCCTCTGAGCCCCACAGGTCGAGACCCCCGACCAGCTCAGCTGCTCCCCGGGACAGGACAACTCACACAGCCTGGGTCCTCTGCCCACAAGCGAGGCAGGCAGGTGGGCCCAAGCTCAAACGCCCCCACGAAGCGAAGCAGCAGGGGGTAGGCAGGCAGGAAGGATGGCAAGCACACAGCCATGCATGAAGCACCCTGATGGGCCACGCTGGGCACCTGCCCAGGCCGCTGCTCTCCTGCAATCCACCCTCTGCCTGCTAACGTTCAACTCCTATTCACCTTCGAGATTCACCTCAGACACCACCTCCACTGCAGACCTTCTCTGCTCTAGACAGTCTACAAAAGCCCCACACCATCCTACCCTGTTCTCCTCCAGCACATGGCTCATCCTCCCGCATGGCTCCAAGCTCCCCAGGGGCACAGTCTGGGTCATCTTGAACCCCCTACTAAGGATGTGGGAAAGGGCAGCCCTCATCGACCACCTCTGTGGAGCTCTGGGTAGTGCCAAGCGCCTCCCCAGCATTCGCTCATGCATGCCTCTCGTTATTTACCACATTTCATCAAATCTAAGATGCGGCAGGTGGCGCCATCTTGGTCCTAGCGGAAGGTGTCCACGGGTTTTCCACGACTCCATCTCGAATACCAGCTGGCTGACAGCGACTATGAGACGCCACTGACTGAAAGACGCACCTCAGTTTCAGAGAAGTCACAAGGTGGAAATGCGTGCCTCTTAGAATCAATGAAGTAGGGTGCGTCCACTTCACAGTTGAGAAAACAGCTTCAGAGGGGCTACAAGTTGCTTGAGGTCCCACAGCTAGGAAGCTGGCATGCGAACTCAGCTGACCGAGCCCTGGCTCCTAACCACCTCTCCACACAGCCTCCTCTCAGCCCCTGGGCCTGGCTGGACAATCAACTCTGGCGACCACCCCTATTGGTCACAATCATCCATGGCTCCGACAGCGCCTGCCACGACGGGAGGCTGGGTGTTGTCTGGACAGCGCCCCCTTCAGGCAGGCCCGAGTGCCAGTTCCTTCGCAAGCAGGCTCCCTTCTCGGGAATCAGGCTGGAAGCAACAGGCATGGGTCAGCAAAGCTGCTCCCACGCGCTAAAAAACCCTGTCCATCCAGGCAAGACCCAGGAACACGCGGCTGAAAAAACACACGGGGAGGCCTCCAAATCAGTGAGAAAAAGACCAACACCTTTTGCCACTACCTCCCACAAGCCCTGTTTGGACCAAGGAAATGTGGACAGGGACAGGGACAGTCTATCTGCTCCCGTCCTGGACCGTGGCCTGTACAAACAAGTGGTCAGAAAGGGCACTCAGCGGATAGAGCGGAGACATCAGGAGAGTCCTTAGGGGTCCGATCTTTGCTGTTTCTCACCAAAAGGAAAGAGAGGTGCACACAAAGACATCCACTGCAGTTTTATTTAAGAGGTGCAAATCTGGAGGCCATGTCCAGAAGTCCAGCGATGGCGGGGACAGACTGCAGAGTGCCCCTCTGCAGAGTGTCCCCAGGGCACAAGGGGAGTGAGGAGGGGGCTGAGCTGGTGCAGAGGCTTCTCCGACAATGTGGGGGGCTGCCTGCAGCTGCAGCCTGGGGACATGGTGCATCCCCACCCATCCAGGGCCTGCTCTTCACTGGCTCCTGCTCTACCTGCCCACTCACTCACTCACTGATCAACAGATGCTGGCAGAAATGGCTGTGTCCCTGGCCTTGAGAAGCAGATGCAGCTCCCTGTCCCCAGAGGCCTACAGTCATATGGTACCTCCACAGGCTCGCTTGGCTGCGCTACAGGAGGCAGCGTCAGGGAAGCTTTCTCACCGTGATATAACCTCCCTGGCTTTTATGTAATAAAATGCAACCAGAAATCCTTAGTCAAGAGTCTGACAGAAGCAAAATGGGCAATCATCCTGGCACCTAACCCCATCGCTCCACGCTCAGGAATTCTCTTCCACATCTCACAGGTGTGACCTCAGTGTGCTGCTCTGCGTTGGGCCTTTTGCCTTAACTTGAATGCTTCTCCCCTCTTCCTGCCCAGTCTTCCTGTCCCTGCTGGGAGGGCTGCTGAGCATTCTGCACCACAGCCGACTCTCCCTCTCATCCTCCGATGTTGCAGTTGCAGCCCGTGTTTTGGCAGTGGTGAGCATTTCACCTCCCCTTCCCGGTATCTTATCCCTCTAAGAGAAAATCCCCACCAGTGGGGTTACCAGGTCAAGGGGTGGGAATGTTTTTCTGGCTCTTAAAACATCGGGTTGAACTGTTTTCCCAAGACCTCACACCAAGTTCTGCGTCTCCAGGAGCCCGGGCAGGCGGCGTCCTTTCCTGCGTGTCCCGAGCCTCGGCTCCACTCGGGACGGCACACCCTCCCCTCTTCCGTGGGGGCCGGGCCAGCAGACACGCTCATGAGACCTGCTTCACTCACTCATCTCCGAGGATGCCTGGGTTCAGAGGTGAAAGCCCTTTGAAAACGCTAAGATAGTGGGCAGACGAATGGGCCTGGTCTTCCATGGGTCCACAGGGACAGAGATGGCCCATCTTGGCCCCACAAACATGGTGTTCTGGGGCTGGGTCACCCCACAGAGATGAGGCAGTGATAAAAGCAAGCTTTTCCCTGCACAGGGATTCGGGCTCCAGACAGTAAAGTCACAAGCCCGGCTTCCTGTAACCAGGAGCCAACCTGCTTGTGCTGCCGGTGAGGGAATGGGTCCCATGAGCCAACAGCCCCGAGCCTGTTCAGAGGGCAGCCTCAGGGCCTGTCAGACACCCTGCGGTCTCCTAGAGGAGCTGGATGTGGGCATCAGAGCAATTGGGAGTCCTCACCAAGCAAGCAACAGCTGGCATCAGGCCAGGCACCCCTGCCATGTGTCCCCCCGCGAGGACCAGCCTGCAGAAGGCACTGCCCTCCCTGTGTCTGACCCTGTTGGAAGCAGGTGCTGGCACCTCTCCCCCAACCCCAGCCCAGCCAGGGGGCCCAGGCAGGGCTGTGTGGCTCCACTAGAAGCAAGATACATACACGATTACCTTGGTTAGAGAGGATGGGCTGGGGCAGGGAGGCAGATGCGGGAGCCACAGTGGGAGGGGAGCTGCTGGGTCTGATGCAGGGGGCAGCTGAGAGCCGGGAGTCTTCACCACCCTGAGGACGAGTGCTTGAGTCAGCCCGGGAGAGAAGAGGAAGCACAGAGCTCCCCAAGGCCAGGGGTGTGAGGAGGGAGCGCAACGGTTCCCACCAACTGGGTGGTAAAGATGGTCTCATCATATCCTTAGAGCAGGAACTACCACTGTCCCCACCCCACAGAGAACAGAGAGGCCGCGACTTGCCCGAGGTCATGCAGCCAGGGAGGGGCGCAGCTGGGACTCGGCAGCCCTGAGCAGTCCCATGGCCCAAGCCCCCCAAACTGGCTCCTATCCCGGCTGGCTCTGCACCACTGCCCTCCCACCTGCCACACAAACCCACCTTCTTCTCTGGGTTGCTCAGTTTGGACTTGACCTCCTTGGCTTTCTGAATTGCTTTCAGCACTTCCACAGTGTCCAGCTCCTTCTCTGTGGTCACTGTGTCATCCAGACAGACCTAGAGCATCCAGAAAGTGGCTATCAGCATGGGGACTGGTGATGGCTATCAGCATGGGGACTGGTGATGGCTATCAGCATGGGGACTGGTGAGCATGGCAGGAGGATGGTAGGGCTCTGCTGAGGAGGAGGCGTGAGCACCTGCTGTGGGCCAGGCCACGTGAGGACACCATAGGCTGAGGGAGGCTCAGCCTGCTCAGAGGCGGCTCTTCACTACTCATGGAAGTGACCTGGGAATGCCTTGGAGGGGTCCAGGGAGGTCTCACATCTGTCTCTGGAGTCCCTCACCAAGAACAGGAGGCAGCAAGCTCTTGGGCAGCTGGGACTAGGGTAAGGGGGCAACTTGAACTAAGCCCCCAGTTAGAGGTGGGAGGCAGACTCTCAAAAGAGCGATGGGAGAGCCTCCTGGGTAGGGGAACCAGCGGCAGGAGAGGGCAGGGCCCCCGCCTGCAAATGTGGGAGGGAGTGGTGGCTGGCAGGCAGTGGGGGGTTGGGTAGGGTGGTTGAATGAGGGAAGGTCCCAAGGGCCTGGACAGGAGCTGACACTCTGTGGCCTGGGAGCTTCCCAAAGTCTGCAGCCCAGGAGGGGAGGAGATGGCATCTCATGGTCTTGTGACTGTGTGGAGGAAGGGGCACTTGCGGCCACAAAGAGGGAGGTGGGACACAAATAGACTTCCAGGTATTTTCTGACCTGGGATTTTGGGAGAACAGAAGGTCCAAGGACCAATCAGAGCATCACGGGGACTGCTCCAGGCCCAGGCGATGGGTGAACCTGGTTAAGGGTGTCTGGTCAGCATCGTGGCAGGTGCACAGACACCGCGAGGGGCAGCAGACACCAGGCTGGGCTACACTGGCAAAGGCAAACCCTTTGGGTTTACAGTCAGGCACTATGGCCACAGGTTGTCCAGGAGATATGAATATTTTAAGGATCTTATTTCTGACCCTTTCCTAGAATAAACAATGTTATCCCAGACAGTAGGGGCAGGAGATGCAAGGGAGCTTTTTCCTGGGGAGATAGTGGACTTCCCAGAACTGAAAAGCCCCTAAGGGACAGGACCTCTTTCTGAAGCAGGCAAGGGTAGAACAATGGACATATATCCCCCTACCGCCCATGCAGACTTGACTGCATCCCGAAGGTCTCCCTGGGCTCTTCTGACTGTGCTGGGGCTCACCTCTGAGGCCCTCTCTCCGAACTGAGCCAGCACCTTGGTCCGGTAGTCGGGGATGATGCTCAGAGGGTTGTTCAGCAGAGACACGTGCTCCAGACACGGGAGGCTGCCTATGCTCCGGACCTCCTCCATCTGCAAGGTATGAGTTCCATCCCCTTTGGTCCCTTCTCTTAACACTTCAGCAACACGCCAACACGTTTCATGGTCTCTTTTAAATGAAAGGAATCTTAACATTCTTCTTTAACATGATACACACCAAGGCACAGAAATCCCAAAACTGTGAGGTCCTTGGGCTCACCTGTTCGATCCTGTTGTCCCGGAGATCCAGGTTGACCAGTGAGTAGAGCTTGTGCAGGCCACTCAGACTCTCTAGGAGGTTGCCTGCCAGGTTTAAGGTCTTGATGTTCCCCAGCTTGGTGTGAAGCCCTTCCAAGGAGGAGAGCTTGTTGTAGGACAGGTCCAGATGCACAAGGTTATACAGGTGCTGCAGCGGCGTGGAGAACAGCGTAAAGTGGCTCAGGTCAAGTCTCCAAAGATAGGGGCCTGACACTAATGGCAGGATGGGCCTTCCAACCCAAACTACCCAGTTCTGCAAGTCACTCTGACAGTTATTTTAGGAAGGGAAGTCCCTCTTCTCTGCCGCACATGCCACAGCACAGTGGCACCCCTGCAGACAGTTGGGGTGGGCGTTGAAAACATGGCTGTCCACCTTCAGGACGGAGGTGCATCATCATGCCTGGTTTGTATTTACTCATGCTTCCTAATTCTTTGGAACTAGAGCAACAATCACTCAGTGCATTGCTGGGATCCTAAAGCGAAGACAGCAACCCCTGCCCTTACAACCCCTGGCCAATTCCCAAGGCTGCGTCAGTCTCCTGAAATCTCAGGGCGGGGCCTTGGGAGTGTGTGCGGGCAGCACTGGTCTCCAAAGGCACTACCTGCAGATTGTCCACAACCAGCAATCCATTGTGACTCAGGTCCAGGAACTCAATCTTTGGGATCAGTTTCTTGTGAAAGAAAAGAACACCCGATGTTACTGTAGGGGGCTGGACCCCAAACACGGTCCCCGACACAGTGGACGGGCACCCCAGGACGCTTCCTCCCGACCATGGACTCCCACGGGCCGTCCCTGCAGGACCACTGGTGGGACATCTCCCGCTGCCCAGCCAGTAGCACATCCAAAGGCACACACAGGGCCCCCAGTGCTGGGCACTACTCAGTTTTCATGGAACACTTGGCTTGTGAAAATGACACACAGCAAGGTCCCAGACAGAGAAGAGAGTCTGTTCTTCTTCAACCCTGCCCACACTCCCTGAGCAGCGCAAACACGGGAACGACACTCTTACTGCCCAAATGCCCTCTGGGTGTCATTCTTTCATGGGCACATCTGTCATCTAAGGAGTGATTTTTCTGCTCCACTCTTTGGAGCAAATGTCATCATTTAGTGTGTTATAGTTTACCAAATTTACATGAAATTATTATGTTTTATTTGGTTCTAAGTACTACCTCACCAATTTTAAATGATCCCATTTTTTTTTCTTCTTTTGAGACGGAGTCTCACTCTGTCGCCCAGGCTGGAATGCAGTGGCCCTATCTCAGCTCACTGCAACATCCGCCTCCCGGGTTCAAGCGATTCTCCTGCCTAAGCCTCCCAAAGTAGCTGGGATTACAGGTGTGCACCACCACACCCAGCTAATTTTTGTATTTTTAGTAGAGATGGGGTTTCACCACATTGGTCAGGCTGGTCTCGAACTCCTGACCTCAAGTGATCCTCCCGCCTCGGCCTCCCAAAGTGCTGGGATTACAGGTGTGACCCACCACGCCCAGCCCCCATTTTGTAATTAACTTAAAATGGCAGGCAATGCACAGAGCACTAGATATAGGTTTTCCGTGGTCCTTCCTAAAAAAGCTGAGTTAAATACTCAAACTCAGGGTTTGGTGGGGCCAGAGAAACCCCTGGCACCTGCTGCTGAGAGCATACCACAGACTCGTCGATCTCGGAGACGCTGTTGTGGCTCAGGTCAAGCGTGGTCAATGCCTGCCAAGTGGGGATGACGGCAGTCACAGGGCCTTCTAGGGTTGTGCCTTCAGGCTCCCACTCATCAAATTCTGAGGCTTCAGGAACAAGGACTTCCTGCATAAAAACATCTGTGTGGAGCACCACACTCGGGCCCTCACGCAACACTCACTGGGAACACAGTCGTTGCAGAATTTAAGGAAGGGCTGGAGCATATTTAGCATGTGGAAGTAAACTTGCATTAAAGCATGCCTTTGGTTCCTATGTCTTTAAACGATTGTGAAATCGTTCAAAGCTGAACAATTTACCACATAACAGCCACTTAGAATTAAGTCCTGGCCCTGCTTTAGGAGCAATGCTTTTCAAGCCCAAAGGGCCTTTGCCCTGGTGACCTGGTGATGCCTTTTCTAGCCTTTTCTCTTTTTTGAGATGGAGTCTCGCTCTGTCACCCAGGCTGGAGTGCAGTGGCGCAATCTCAGTTCACTGCCACCTCTGCCTCGCAGGCTCAAGCCATCCTTCTGTCTTAGCCTCCCCAGTAGCTGGGACTAGAGGTGTGTACCACCATGCCTGGCTAATTTTTGCATTTTTAATAGAGATGGGGGCTTCACCATGTTGGCAAGGCTGGTCTCAAACTCCTGACTTCAGGTGATCCACCCACCTCAGCCTCCCAAAGTGCTGGGATTACAGACGTGAGCCACAGCGCCTAGCCGTTTTTTCTTTGAGACACAGTCTCACTCTGTCACCCAGGCTGGAGTACAGTGGCGCCATCATGGCTCACTGCAGCCTCAAACTCGCAGGCACAAGCAAATCCTCCCATCTCAGCCTCTTGAGTAGCTGGGACTACAGGCGTACACCACCTTGCCCAGCTAATTAAAAAATTTTTTTCTGTAGAAACGAGGTCTCCCTACATAGCCCAGACTGGTCTCAAACTCCTGGGCTCAAGTGATCCTCCTGCCTTGGCCTCCCAAAGTGCTGGGATTATAGGTGCAAGCCACTGCTACTGGCCAGCCAACCGTCTTTTCTAGCTTCTCAGAGGCTGAAGGTGAGAATTCAGTTTCCAGGCAGCTGTGCTTTCCAAGCTGATGATGTGGTCCTCACTGTGGACACCAGGCCTTTAAAACCATTATTTCACAGGAATAAAGTCAGACAATGCTAAGATAAGGGGAGTAGCACAAAGCCCAGAGACCATCAAAATGGAGAAAGGCAGGCCTATTTGTTTTGACAAGACCTTTCTTCTCACAATGGGTCGCCCTGGGCTCCTTCAGCAAGACAGTGAGAAGTGCTCGGAGAGGGACCAGGTGGCCCAACACACTCTCTGCAAGCCTCAAGAGGAAAATTTTTCACCAAATCCAATTTTTTTTTTTTTTTTTTAAGAGACAAGGTCTCCCTATGTTGCCCAGGTTGGTCTCCAACTCCTAGGCTCAAGGAATCCTCCTGCCTTGGCCTCCCAAAATGCCGGGATTACAGGCATGAGCCACCACACCTGGCCCAAACCTAAGTCTTGATCAGGAACCTTAAGTCATAATATTAGCCACTACATGCCTTTTCTATACCCAGGGAAAGATTTTAACATTAGCAAGATGTAATCCATAAAAAGGTAAACAGAAACATTCCCAATTTGAATGTTTCTGCTGCTCACATATAAACAACATGGCCTAGCATTTCCACAACCTCACCTTCTAATCAAGCCGTGGGGAAAAAGATACAAATGAGTGCTTAGCCAGGGATTGCTAAAGCTTAGAGGAGCAATCTAAGCTTAGTTATCAATCTAATTAATAAAGGTCCCGCCACTTGCCACAGCTTAGCAATTTGTTCATTAAAAAACCAATGACGGCCGGCTGAAGTGGCTCATGCCTGTAATCCCAGCACTTTGGGAGGCTGAGGCTGGTGGATCACTTGAGGTCAGGAGTTCGAGATCAGCCTGGCCAACGTGGTAAAACCCTGTCTCTACTAAAAATACAAAACCTAGGCCGGGCGCGGTGGCTCACGCCTGTAATCCCAGCACTTTGGGAGGCCGAGGCGGGTGGATCACGAGGTCAGGAGATCGAGACCATCCTGGCTAACATGGTGAAACCCCGTCTCTACTAAAAATACAAAAAATTAGCTGGGTGTGGTGGCGGGCACCTGTAGTCCCAGCTACTTGGGAGGCTGAGGCAGGAGAATGGCGTGAACCCGGGAGGCAGAGCTTGCAGTGAGCCAAGATCGCGCCACTGCACTCCAGCCTGGGTGACAGAGCAAAACTCTGTCTCAAAAAACAACAACAACAACAACAAAAAACAAAACTTAGCGGGGCATGGTGGCAGGCACCTGTAATCCCAGCTACTTGGGAGGCTGAGGTAGGAGAATCGCTTGACCCCAGGAGGTAGAGGTTGCAGGGAGCTGAGATCATACCACTGTACTCCAGTCTGGGCCACAGAGCAAGACTCTAGCTCAAAACAAAAACAAAACAACACAAAAACACCAATGACATTTTTTATTTTTTGGGGAAAGAAGCCAAGTTCCTTAAAATGTCCTGTTAACAACACGAACTTTTTATGCAGATGTGAACTAAAGTGTCCCAGGGGCTGTCAAGTGCTGGGAGGCCCCCCATGAGTGTCTGCCTACCCCACAGAAGGTCCAGCCTCTGAATACTGATAGACATAGCAGTGTCCTCACCCATCCTTAGTGGTGGAGACCACAGCCCAGGACCCTGATCCACAGACATTGCCCCAGGCAGGATATAGGTGAAGCTTACCTTCATCGAGGTTGCTGAGAAGCGGACACTCAGCGTGGCTAAGGTGGGCTTCGATGCGACCAGCCCTCTGATGTGCTTAGCATCACAGTGACTTATCTGGAACAAAGAACAGCTGCATCTCAGAAACAGAATCCTTGCTCCGTCAGAAGTCCCCAGATGCAGGTGTTTCCTACCCCCATACAAAAGCACAATGACAGGCAACCCAAATCCTCAGAGATGGGAGGCCACTCAAGACCAAAGTGTCTCTTTTTCCCAGTGTCAGTGCCGACCAAACATTCCCTGAAGTATCTAGTAAGAAAGGTGCCTGGCCCCTCAGACTCACAATGGACCACAAATTCCATTTCCTCTGTAAGGGCTGCCTGGGGCTTGGCAGGTGAACATAAAGTGTGGGTCATGGAAACTGCTGGGGAGAACAAGGGGCCTCCACAGCACAGCGAGTGGGGTGGATCCTCCTGTTCACCCAGCCCCCACTCCATGGAACTGAGCTGTCTTGTGGTGAGGAGGGGCAGGCCACAGGTCAAAGCACACTCCCCAAGCCACCTGCCCAAGCACACCCAAGACCCAGATCCAGAGCCTCAGCCTGCTTGGCAGGGCTGGGTCGGGTTTCCCCTTCACTTCCCTGTCCTCAATCGGCAGCAGGGCACACCACAAGTTTCCCTAGACCACTGTAGACGGAACAGCCCAGTGCACAGCAGAGGCTCTGGAGGCAGTCTCAGCTGAATTCAAATCCCAGGTTTCCGCTCATTAACTGTGTGGCCCTGGCCAAACTTCCTTATCTGCCCAAGCCTCAGTTTCCCCAACTGTAAAATGGAAATAAAAGTGCCCTCTTCACGGGGCTGTTGGGAAGATTCAATCAAGGAGACATGGGGCCACAGGGCAGAACACAAAAGCCATGCTCAAAAAATTATGCTTTAAAACTTTTTTTGTATTCATTACTGACTTTTCTTTTCAAAAATGCTAAAATTGGCATCGCAAACCAAAGAGTCCAGTAGTGACAGATGCAGAGTGTTTCTTGTGTGGGTGCCCCAGAGGGCAGGGCATCTTCAAAGCTCTTTGCCAATCGGCCTTGGGAAATACAGACTTGTATTTAGTTCTGTCTGACCCCCAGGATGACTTCCCAGGACTTGAACTTGAGGTACACATGCCCCCTGCCCCTATGAGGAGTCCTAGAATGAGCCAGGTGCTGGTGCTCCACCCTGGCTAACCGCCCCTGCAGCTCACGCCAGGGAAGGTGTGTGCAGACCAGCCAGGGACAGGAGAGGCCTCTCTTTCTCCGCCTTCAGAGGGCCTGGTCACCTACGCAGAACCTGTCACATACTGCCAAACACGAAAGCACAGCACCTTATGATTAAATTAGGACACCCAACATCACAAACACTCTCTAGCCTCTGAGTTGGGAGCGAGAGGATGCTGTGCAGCGCTGGGCCTTACCTCCACCTGATGCAGGGACTTGAATATTGATAGGTCGAACGGCAGGAGCTGCTCCTGAATGTTGCTGGTCCCAAAAGGTCCTTCTGTGCCAGAAACCTGAAGCCAAAGATAAGGCTTAAATTGGGAACAGTGTCGCATGCCCATCGGGGAGTGCTGCAGCAGCTGACAAGTTGAAGACAACTTTGACCACTTCTGTCTTCAACAAAGCAGGCTCAGGCCAGGACTTAATTTAACGGGACACTGGGTCACGACCGCCCCCTGGTGCCCACAGCCAGAAGCATAGTGCCAAGAATAACCGGGCGGCCTTCCTTCCACCAACAGTCCCCCATGGTCTCCTTCACACAAACTGCCAGCCAGTCCCCCGCAGGTTGCACCCCCACCGACTGCGGGGCTCTCCATGACTGAGCTGCTGCAGCTTTACCTTAAGGTACTTAAGGCGACAGGTGAAGTCCAGGATGTGCCCGAGGTCGGTCTTGGCATCCCCACTGGCGCACGTGGGCTTTCCCTGCTGCAGCTGCTCCGTGACGGCATACAGCTGCAGGGGTCCAATGGCAAAGACCTCGCCGGCCCCCAGGAGCTGTTCTCCTGCAAGAGCCATGCCCTGAAGGATAAGTGTCCAGCCGCAGCCCCAGCCCTCGTGCAGCCAGGATTTCCACCTTTTCTGTCAACAAGCAGTTGGCAAGCACCCACTGTGTCAGGGCAAAGCCAGCGCCCTGGGCATGCAGGAGCTGCTGCCCTCCTGGGTGCCTGCTAGGCACAGGGCAACCCTAGACATGTGATGACAGAGGAGGGCAGGGCTGTGGGGCTGTGAGGCTGGGGAGCCACTGAGGGAGGAGTGAGGCCGAGTCGAGACCAAAGGCACTGGGCCAGAGTGAGGCTGCGGAGAGGGACAGCATTCTGGGTGACACACCTATGCTGCAACCTCCGAAATGCAAACACCCAGGTCAGGCGCAGGCCTATGGTGCCAGCGTGGTGCAGAGCCTGGAAGCAGGATGGGTTCTGAGCCCAACTGACTGCTGCTTGGTCCTCGCTCCACTCCTCCCAGCCATGTGCCCTCAGGCTGGTGACTGGGCCGCTGACCCCGTATCCTTCCCTATACCTGTGGCTCCTGGGGGAAGGCAGTAAGATGCAAACAGGAAGCATTCATCACACATGAGCTACTATAACTGTGCTCTCTGGCAGGGATGGGACCCAGGGTCAGCTTCTATCTGCCATCTGAGCCCTTTCAGGTAAGCACAAACCAGGTGCGAGGGAGCAGTGTGCTACCCACCTTCCAGCACCCACCACAGCGCTTTGGAACACAGCCCAAGTCTGGGCTGAGCCCCTGACATGGTACTCAAGAGTACTGAAGGACCACAGCTCCTCAGACCTGGCCACCTACAGGGGAGGTAGGTGGGCTCCAGAGTGACTTCTATGCCATCCTGTGCCTCTGGCCGCCTCATAAAACTACACAACTTATGCTCAGTATTTCAGGGACATGTGGCCACATACCTTTCTCAAAGAGCTCTTCAGCCAGTGCCGCGGTGATGCCATTTATCTCCTGCAGAGAACACAAAATTTGCCCTTAGAAAGTCCACCTGACCCCAGTCCCTGGGGTCACATTCCCCGCTATCTATCCCCTCTGTTGTGCCAGTGCCATCTCTCTAGGAAGTTAAACTAAAGAAAGGAGGGCATAAACCTACAATGAAGCAAGAAGCTTAGAAAGGGAAACTAAGTATTCTAGTTATGTGGATACCTGAAATGTCTCCTCCAAAGCAGAAGGGAAATCAGCCTAATGCTGCGACTCCAGTCCATAGGGCCAAGGGCACTGTAGCCCAGGAGGCCAGCAGAGCTGCATTACTCTAAGGGCTTTTGGGAAGCCAGCAGCTCCCAAAACTGGCTCTGGGTGTTCCTAGGAGAGGGTGTGGCAGAGAGAAAAGTCCTGTTTTTTCTGGAAGAGAGGCTCTTATCACCCTGGTGGGATGAAGGACCACCCAGAGCTAACCCTCCCTGGGAATGACCATTTCCACTTCCTCTCACGTTTCAAATGTGTCTCAGGAAAAGAGTGAACACTTGTTTTCTTCTTGTGTTCATCCCTTCCAGATTCACAACAGTAACACTCAGCCCCAGGGTCCCAAGAAAGAAGCGGGAAGGATTTCCTTTTTAAATGATGTGATGAAGGGCAGGACAAGGCCAAGCCCCCAGTCATACAAACAACACGCTTGGATCCTAATTCATACTGGGTCATGCCCTGAGCCACTGAAGGCTCCTGAATCCTCCCAACATCCTACAAGAGGAAAAGCGATAACTGCTTTTTTTTTTTTTTTTTTTAAATAGAGACAGGGTCTTGCTCTGTCACTCAGGCTGGAGTGCAATGGTATGACCATAGCTCACTGCAGCTTGGAACTCCTGGGCCCAAGTAATCCTCCTGCCTCAACCTCCCAAGTAGCTGGGACTATAGGTGTGCATCAGCACAACCTGCTTTTTTTTTTTTTTTTCTTTTTTGAGACGGAGTCTTGCTCTGTTGCCCAGGCTAGAGTGCAGTGGTGTAATCTCGGCTCACCGCCACCTCTGCCTCCCAGGTTCAAGAGATTCTCCTGCCTCAGCCTCCCAAGTAGTTGGTAGTACAGGCATGTGCCAAGATGCCCAGCTAATTCCTGCATTTTTAGTAGAGACAGGGTTTCACCATGTTGGCCAGGCTGATCTCAAACTCCTGTCCTCAAGTTATCCACCCTGCCTCAGCCACCCAAAGTGCCAGGATTACAGGCATGAGCCACTGCCCCTAGCCAACCAACTAATTTTTAAGAAAATATTTTGTAGAGACAGGGTCTCACTATGTTGCCCAGGGTGGTCTTGAACTTCTGGCCTCAAGAGATCCCCCCACCTCGGCCTCCCAAGTTGTTGGGATTGCAGGTGTGAACCACTGCACCCAGCAACGGAAGCTTCTATCTTGAGCTCCGTTTCACAAATGAACAACCTGAGGTGGACAAGCGCCGACACCCTCAATTTTACATGGCTAAAAACCAGCAAAGCCACACTCAAGCCCTTGGCCTTGGGCCTCTGCATATGAAACCCGTTGCCTCAGCAGTTCAGTGTAATAACTGTGGGGTTGGCAGTGCCCCCAAGGCCCTCAGCCCCCCACCCCCACATCCCACAGGTAGGAATTTTAACTCATCGACAGATGGCAGCCAACAGGCCTTTTCGTAAACAGCTCCAGATGGAGGCTGCATAATCCTCATAACTCACAGGAACATTGGGAACATCGCTTCCACCAGGACAAGCAATTCACGTGTTTATGGGATTCTAAAGACACAGGAGACAGGGTGTCCTTTTCCTGTTTTTCTCTTGGGTTGTTTGTCTCTTTCTTATCTTTTATACACTGTGGCCATTTTAATGGTGGTTTATATGTTGTAAACATTTCCTCCCAGTCTGCATATACCTTTTACCTTTGTTCATGGTGCTTTTTCTGACAGAGGTTTTTCATTTTTACATTGTTTAACCTCTAATTTTTTTTTATCCTTCATGACTTCTTGGGCCTCTTCTCTCACTCCACAATTATAAAAATATTCTCTTAATTTTCTTTTGGTTCTTTAAAAAATGTGTTTATTCATTTAATCTGCTTGAAATTCAGTTTATATACAGCACGAGAATAACTCCTCCCTGTATCCCGTGGACAAAAAGCAAAGGGAGCAAAATGAGCACACAGAGCCACAGCTTTAAGGGACCGGCAGGGTGCAGGGCCGAATGGAAAAGGGCAAGGAGAGGGGCACGGCAGGCACAGAGCAGGACAGGGCTCCGGCTGGAAGTGAGGGCAGAGGTGGTGGGTGTGCTCTGAAGTTCAACTTCAGTCTCTTGCAACCACATAAGCTAAATGACATTTTCCTTGGCAGCTGTGAAGAACTGAAGATTAGGAAGAGCCTCCACGGATGGTTTTGAAAACCACGCCCCGTCTACAGATCTGTACTTCGCAATCCTCCCTGCTGTCAGATCGCCTGGAGCCAAGCAGGTCCCAGGGGCTGCCAATCTCTGCCCACCTCAATTCCCCAAGAATAGCTCCAGGGCCTCTCAGGACACAAGGCTCTTACAGTTATCTCAGGAGAAAGGGTTCCCCACGATCAGTACTGAACAAACCTCATTTTCAACGGCACACTTCTTTTTTTTGAGACGGGGTCTCGCTCTGTCTCCCAGGCTGGAGTGCAGTGGCGTGATCCTGGCTCACTGCACCCTCCACCTCCTGGGTTCAAGTGATTCTCCTGCCTCAGCCTCCTGAGTAGCTAGGATCACAGGCCTGCACCACCACACCCGGCTAATTTTTGTATTTTTAGTAGAGATGGGTTTCACCATGTTAGCCAGGCTGGTCTTGAACTCTTGACCTCAAGTGATCCGCCTACCTTGGCCTCCCAAAGTGCTGGGATTACAGGCGTGAGCCACCACGCTCGGCCAATGGCACATTTCTTCAAGTAGCTGGTGTCAGCTCAGAAAGAACACAGAGAAAAAAAATCACCCTGGGCTAGGCATGTAGTCCCAGCTACTTGGGAGGCTGAGGCAGAAGGATCACTTGAGCCCCTAAGTTCAGAGTCGAGCCTGGGCAACACAGCAAGACCCTGTCTCTCTAAAAGAAAAATGAAATCACCTTCCTGGATGACAGCCCCTCTAAGGGGATAGGGCTGGAATTTCTGGAACACATGGAAAGTTGAGAGAAAGTAAGGGCCACCGGCTCCTGCTAAGCAAAGAGAAAGCTTTCACTTCTAAGGAATCTCAAAGCAATTTGTGTAACAATTTTGCTCTTTAGGGCACAGAAGTACATACTGCTGCAACACTTTCTACTTGGTTTTCCAGGCTGTTTTTCACCTTGGGAGGGAGACTGAACCAGAGAAGAGCACAGAAATGCCTCAGCCCCCAAACCTAGCACATGGGCCTCCTCAGAGAGTTCGCTGGTCAAACGGTGGGCTCATGAGTAAAGGTGGGCAGAGTCAGGCCTCCCCACGCCAGGAGGAGGCGGGGTGGGGTGTGAGTGGCCCGAGCCCACATGCCCTACCCCATCTGTGCTGAAGGGACTTGAATTGCTTTGGGGTGCCATAAATGTCTGAATTGAAATGTATTTTTTTGAAGGACATTCTCGGCTGGGCACCATGGCTCACCCATCATCCCAGCCCTTTGGGAGGCCGAGGCGGGCGGATCACTTGAGGTCAGGAGTTCAAGACCAGCCTGGCCAACATGGTGAAACCCCGTCTCTACTAAAAATACAAAAATTAGCCAGGCATGGTGGCACATGCCTGTACTACCAGCTACTCTGGAGTCTGAGGCAGGAGAATCACTTGAACCCAGGAGGTGGAGGTTGCAGTGAGCCGAGATTGCATCATTGCACTCCAGCCTGGGCAACAAGAGTGAGACTCTGTCTCAAAAAAAAAAAAAAAAAAGAAAAAGAAACTTAGTGTCAGCTATGTTTACAAACTGTTAACACTCACCCTCCCAGTGTGTTACTGACCAAGAGATCAGCCGCACCACCTGCCCACCACCTGCCGGGATTCTGTGTTGGTGTGTAGCCGTGGGCAAAGGTTTGAGCTTCATGTAAACACTAGCTGGGCTGTGGTCCTGCAACTTAAATTCTCACTAAGAATGCCTGCGCACATGCCCTGCAACCAAGTATACTTCAAAACACATACACCTACACTCAATGCAAACCCCAGGCCAGGCCTAGATGCTTCGGCTTGGCACACACCCAGGCAGCGTGCTTATCTGTGGGGCACTAACCAGCGAGTGAATTACATGTCACTGAGGCCATCCCCAAGTGTGGCTGAGACACACATGCTAAGAGCTGGAATCCTTGTCTCACTATTTTTTTTTTTTTTTTTTGAGATGGAGTCTTGCCCTGTCACCCATGCTGAGTGCAATGGCGCGATCTCGGCTCACTACAACCTCCGCCTCCTGGGTTCAAGCAATTCTCCTGCCTGAGTCTCTGGAGTAGCTGGGATTACAGGTGGGTGCCACCATGCCTGGCTAATTTTTTGTATCTTTAGTGAAGAAGGGGTTTCACCATGTTGGCCAGGCTGGTCTTGAACTCCTGACCTTGTGATCCATCTGCCTCAGCCTCCCAAAGTGCTGGGATTACAGGCGTGAGTCACCATGCCCGGCCCTCCTCGTCTCACTTTAATTTATGTTGGTATGAGGCATTCTAGCAGGAGTCAGGCATAATATGTGTGATTCAACTTTAAGCTAAAATTCCCCATTGATGGATTCAAACCTCAGCTTTAACTGAAGAGAGTTGCAAGACTGTAAGTTCAAAAGAAAATCTGTTGTAATTCACAGCCTCAGTACTTTGCAACTAAAACAAATTATGGAAATAAATTGGATGCTAAAGCCAATGCTAAGATTGTAACAGTTCAACATAGCCCCTGATTCCAAATTTTGAAAAGGATCTTTGTTCTAGCCAACTAACTTTAAAAGAAGACAACAATATAAACACCTTTCAAGAGAAATGAATTCCTTTTCTTTCCCGAACCACCTAGTAATGGCTAGCACATGGTCAGCCCTAACCTCAGGCCCAACACTCTTCTAAGCCATTGACCTTCACTGCACAGTCTCTTGCAGGCCTCACAAGGACCCCAGCTCACCAGCCTCCAGCTCACAGGCAGGTTAAATGACTGACTTGGACTAAACCGTTGGGAAGTAGGGGTGGGAGATAAACTCGCCTCTGCCTGCCTCCAAGTCCACCACAGTTGGAGGTCCCGGCCCACATGGTGTGCTAGAATTCCGGATGGGATTCCATTTCACTGAGTTTGGAAACCTCTGTTCCAGGGGTTCTGGGATGAGGCCTGTCACCACGCGTCCAGGAGGGTCAGGACACAGCAATCTGAAGAGCAGCATAGCAACAGGCCAGTGCCACAGTGTGCCCCTCACTCATACAGGCGGCAACCCCTGCGCTCCCACCTAAAGTGGGCTGGTAAACAAGTAGTGCTTTCTTTCCTTGTTATTAAAATCCACACTGCAGGCTGGGTGTGGTGGCTCACGCCTGTAAACCGAGCGCTTTGGGAGGCCGAGGTGGGTGGATCACTTGAGCCCAGGAGTTCGAGACCAGCCTGGGCAACATGGAGAAACCCCATCTCCACAAAAAGTACAAAAATTAGCCAAGTACGGTGGCATATGCCTGTAGTCCCAGCTACTTGGGGGGTTGAGGTGGGAGGAGTGCTTGAGCCTGGGAGGTTGAGGCTGCAGTGAGCCGAGATGGTGCCACTGCACTCCAGCCTAGGCAATAGAGCAAGACCCTGTCTCAAAAAACAAACAAAATCCATACAGGAATATATTGTTATAAATCTTTGTGACCTTGGATTGGGCAATGGTTTCTCATGTATGATACCAAAACACAAGTGACCAAAGAAATTGATAAATTGAACTTAATCAAAATCTAAATCTTTTGTGCTTCAATGAAGACCATCAAGAAAATGAAAAGATGGCCGGGCATGGTGGCTTACGCCTGTTATCCCATCAATTTGGGAGGCTGAGGCAGGTGGATCACCTAAGGTCAGGAGTTCGAGACCAGCCTGGCCAACATAGTAAAACCCTGTCTCTACTAAAAATAGAAAAATTAGCTGGGCAGGCCGGATGTGGTGGCTCAGGCTGTAATGCCGGCACTTTGGGAGGCTGAGACAGGTGTATCACCTAAGGTCAGGAGTTCAAGACCAGCCTGGCCAACATGGTAAAACCCCATCTCTACTAAAAATACAAAAATCAGCCAGACGTGGTTGCGTACGCCTGTAGTCCCAGCTACTTGGGAGGCCGAGGCACGAGAATCGCTTGAACCCCAGGGGTGGAGGTTGCAGTGAGTCGAGATCACGCCACTATACTCCAGCTTGGGCAACAGAGCAAGAATCTGTCTCAAAAAAAAAAAAAAAAAAAAAAAAAGACAACTCACAGAATGTGAAAAAGTATTTGCATGTTTCTAAAAGTCTAGTAGCCAGAATATATAAAGAACTCTTACAACTCAACAACAAAGATAATCTGTTTTTTTTGTTTTTTTTGTTTTTTTAGACAGTCTTACTCTGTCACCCAGGCTGGAGTGCAGTGGTGTGGTCTCACTCATTGCAATCTTCGCCTCTCAGATTTAAGCCATTCTTGTGCGTCAGCCTCCCGAGGAGCTGAGATTACAGGCACACACCACCATGCCCGGCTAATTTCTGTATTTTTAGTAGAGACAGGGTTTCTCCATGTTGGCCAGGCTGGTCTCGAACTCCAGGCCTCAAGTGATCCGCCCACCTCAGCCTTCCAAAGTGCTGGGATTACAGGCATGAGCCACCCGCGCCCGGCCCAATCTGATTTTTAAAAAGACAAAGAATTGGATACTTTTCTCCAAAGAAAATACACAAATGGCCAAATATCATATGAAAAGAGGCTCAGGCCAGGTGTGGTGGCTCACACCTGTAATCTCAGCACTTTGGGAGGCCAAGGTGGGCGAATCACTTGAGGCCAGAAGTTCGAGACCATCCTGGCCGACATGGTGAAACCCCGTCTCTAATGAAAAAAATACAAAAATTAGCCAGGCGTGGTGGTGCACGCCTGTAGTCCCAGCTACTCGGGAGGCTGAGGCACGAGAATCGCTTGAACCCAGGAGACAGAGGTTGCAGTGAGCCGGGATCACATGCCTGCACCCCAGCCTGTGCGACAGAGCGAGACTCTGTCTCAGAAAAAAAAAAAAAAAAAAAAAAAAAGAGGTTCAATAACATTAGTCATTAGGGAAATGTAAATTAAAACCACAATGAGATACCACTTCACACCCACCAGAACAACTAAGATTTAAAAAAAAATGGACAAGAAGTGTTAAGCAAGAATGTGGGGAAATTAGAACCTATACACTGCCGATGGAAACGTCAAATGGTGCAACAACTGTGGAGAACAATTTGTTAGTTTCTCAAAAAGTCAAACATAGTTACCATATAACTCAGGTTCCACTTTTGGCTATATATCCAACAAAAATGAAAACATAAGTTCACACAAAAATTAACATACAAATGCTCATAGCAGCATCATTTGCAATGGCCAAAAATGGAAACAAACCTAACATCCATCAACTGCTAATAAATAAACATAATGTGGCATATCCAAATAATACACTATTACTCCGTCATAAAAGGACCAATGGATTCATGCTACAATATGAACGGACCTTGAAAAGATAAGGCTAAATGAAAGAAGCCAGTCACAAAAGGCCACACACTGTATGATTCTATTTATATGAAATGTCCAGAACAGGCAAATCCATAAGGACAGAAAGTAGATTAGTGACTGCCAGGGGCTGGGGGACAGAGGGATGGGAAGCTCCTGCTAACAGGTACAGGTTCCTTTTTGGGCTGATGAAATGTTCTGGAATTAGATAGTGGTGATGGTCGCTCAACTTTGTGAATATACTAAAAACTACTGAATTGTACACATTAAAAAGTTAATTTTATGGTATGTAAATTATATCTCAATTTTTAAAAATCCACACCATGGCCAGGCGTGGTGGCTCATGCCTGTAATCCCAGCACTTTGGGAGGCTGAGGCAGGTGGATCACGAGGTCAAGCGTTTGAGACCAGCCTCACCAACATAGTGAAACCCCGTCTCTACTAAAAATACAAAAAATTAGCTGGGTGTGGTGGCGGGCCATCTGTAATCCCAGCTACTCGGGAGGCTGAGGCAGGAGAATCACTTGAACCTGGGAGGTGGAGGTTGCAGTGAGCCGAGATCGTACCACTGCACTCCAGCCTGGCCAGTAAGAACGAAACTCCGTCTCAAAAAATAAAAATAAAAAAATTCACACCATAGCCAAATAGGGTTCCCTGGGTCCACCCTATCCAATGTCAGCAACACAAGAGGCAGAACACATGTGGAACAATTTCAGAGAGGATACAGACAGTATAAAAGTTAAGAGAAACATTCCCCAGAGAGCTCCCAGCCTGGAGAAAAGGCTGACAAATCTTTAGGCCCCAAATGAAGATCTAATCCAGTGGTTTTCAAGTGGGGGGCAATTTTGCCCCCCAGTGGGACATTTGGCAATGTCTGGAGACATCTTTAGTTGCCATAGCTGGGTGGGGAAGTGCTACTGGCATCCAGTGGGTAGAAGCCAGGGTGCTGCTAAACAATGCATGGGACAGCTCCTTACAGAAACAAATTATCCAGTCCAAAATGTCAACAGTGCTATGGCTGATCAACTGTGGGTTTAATCCAACGATGGGTTCAATTGCTTTTTTAAATCCTAGGATTTATATAACCTAGGGACCTGTTTGATAATACTAATTCCAAATATGTCAAAACTTCTACAAGTAGCGGAGCCTGCCTCAAACCAGAACCAGATGTAGCCGGCCCCAGGCACATCTCAGGCAAACCAGTTTCAAAAGAGCAGTCCAGGCCTTTCCACCCTCAGAGCCAGGCACACGTGAGGCAGCCAGCGAGACCTCCTCTCCTCAAAGGCATAGGTCTCAAGCAAGGAATTAATACCGTCAAAGGACTGCATGTCAGGTTTCATCCCTAAATGGCTAACCAAAGCTTTCTTAAAATACAATATTTCTTTTTTTTTTTTTTTTGTGACGGAGTCTTGCTCTGTCGCCCAGGCTAGAGTGCAGTGACACGATCTTGGCTCACTGCAAGCTCTGCCTCCCGGGTTCACGCCATTCTCCTGCCTCAGCCTCCCGAGTAGCTAGGACTACAGGAGCCCACCACCATGCCTGGCTAATTTTTTGTATTTTTAGTAGAGACGGGGTTTCACCGTGTTAGCCAGGATGGTCTCGATCTCCTGACCTCGTGATCCACCCGCCTCGGCCTCCCAAAGTGCTGGGATTACAGGCGTGAGCCACTGCGCCCGGCCTTTAAAGTACATTATTTCTTAAAATACTAACCAGTAAAGTTTATCTGAAAGACTTGCATAAGGAATGCAAATTTTTTCTCACATAAGAAAGTATAAAAATATGTTTACGAAAGGGTATGTTGCTAACCCTATACTTGCTGGTATATGCTAAATAAAATCCAAAGCATATACACAGGTCCCATCTGTGAATGCTATCTACTTTTCCACCTGTCCCTGCCAAGCTCAGTGGCCCCAGGTTAGCACTCGCCACCAAATTTCTAGGCTCTTTAGTGATCCAAGAAAGGTTCAACTGTCTTACTCTGAAAAGAGTTTAAGGAAGTTGTTTCTTCTGTTTTTGTTTTTTTCTTTGAGACAGAGTCTCTGTGGCCCATGCTGAAGTGCAGTGGCATAACCTCGGCTCACTGCAACCTCCCCTTCCCAGGTTCAAGCGACTCTCATGCCTCTCTCCTGAGTAGCTGGGACTACAGGCATGAGTCACCACGCGCAGCTAATTTTTGTATTTTTAGTAGCGACAGGGTTTCGCTATGTTGGCCAGGCTGGTCTCGAACTCCTGGCCTCAAGTGATCTGCCTGTCTGGGCCTTCCCAAAGTGCTGGGATTACAGGCGTGAGCCACTGCACCTGGCCAAGAAAGTTGTATTTTAAATACAGCTGGGCTTTTAGGACCATAATCCACAGGTTACTTCAAGGTGAGCCTGAAAAGGGAGTGGATTCTTCCCTGTCTTCATCATATAAAAGGAAAACAAGTAAATATAAATTATCTGAAAATCTATCACTCAGAGAAAACTACTCTTAGCATTTTGGTATACGTAAACCTTCTAGAATTTTCCTAGACAAATATGTCCATATCAACTTGTTTTTTGTAAAAATGAGACCATAGTCAGCCAGGTGCAGTGGCTCACACCTACAGTCTAAGCACTTTGAGAGGCAGAGGTGGGAGGATGGCTTGAGTTCGAGTTTGAGGCCAACCTGAGCAATACTGCAAGACCCCATCTCTACAAAAAAATTTTTAAAATTAGCTGGGTGTGGTGGCATGCACCTGTAGTTCCAGCTACTTGGGAAGTTGAGGCAGGAAGATCCCTTGAGCCCAGGAGTTTGAGGTTGCAGTGACCCATGATCAGGCCACTGTCCTCCAGCCTGAGCAATGGAGTGAGACCCTGTCTCAAAAAAAAAAAAAAAAAAATAGTACAGCCATACAGTTGGATACTGCTTAAGAAAGTTGCATTTTTTTTGAGACAGTGTCTGCTGGGAAGACTGGTGTGCTGCTGGGATAATGATGGTGGAGCTGCAGATTTCTTTTTTGTTTTATTTTCCCAAAGAGCTGGGATCACAGGCATGAGCCACTGTGCTCAGCCTGGCTGTACCCTTTGATTTTTTTTTTTTTTTTTTTTTTTTTTGAGATGAAGTCTTACTCTCACTCTGTTGCCCAGGCTGGAGTGCAGTGACATGATCTCGACTTACTGCAACCTCTGCTTCTTGGGTTCAAGCGATTCTCCTGCCTCAGCCTCCCAAATAGCTGGGATTACAGGCATCTGCCACCATACCCAGCTAATTTTTGTATTCTTAGTAGAGACAGGGTTTCACCATGTTAGCCAGGATGGTCTTGAACTCCTGACCTCAAGTGATCTGCCCACCTCAGCCTCTCAAAGTGCTGGGATTACAGGCATGAGCCACTGCACCTGGCCTGATTTTTTTTTTTTAACCTCTTCTACTAGACTTTAGGGTTGTCCTTACTATTTTGTTACAATCCTGGAATGACTACCTTTGTTCATATATCCTTTTTGCGGCTGCCTGATTTTTCCTTAGAAGAAATTCTCATAAATAGAACTGCTATTTAATATTGTGGTTTTGGCCAGGTGCGGTGGCACACGCCTGTAATCCCAGCACTTTGGGAGGCTGAGGCAGGCAGATCACTTGAGGTCAGGAGTTCCAGACCAGTCTGGCCAACATGGTGAAACCCCATCTCTACTAAAAATACAAAAATTAGCTGGGTGTGGTGGTGCAAGTCTGTAGTCCCAGCTACTCGGGAGGCTGAGGCAGGAGAATTGCTTGAACCCAAGAGGCGGAGGTTGTAGTGAGCCGAGATCGCACCACTGCACTCCAGCCTAGGTGACAGAGCAAGACTCCGTCTCAAAAGCACAAATATTGTGGTTTCACACTGCCTAAGTGCCCTTCTTAAAGTCTGACAACGCATTCTGTCACCGGCAACCTATGAAAGTTGTTCCTCTTTCAAGGACGGAGTACAGAGCTGTTCTATGACACACTCTCCCATCACAGGAAGGTGTCCACCCTCAACCTTAGCACCCTGGCAGCGCGGACCCTGATGACACGCCCCAAGATGGTGATATTCCACCATCACAGACTAATCCCTTAATTAGTTTTGGGCTATGCACCAACAACTCAACAATAGTCTATCCCAGGTGTCAGCTATTTCTAATCCAGCCTCATCCATCTGGATGGAAACCTAGCTTAAACACCCACAGGCCATTTTTGCTAAACAAAATGCCTTGTGGTGGAGGAAAGCATCTCTGTGGCCACATTTAGTCTAATTTACGGCAAATCTGTCAACTAACATGCTTCTGGCCACAATGCATTCCTAACCAGGGTGACGTTCCTCCATCTTCTAACCTAGGGTCAAACCCCAGCCCACCTCAAAGCTGAGGTCTCCCCTGGTTTGCTGCCTCAAGTTTGGCAGTTGTGGGTTTGCAGGCACAGGTGAAAACCCGATGAGGAACTTACATAGAAGTGAAAATGCAAGAAGTGGGCCAGTACTCTGGGGGTCACGCCAGGGAAGGCAGCCAGGAGCTTCTGGAGGTAGACCTCCAGATCCTTCTCCCTCTTCTCCACCAAGCTTCTTGAGTTTTTCCCAATTATCTTTTTGGGCGGAAGCAGATTTTTATCAATCTTTCTCTCTGCAACGAGCTGTAAAAAAACATAAGCACATCAACCACAGACTAAGAGGCTCTGTGCCTATGTAAGACCAAGGCAAGAAGCTTGAGGGCAGGCGCTTGTCAGCACTTGCACAGCCCCTCCCTGCAGTAGTACCAAAATCAGTGACCAAACTAGTGCACCTGGGATTTGGCCTCTTTAAATCCAATTAGCATTAGAAATACCAATACAATTCTAGACAAGGAATTCCATCTGGAGACTTTAGAGACATTCAGAAAAGTAACACCTTTTGCCCCTAAAATTGCCATCTTTTCCAAGCCAGAGTAAAAACCAATCAGGGCAGCGGTGTGTCTTTAAAACAGTTATGCTGCAAATGACCCAGAGAAAGACAGCATCTCCAAAAGCAAAAAAAAGAGATGGAATCACAGCCAGATATTAAAGTAAGGCTTTGGAATAGCTATCGCTAGATCAAACAAGTTCAAACCTGTCCCCTTCCCAGGAAACTGTCTGAGCATCTCATACCCAAGCTAGGACTGGAAATATTAAAACTGAAATTCAAATATGCTCCTTGCAGAGTGGCTCATGCTAGAGCTGAAGGCTAGCATTTACATGCTATATTAATGAACGCAGTTATATTAACAAAGTGGTTTATTAAAGAACTATAGAGATGGAACCTGTTTTGCCCTAAAACTAATATGTGGCACAATGGAAAGTTGGCCTACGGGTCCCCCAGCCCTGAGATACGTGCTCCCAGCTCTTAACAGTTACCTTTTCATGCAGGTCATGGAAGTCGCTGTAGCGGTGCTTTACTGTCCACTCATGGCTGCCATCAGTGACCTGGATGATGTAAACCTAAAAGGGGAAACCAACAGCCCTTGTGGCAAGGGAGCCCAGCAACAAGGAGTCTCCTCCCCCAGCAGCAAAAGCTGCAATTATCTTTCCCAATTATCTTTTATCAGTCTTTCTCTCTGCAACTCAGACCCACCCCAAGGCCAAAGTCAGGCTGCCCTTGCCCACCAGCCTCTGCACCTGACCCTTGCTGACCAGCAGGGCCCCTCTCAGCTTCCTCCATGGCCCAAGCACTAGGGCTGGGAGGCACATGAGACAAGCATGTGGCTCCATCCATCAGTAAGGAATGAAAAAGGTGATTACCACAAGTCACCTCTTTAGTTTTTTACCTCCTGCCTCTAGGTAACTCAAAACCCAACCGGAGCTGCAGGCAAGGCCATTTCTTCCAAGGGAGGCAGAGCAGGGCCAGTTCTAGCCTGAGCATCTTCTCTGTTGTACTTCTTTCCAGGTGCCCTGACTACCTCCTGGAAGCAAGTCATTTTCCAACCCTTTCAACTGGTTCATGGCTGTGATTTCTGCTGCTGAGCCAGGAATCAAGGCACAAGCAGCTGATGTGGGGAGGGAGTGGTAGCAACTAAGCTCTATCAGGAGGCAATATGGCCTAGAGGTTAAGGAAGGCCTGGGTTAAAAACCTGGTTCTGCCATTTCCTGGCTGCAGCTTATGTGTCACTTATATAAGTAACTTGGAGCCTAAGTTCTCTCTGAGCCTTAGTTCCTCCATCTTAGAATCAAGGACCAAGTAAGGCAATGCATGTAAAATGCTTTGTACATGGGCCTGACCCATGGCAAGTGTTCAAAAGGTAGGTGTGTTAATAATGTCCAACTCGGCACACCCGGAGACAGAGGATGGTAGGGTCCAAACTAGATCACCACCTCCCCCGACATACATGCAGAGGAGGGGCGCAGTCCAGAATAGGGTGAGCTTTTTGAAGATGGCCCTCTGGCTGAATGTGCCCATAGCTGATGGCCAGTCAGCCATCAGCTTAGAGACCTCACCCGCCTCCTGCACCTAGTTTCCCCCTCCTCTCTGCAGCATGGAGCTGAAGCCTCCTCCAGCCCTGAGGAGCAGCCATTTCTCCAGGCTGGCCTGTTGCTTCAAGATCCACCCCTCTCCTCTTCCCATCCTGCCTGATTCCTTCCCCTTGCCTTCAGGAAAGGAGAAAAGAGCCAGAAGAATGGCCCTCAGAGCGGAAGGTTAGGATGAGGGCCAGGGAGGGGAGGTGCAGGCAGGCCCAAGGCCCCCACCCACTCCCTACCCTGCGGGAACAAAGGGGAGGAGGCAGGGAGGTGCTCTATGCCTAGTCCAGGGCCGGTTTTTGCCAGGCAGCCCACCAGGCTCACAGGCCTGGCATCCAACCCCGTCAAAGTCGGGAACTACCCGCTATTTGTCCTCTGTCTCCCCCATAGCTTAGAAGTGTGTGTGGGCAGCTTGTTGCCCCATCTCGCTCCCACAGCCCAAAGTCACGAAGATTCCTAAGGCTTATAGGGCCTGCGCTTTAGCACTGAGACCACCCCCATTTCTCCATAGATGGGCTCCACCCCTCCTCCGGTCTTGTCTCCGCCCGACCCCCAAGGCATCTGCTCCCCAGGTCTCTCCTGCACTTCTCAGAGAAAATCTCAACCACCACCTCAGGCTCCCCAGATCAGGGTCCTGACGCCTTCTCTTTCTTCAAGGCCTGCGAAGCCTGACCCTTTTCCCTGATTCCATCCATCAGAGACCCTCTCCCCATCGCCTTCCTCCTGGACCCCTGTAACGGTCTTCCAGGCCGGGGCCCCTCCAGTCCTAGAGGATCTAGAGGGGTTCCGCCTCATCTAGACACCCCCCTCCCCAAGCCCCCTTTATCCCCAGATGCCGCCCCCAACCCGAGCCTCCCTTTCTGATCGCGTACCCTTTTCCAAACCGCCTCCCCGGGCCCCGAGCAACCCTTCTCCCGGACCTGCGGGGCCCAGATCCCTTTCCTAGATCCCCCGTCCCAGCCCCCTCCTCGCAATCGCAGACCCTTCTACCCGCTCCTCGGGGCTGCAGATCCCGGACCCCTCCCCAAGCCCCCGAGTCGGACTCCCGGTTCCAGCCACCACCCCCGCTTCGGGTGCCCGCGCCCCCAACACACCGTATAAGTGTCCACAAGCTCCGAGCCCACGACGCGCGCTTCCTTGGCCGGCTCGGCTTCCCGCTCGGGCCCGAAGGTGCGCGCGGTCGCCATGTTCGGGTCTCCGCCGCCACCGCCGCCCGGCGCAGACTAGCAGCAGCAGGGGGCGGGGTCAACGTCCCACCGCCCCCCGGCCCCCGCCGCCCGTCGCCCCCGCCGCGCGCTGCGCCGCCATCTTGGCCCCGCCTTCTTCCTGCGCCCTCGCCCCGCCCCCGCGCGTGACTGACAGGGGCCACTCAGGGCGCGCGTGCGAGGTGCTCGCTTGCGTAATCTACCTGCGTGGCGCCGCCGGCGGTACCCTGCACAGCCTGCTAGAAACTGAGACCCCGGGTGGTGACAGCTCTGGGCATCGCCCCTGGGTCCTCGGGAAGAGGGGACAGAAGGTCCCGAGTCTCCCAGGCCACACGAAGCAAGTCACTGCTCTTCCTGGCCTCAGTTTACTCCTCCTGATAAAGGAGGCCATAATAGTGCCTCACCTGGCTGTTGGGCTCTTTCTCTTTAGGGCAAGGCAGGTTGGAGGGGAAAATAGGACCTGTGCTTACCGCCGGAGCAGGGCGAGAGTGATTCTGGGCCAGTTCTGAACCTCTCTGAGATTCGGAGATCTCTTGTCAGTGGGGCTTCTGGACAACTGAGTGGGTTGATTGATGCGCGGCCCAGCACGCAGTAGTGCTCGAGGCAGGGAGCGTGTTTATCAAGAGGGATAAACTTGATACGAACTCTGTACGAAGGAAGGTGTAGGTGGATGGAGGGGTGTGTGCTGCCACTGAGCACAAGAACCCCACGGGGTGGCCTGCCAAAGTTCAAAACGAGGGAGACAGGTTGATCTGGACCCAGGAACTACAGTGCTGAATCCTAAACCGGGGAAAGATGAGACCTAGAAGAGGGAGGTGGTAACCTAATTGGAGGGTGAGGAGGGAAAGAGCCTGCCACAGATGGGGCATCTATAGGGGTGCTGTTGAATAACTGAGAGCAGCTGACTTAAGCCCGAAGTGGGTACTTCTCCCTGGGCAGATGGGAGGTCTGGGACAGGCTCCTCTGGCAGAAGGGCTCCTGGCCACCCTGTCCTAAGGTGGGTCAGTCACTTCCTCCTTCACCAGTTCCACAGCATCTTACTATGAGCTTGGCATTCGAGGCTTCTCTTGGCAGGGCCCTGCACTCCTAGCCTCTCCTTGCACATTGCACCCCCATTCCAGAGAGGTTTAGTTAAAGGCGGGGGTTACCAAGTCAGTCAGATCTTGGGCAAGTCACCACTCCTCCAGAGCCTCAGTTTCCTTATCTGGAAAGTGGAGGTCATGGCAACCCGCCAACCTGGTTGGATGGGAGCCTGAGCTGTTGTGTTGCACCTTGCCTGGGGCCCACGACTTTGTAGCTCCTGTCCTGCACTGGGCTTATGTTTTCATTCATTCCAGAAACCTTTTCAGAGAGTCCCTTTGGGGAGTGTGGGGGACAGGAGGGAAAGAAACCTGGTCCTTGTAGCCGTTCGTCTGCTCCCTGCCCTGGGCAGAGGACGTGGGGACTCAGGCCAGCCTGAGATCACTGGGACCAGAGGAGGGGCTGGAGGATACTACACGCAGGGGTGGGCTGGGCTGGGCTGGGCTGGGCCAGGAATGCAGCGGGGCAGGGCTATTTAAGTCAAGGGCCGGCTGGCAACCCCAGCAAGCTGTCCTGTGAGCCGCCAGCATGGATGACATCTACAAGGCTGCGGTGAGGGACAGGGCTGGGTAGGGCTGGGGTGGGCAGGCCCACTGGGGGCTCACTCAGCTGAGAGTGCGGGGTTAGTAGCCCCAGGGAAGTGGTGGGGACCAAGGAGAAGGCCTACGTGCCTTCAACCCAGGCCCTCACAGGGACAGTGATTCTGGTGTTTGAGGATGCAGAAGGGGTAGGGGGTTCCGGGTCTGAAGGGTGGTGGAGGAGGTTGCAGCTTTCAGCATCGTGTCTCACTCTCTGTTTCCAAGTGTCTGTGGTCTGTGGCACTGTCGCTCAGCCACATGTCTCTGCATTTGTCTCTGGACGTTTTTGCCTTTCTCTTTTCATCTCTTCCTCCTGAGCTGTCTGAGTCCCCATTACTGTCTCCCTGTCCCCAACCCCCATTTCTGCCCCTCACATTCTGCTTCTCACATGCTCAAAATCTGCCACCCCACTCCAGCCCCTTGGCGGGCCGAAGATGCTTTGGAGGGTGGAGGGTGTGAGAGGAGGGGTCTGTAGAGCCTGAGTCCTGGGCTGGAGATGGGGCTTTGAAGTTTGAGGCAGGGAAGTTCTGGACATGAGGGAGAACCAAGGAAGAAGGAACAGAGAACTGGGGCCCCAGCTCCCATCATGCCTGGCAGGCTCAGGGCTCAGTGGCTTAGCTAGGGGTGAGAGCGAGGGAATGAGGGCTGGAGAGTGGTCACCCCAAGCCCCTGCAACCTCCTGGGTCACTGAGGGTCTTCAGATGCTATTCTATCCTGGGTGGTGGTGACCTCCCCCAACCCCAGAGCAAGGACATCCTGGCATGGCCAGCTGTCCCCAGGGGAACCCCTCCCTCAGCCTCCCTCACTCCTGGGCAGGGAAGTGCTATAGCCAGCTCTGGGGGCACGCCTGCTTATCCTGTGGGAGTCCATGGAGCCGGGGTTGGGACAGCCCTCCACCCAGTGCCCATACAAGGCCTGGCGGAGTTGGGGACTAATTTTGGCTTCTGAGGCGGCACTAGCAGGCCAGGGGGCCAGATAACGCTGCCCCACCCCCTGCATGCCAAAGTCCCCAGAACAATCACCAGGTTTAACTTTGTTCCTCGTTAAAAATAGCCCAGTGGCCACCCTGGTCAGGTTACCGTGGGTGGCTTGCCTGCCTCCACACTGGTTTTATTATCCCAACTTGAGGGACAGCTGTCCTTCGGGCCACCCAGCTTGAGTTTCATCAGGGGCCGAAAGGGCATTGAGTGGTCACTGACTATTGTTACTGAGGGTCACCTTGGTCCTGAAGGGGGTGCCCACCTGTCACCCTGGCCCTGAGCCCAGTCGCAGTGAGGCCAGCTGGGTCACGTCAGGGCTTTGGGGGCAGGGAGGGAGGACTGAGACCTCCACTCTGTGGCCTGGAAATAGCCTGCCTCCTCCAGCTCCAGCCTTCTCACCTGTGGAATGGGTTGGTTTCCTCAGCAGCAGCTATACCTGAGTCTGAGCCTTGAGATTCCCTTTCCTTTCTAGGTAGAGCAGCTGACAGAAGAGCAGAAAAATGGTGAGAATCCCTATCACACATGTGGGAGACCAGCGGGTCCAGGCTGGCATGGGGACCCCTTATCAGAAGAGGACCCCAGGCCAGAGACCAGAGGCTTGGTCCCTCTTGCTCTGCCCTCAGAGAGGTCTCCGAGGGAGGTGGGCAGGTTGGCAGGTGGCCCCAGGGTTCTGGCCCTCCGTGGTCCTGGCTGCTGAGCCCTGACTACTGTGCCCCCCAACCCCTGAACACAGAGTTCAAGGCAGCCTTCGACATCTTCGTGCTGGGCGCTGAGGATGGCTGCATCAGCACCAAGGAGCTGGGCAAGGTGATGAGGATGCTGGGCCAGAACCCCACCCCTGAGGAGCTGCAGGAGATGATCGATGAGGTGGACGAGGACGGTGAGCCCCCTCCTCCCCAGGCTCCAGAAGAACCCCAGCTGGCTGGGGGCTGGAATGCTGGCTCTGTTTAGCTGGGAGCAATTTAGCCTATCCGAGCCTTGGTTGCCTCATCTATAAAATGGGCATAAGGGCTACACAAGCCTGGCGTTTGGTGTGAGGATGCGGTGAGAACATGGGGGTTCGTGTCGAAGGTGCTGCCTGCAGTACCTACCCTGGCCTCTGTAACGGCCATGCTGCCCACCCCCAGGCAGCGGCACGGTGGACTTTGATGAGTTCCTGGTCATGATGGTTCGGTGCATGAAGGACGACAGCAAAGGGAAATCTGAGGAGGAGCTGTCTGACCTCTTCCGCATGTTTGACAAGTGAGCACGTGACCCTTGACCTCTGACCCTGACCCACACTCAAGCCGAGCTGTACAGGAGGGCAGTCTCAGATTCCAGGCCTAGGGACCCTGTGGCCTCTGCCTGATAGGGGAGAGGGATGCCCCATCTCCCAGTGTCCCTGCTCTGCCTCCTGGGGCATGGGTGGGGCTGCCTCATGCCCTCCCCACAGCCCTACCCTGAGCCCCCTCCCCACAGAAATGCTGATGGCTACATCGACCTGGATGAGCTGAAGATAATGCTGCAGGCTACAGGCGAGACCATCACGGAGGACGACATCGAGGAGCTCATGAAGGACGGAGACAAGAACAACGACGGCCGCATCGACTATGATGGTAAGCGGGTGGGTGGGCTGATCTCCTGCCTCCATGCCCTGCCCAGCCCCTACCCTCAACCCACACCTGCCCCTCTTTCCACAGAGTTCCTGGAGTTCATGAAGGGTGTGGAGTAGATGCTGACCTTCACCCAGAGCTGCCTATGCCCAGCCTCCAACTCCAGCTGAGTCCTGGGGTTGGGGAGGGGGTCGGGGTCCCAGGACCTGAGCCTGGCCATGTCCTCAACCCCAAATCCCCCGACTCCCTCCCCAGATCTGTCCTGGGGGATGCAAATAAAGCCTGCTCTCCCAAGGTCTGCTATCTGGCTCTGGTGTCCCTGGGCCGTGGACTCATCCCCAGGACCCACTCTTACCCAATGGCCGCTTCCTTCCCTGTCCTAGGCAGGCTGGCTGCAGAGCCTGGCGCCTGACCACCGCTCCACACTGCCTTCTGCAGGGGGGTGAGATGAGATCGGAGACTGCCGTGTGGCCTGCCCTGCTTGCTGCCCTCTATCACTCCTCAGGCCCAGGCACCATCTCTAGGGATTCAGCATCTGGAGTCTGTGGGGGCCTAGAACCCCCACAAGTTCCTGGGGGCCATCACTTTGGTCAACCACTGTGGCAGCCTAGGGGTCCTCTACTTGGAGAGAGTGGTTCACTGTGGTACACAGCCAGGCCCTTGGATGCTCCCTGGCACAGCAACCCCTGTTACCTCTCAGCCGTGGCTGGAATGGAGCTGAGCCTGTGGGGTCCCTGCAGGCTCACAGTGCTAGTCCACCCGCCCACTTGCTTGTATTTCCTGCCAGCAACATTGACTCCCAGGGACAGAGGGGCATGGAGTCGGCTCTATCTCCCCTCACCTGTTTGGCCCAGAGAGGTGCAGGGACCTGTCAAGGTCATCCAGTGAGTGTGGGGGAGAGCAGAGCCAACTGGCTTCCAGCCAAGGGCCCTGTCGGATGGGCCACATCCAAATGGACATGATTTCCAGTTCCCGTGAACCTCAGAGGCTCATCTCTTGTGGCCCAGTCTCTCTCCCTGGCAGGGATGGAGGCCCAAGGCCTGGCAGCTCTCAGCTTAGTGGGAGCACCCAGTCCAGAGCTGCCGCCAGACAGTGATGCTGTCTTGGAGGCGTGGGCGTTGGGGGCTGCAAGGAAGTGGAAGTGTCAGCAGAGGTGTTCGCAGGAGGGACAGCTGCCAGCAGCACCCAGGCTGTAGCCAGAATGCCGTCAGCTGACCTTGCCCCGCCCAGCCACTCCACTCTCTCTGCACCTGTGCCCCAGCCTTGGCATTCCCCAGACAGGCCTGGCATTCCAGAGATGGTCTTGGAATTCTAAAAATGCCTCTGATGGAGGCCAGCGCTAGCAAGAGCTTTCTGGTCCCTGGAGAGACCTGAGGGGAGCAGAGAGGAGTCCCTTCAGGCCTGCCCTTGTGAGCTGGAGAATTGGGGACCTCTACAGACACCCAGAGTGACCCAGGAAGGGTGACATCCGAGGATAAAAGGAAGCGCCACATCGGGCAGCACCAGCAGCCGGTGCACCACCCAGTGGTTCACTCACACACCCACCACGCGCACAGCACAGGGCTGGATCCTGGGGCATGTCACAGTGAGGCCCAGTCCCTAATCTGGTGGATTTTTTTTTTCTTTTTTTTTGAGACGGAGTCTCACTCTGTCACCCAGGCTGGAGTGCAGTGGTGCGATCTCAGCTCACTGCAAGCTCTGCCTCCCAGATTCACGCCATTCTCCTGCCTCAGCCTCCTGAGTAGCTGGGACTACAGGCGCCCGCCACCACACCCAGCTAATTTTTTGTATTTTTACTAGAGATGGGGTTTCACCGTGTTAGCCAGGATGGTCTCAATCTCCTGACCTCGTGATCCACCTGCCTCGGCCTTCCAAAGTGCTAGGATTACAGGCGTGAGCCACCGCGCCCGGCCTTTTTCTTTTTTTGAGACAGAGTCTCGCTGTGTCACCAGACTGGAGCGCAGTGGCACAATCTCGGCTCACTGTAACCCCTGCCTCCCAGGTTCAAGCGATCCTCGTGCCTCAGCCACCCAAGTAGCTGGGATTACAGGCACCTGCCACCACACCCGGCTAATATTTGTATTTTTAGTAGAGACAAGGTTTCACCATGTTTCCCAGGCTAGACTTGACCTCCTGAGCTCAAGTGATTCGCCCACCTTGGCCTCCCGAAGTGCTGGGATTACAGGTGTGAGCCACCGTGCCCGGCCTAATCTGGTGGAATTTTAAGGAGATGAGTACAGTGGGAAAGCCAGCGTGGGCTGGAGTGGGGACTGGAGGCATGGTGGGCCCATGAGTTACAGTGGTCTGGGAAAGCTCCCTAGAGGAGCTGACTCTGCATGAGATCTGGGGGAACCACAGGGAACCAGCCATGGGAGGCCATGGAGAAAGACTGGGAAGGTCTCAGGAGCAGAAAGGCAGTGTTGGGCTGGAAACCAAGCCCCAGCAGTCTTGGGAGACATGGGCAGTGCCAGGCCCCATGAGGACCCAGTCAATGTAAGGGGTGATGGCTGCAGAGGGCAAAAGGGGTGGGAGAGACGGAGCTAGGAGCTGGCCTGAAGTGGCGGCAGGCTTTGGGCAAGAAAGCCCGGTGGCTTCCAGTACAGTGGGGTGCTGGGGAGAGTGGGCAGGGGTACATGGATTCAAGGCACATTTTGGAACTAGAATGGACAGAGTTTGCTGAAGGCTTGAATGTGAAGGGTGAGAAATAAGAAAATCCAAAATGACCCTTAGCTTTTTGGCCAAACTGCCATTTCCTGAGATATGGAAGCTGGGAGGAGACACAGGTTCAGCCGTGGGGTATTGGGAAGTGGAGCTTACTTCCCAACACTAGGTTTTAGTGGGGTTTTTTGCTTTTTTTCTTTTCATTTTGAAATTCCAGGCTTGCAAAAATAGTACAAAGAACTCCCATTTACAGGTACCCTAGCTTCCCTAAATGTTAACATTTTAACCACAGAAGGATCAAACACAGGAAATGAATATTGACATAAACACTGCTAATTAATCTGCACAGCTTATTGAAGTTCTGTCAGTTGTCCTAAAGTCCTTGTCCTGGAGCAGGAACCAATCCAAGATGGCACTAACGTGACCTCGTCCTCCTGTCTCCTTACTCCCCACCAGCCTGTGACGGTCCTCAGTGTTTCCTCATCACCTCTGAAGAGCTGAGGCCAGTTATTCTGTAGAATCTCACTCACTTTGGGTTTGTCTGGTGGCCCCAGGGTTTGGGAACTTGCAGGCCCCCAGGCCTCAGCCGCCTGAGCAGGAGGGTTTCCGTGGAGCAGAGGGGTGGGAGCCTGACAGGAGTGAGCTGAAGTACAGGGGAGATGGTGGGTGTGGGCAACACCCAGGGAACAGAGAAAGGGACCCAAGCTGAGAAGCGATATGGGGTCCAGGGAAGCTCAGACAAGGGCCACGTGTGCTCGGGTTGAAGGGAGTGAGGATTGTCAGGAAGGGGCAGTGGGGGAAGGAGGGCTCTGCCACGTCCTGGCTCTCTTTTCATCAGCTGTGGTGGGGAGGGGGACAGGTCCTGGGACAGGAGGAGGAGATGAATGGCCCTGCTTGCAGATGGAAGCCCCAGAAGATACTGTAGGAGGGTTGGGGTGGGGCGGGAGGAGCTGTGAGGGATGGCTGATGGGAAGTGGGGGGGCTCACCCTCTGCAAGCAGCTGGAGGTCCGTGGGGGTGGAGGGGGCATGGCATTGTCCTAATATCCCTGTTCCATCCATGAAATTGGTGGGGAGGGGACTGGGGGCATCCATTCCTTCCAGGCATGCCCACCCCAGAATTCTGGCTGGGAGAGGCTGGGCTGTGACCCTCCACATATCCACCTGGTGGCACCTGCTGCATGAACACGCACTTCACATAGGTATCAGCCCAGCTCACCATCTCCCACCAGTACATGGCATTTTGTATCCTTCATGCATCACCTAGTTTTGCCTGTTTTGCTGCATCCTTTCCATTTCTGGGCTTTTGCTTGGATAGTGCTTCCTCCATGAAGCCTCCCTTGATTTCCTCCATCAAGAGCAATCACTGGAGCATCTTCCACTGCTCCTGCTTCTTTATATTGTGTTTGCCTGGTTACTGCTAGCGTCCTCAAGAGGCTGCTGTTTCTGCTGGGTGGCCCTGCTACCCCAACACAGGGCCTGACACAGCGAGTTTGGGGGCCTCCTGCAGTTCCTTCTTTGTCCACTAGATGACACACGATGCCCGTGTCTGGGCCCATTGATCCTCGAATTCGGAGCACCCTTGTGGTCTTTCCCACCTGCAGCTGGCAAGCAGGGGGGCCTTTAGAGACGATCCCTACCCTCTGCCCCCAGGCCTGGAAAACTGAAGCCCAGAGAAGGAGAGGACCTGACTGAGGCCACACACATTAACAGTAGAGTTCGGACTCCCAGCCTGCCACAGGCTCTTTCCGCAGTGTGGAGTAGGCTGCCCCCACACCCTTCCCCAGTCGACCCAGGCTTCCCTGCAGCCCCTGCTGGGTGTCTGGCTGAGCTGAGACCCCAGGATGGGCTGGCAGGCTGAGGAGTGTTGGGCCTCCTGCCCGCCGCTGGTGGTCACATGCTGGCTGAAGGGCTGCCTAGCTCAGTCTCCAGTTAGAAGTTGGCCCCAGCTTGGGCAGTGTGCTGGCCACACCTCCCCAGGGAAACAGAGACAGAAGCAGTCCACTCCAAGGTCCCAGGATATGGTCACCCTGACAGCAGCCCCTGCGCAAGCCCACTCATCAGGTTATGAAGGCTGCTTACACCCAGGGTGGCTGGTCCCTGGCCCTGGGAGGAAGAGGCAGACCCAGAGATGGAAGGGCCTTGGCCAAGGCTCTCCAGCAGGGCCAGAGGCAGGGCTGGGCTGAGCTCCATCACTGGCCTCTGTGGGCAGCCCCTTGCCCACCTCCAGGCCAGCCCCCTGCTGAAGAAGGCATGTGTGAGTGAAGGGAGCTGGGGACAGGGAGGCAGAGTTGTAGGTCTCTGAGACCTGTCATGCTGACCCAAGAAGCCAACCTGTTTCCATTTCAGGATTGAGGTAGGGGAGGAGGGTGGGGTCCCCATACTCCCAACAACGCCCAGAAGCAAAGGAGGGTCCCAGGAAGGGGCAGAGCTGAGCTGGACCCATTCTCAGCCTGCTCTGTGGCCTGGGCCAGGTCCTTCCCTCTCTGAGTGCCCCGCAAGTTCCCTGACCACCATCAGAGGGCCCAGGCCGGTCCATGTGGGAGGCCCAACCTGCAGGAGCTGTTAGAATCCTGGGAACTCAAACTCCAGCTCAAAATTAAAATCTCTTTAGTGCCCAGGGCCTCAGGTTCTGAGTGTAGGGTTCTGGGGTGGGGTGAGGTGGCGACTGTTCTGGGGCAGGGAGCATGGGGAGGTCCCGTCACTCACCCCAGATTCAGGCCCTCAGTCCCATTTCCCCTTTGGCCCTCTTCTGTGGCTTTCTGTGCCCCCCGCCACCCAGTCAGTATTCAGGGTGGGGGAAGTGACCTCTAAGAGATCATAGGTGTCTGTAGGGCCTATGGGGCATGGGGTCCCTGGGAAGAACCATCACTGACCTGGGGAAGCTCTGGACCCTGAGTCTCTGGAAGGACTGGAGGCCTGAGGGAGGCAGGGCAAGGGGAGGTTCCCTCGGCATGGAGTCCCCTGATGCCCCTGTCCCCTACCCCAAAGCAAGCCTGGTGAGCTGAGATGGGGCATGTAGATGTGGGGAGAGGCTGGGGTGCCTGGAAGCCAGATGGGGACAGGCCTGGGTGGAAGAGGCTGGGCAGTCATCTCTTGCTGGCTCTATGAAGTGTTGCCGGACCTCAAACACCTGTCTAGGACATGGCGCCCCTTGGGCTGGGAATGGCCCTCCACCCTTACCCAGGGGAGCTGGAGAGTCTGGCCAAAGCTTCAGGGGGCTGGAATATCCTGGAATTGGGGCAGGGCCAGTTTGGAAGGTCTCTGCTGTGGGCAGTGGAGGGGCAGAGAACAAGGCAGAGCCCAGCTAGGCCCCTACCCAGCCCATCAACTTTAACCTCTGATCCCTGACCTCCCTTCCAGGCTCTCTCCCCACTTGTCACTTTGCTGGAGCCTGGGGACCTGCATTTGTGGACATCTCTGTACACATGGCCTGTGCCCTAGCTGGGAAGGTCTTCCCAATGGGGAGCTGGCCAGTGTGGCACAAAAGCCTGCACTGGGCCAACAAGGTGGAAGGAGAAGCGGCAGGTGGACGGCAAGGCCCCAGCCTCCTTCTCTCCTCCGCCCCTCTTCCCGCCCAGGACTGGGTGGAGCCACTGCCTTATAAGTGGTGGCCTGGTGGCAGCAGAGCAAACTACAACCGGCGGCCAGCGGGACCAGAGGGCGGCTCTGCAGGCAGGCGGCAGCGGTGCCCTCAGTTCCCCAGCATGGCCCCCTCGGCCTGGGCCATTTGCTGGCTGCTAGGGGGCCTCCTGCTCCATGGGGGTAGCTCTGGCCCCAGCCCCGGCCCCAGTGTGCCCCGCCTGCGGCTCTCCTACCGAGGTACCAGCCCCTGCGTGCCCTGTTTGTGTGCATGTGCCCTGTTTGTGTGTGTGCGCTCTGTTTGGGTGCATGTGCCGTGTTTGTGTGCATGTGCCCTGTTTGGGTGCGTGTGCCGTGTTTGTGTGCATGTGCAGTGTTTGTGTGCGTGTGCCGAGTTTGTGTGCGTGTGCCGAGTTTGCGTGTGCCGTGTTTGTGTGCGTGTGCCGAGTTTGTGTGCGTGTGCCGAGTTTGCGTGTGCCGTGTTTGTGTGCGTGTGCCCTGTTTGTGTGCGTGTGCCCTGTTTGGGTGCATGTGCCGTGTTTGTGTGCGTGTGCCCTGTTTGGGTGCGTGTGCAGTGTTTGTGTGCGTGTGCCGAGTTTGTGTGCGTGTGCCCTGTTTGGGTGCGTGTGCCGAGTTTGTGTGCGTGTGCCATGTTTGTGTGCGTGTGCCCTGTTTGGGTGCGTGTGCCCTGTTTGTGTGCGTGTGCCCTGTTTGGGTGGCTTGGGCTCTTGGGTGCCTGGTCAGCTGTAGGGGAGGGAGCCTCTCCCTGCACAGCTCTCGGGGAGTGGGAGGGAGGCAGGTCCTGGGAGACAGGACCAGGGTGGCGGTGGGAGGCACCTGAGGGGGAGTGCTGAGAAAGGGACAGATGGAGACCCTGAGAGAGCTCAATAAAGATGGGGAGGAGACAGAGGAAGGGACCAGGCAGGGGAGAGTGACAGAGAGGGTGGGGCTGAAGGGTCTGTCTGGGCTCAACTGGCACTTTTTGCCCAGGGTGGCCAACGGGAGAGCAGGCAGCATGCTATCCCTTGGTCCTGGGGCCACAGAGAAGGGGAGGACCCCCCTTGCAGCCCACTTCCCAGAGTGGGCTTGTTCATGTGCTCCTGCACCCAAGAAGCGCCCCAGCCCAGGGGGAGTTTCACCTCCCCTTTTTGCACATCCCAGCCTGGGGGTTCCTGTGTTCTACCCTAGACATGTGAGCCGGCTCAGGCCTCCACGGATGGGCCCAGGGAAGGCCCGAGACAGGCTCTTGGCAGATCCTTCCTGAGGAAACCAGAGGGGTGACCACCTTCCCCTGGGAAGCCCAGTCTGCTGGGGGAGATGGCGCTCGTCCCTGGAGAGGCTGAGGGGAATGTGGTCTTGTTCCGGGAGCTGTGGTTTTGCGGGGAGGTCAGACTGCTAGAAAAAGCCCCAAATAGGGAAAGTTCCCCAAGGTACTGTCATCCATGGAGGGCTTCCCGGAAGAGACCGTTGATGAGTTTTGGGGGTGGAATGGGTGTTGGGTAGAGGTGCTTCCGTAGGGAAGGCATAGGACACTCTGGGCCTTCCCAAAGGTGGCCAGCACCCTCTTCCTGCCACATCCTACTGCCCCCATTACCTCCACCTCCCTAGCCAAGCCCGGAGGACCTACCTCAGGATCCTCAACTCCTGGGACCGATGTCCCCAGACAGCTCCCCGCTCTCATCTCTGGGGTGGGATAGCCAGCATCTGTGGGGAGAAAATTGTCTTTGGCCGCATCCCTGGACTGGAGGTGGGAGCCCTTCCCGGCCATACCTTCCCTTTTCTGCACCCAGGCCATTGCCAGGGGTCCCCTCTGCTGGGAACAGTTTCGCCTGCTGGCCCACCCTCCAGCTGAGCCAGGCGGCCTGCAAAGACTCCCGCCCTTCCTCCAGGATCTTCCAGCACTTTGCTCTAGTTTCTGCTGGTTGGGGCCTTCTTCCCTGGGGACTGGGTAGGGCACAGATGGGACAGTGGGAAGATGTTAGCTGCATGATGAAGGGCTAAGGAATGGAGGGGTGGGAGGTAGGCCCCAGGGTAGGCTGGGCCAGGTGGGAGGCTCTGAGCCTCCCGTCCCACCTGTCCCCAGGAGCCATGGTCCGAAAGCCTTCCAGCACCATGTGGATGGAAACATTTTCCAGATGTGAGTGTGTCAGGGGTGGATGCTCAGCCGGGGCCTCCACCTCCACTCCTTGGCTGGGGAACTAGGCTGAGCTGTGGCCCTGATCTGCCTCCCCATACATCCTCCTAGACCTCCTGTCTGCCAACCGCTCTGCCATCTTTCTGGGCCCCCAGGGCTCCCTGAACCTCCAGGCCATGTACCTAGATGAGTACCGAGACCGCCTCTTTCTGGGTGGCCTGGACGCCCTCTACTCTCTGCGGCTGGACCAGGCATGGCCAGATCCCCGGGAGGTGAGCTGGACTGGCAGGGAAGAGGGTCTGTTTGAGAACTGGGCACCTCCAGATGGGAGGCCAGATGGGGAAACTGAGCCTGTGAGATCAGGGGAGGACCTGAGGTCAGCGGGGCTGTGTTCCAGGTCCTGTGGCCACCGCAGCCAGGACAGAGGGAGGAGTGTGTTCGAAAGGGAAGAGATCCTTTGGTGAGTGCTGTCGGGAGGGATGGTCCCCCGACCTGACACCCTGCCCTGACCCCCAGGACAATCCGTGACCACGCCCCAGGTACCTCTACCAGGGGCATTTGGAGCAGATCTTGAGGGCTTTTGAAGGTCTGCTGGGAATGTCACACCCACCCCCCTCCCCAGAGCTGACCGCCAGACAGGGCTGAGCCTTGGGCCCCAAGGAGATGGTGGGCACCCCCTCTCACCCCTCAACCACCCCCTCCTTCTCCCCGCAGACAGAGTGCGCCAACTTCGTGCGGGTGCTACAGCCTCACAACCGGACCCACCTGCTAGCCTGTGGCACTGGGGCCTTCCAGCCCACCTGTGCCCTCATCACAGTTGGCCACCGTGGGGAGGTGAGCCTGGGCCAGGCCCCACAAGGGACTGGGAGGCAGTGACATTTCCTCCCTGCTGCCTGAACATTCCCATTGAGCCTGGGTAGGGACAGAGGGGCAGGGGCCTGAAAGGCGCCTTTGTGTTGGGGAGCTGACCCCATTAGAGGGGCCCTGGATGAGGACGCCTTCCGCCCACCCCCGCTCTCTGGCCGCACGCGAGGGCTCCTGCTTGGGTGTGGGCTGCTGGTGCTTCTCTCCCAGGTGACGCCCCTCCCTCCCTCTCTCCCTCCCACTAGCATGTGCTCCACCTGGAGCCTGGCAGTGTGGAAAGTGGCCGGGGGCGGTGCCCTCACGAGCCCAGCCGTCCCTTTGCCAGCACCTTCATAGGTGGGTGATGCCCAGGCCAGGGTGAGAACAGGGAGGGTGGCAGCTGGCCTATGTCACTGGGAAGGGAGGGACCCGGCTGCTGGGCCTGGGCCTCCTCCCCTGACTCTGTTCCCCAACCCCCACCCCAGACGGGGAGCTGTACACGGGTCTCACTGCTGACTTCCTGGGGCGAGAGGCCATGATCTTCCGAAGTGGAGGTCCTCGGCCAGCTCTGCGTTCCGACTCTGACCAGAGTCTCTTGCACGGTGAGGCCTGCCCCTGGAACTGGCAGGGGTGAAGAGGCTACCTTCCCAGCTAGGACACCAGCCTCCAGTGGGAGTCCCCTGCCCCATTCCTCTCCCCACTGGGTTCTACTCCCATCCTCCCCTGTGGGGCCCCTCCACCCAGCATGACCCTGTCACCCTTCCAGACCCCCGGTTTGTGATGGCCGCCCGGATCCCTGAGAACTCTGACCAGGACAATGACAAGGTGTACTTCTTCTTCTCGGAGACGGTCCCCTCGCCCGATGGTGGCTCGAACCATGTCACTGTCAGCCGCGTGGGCCGCGTCTGCGTGGTAAGAGCTGGGAAGGGGTGGTGAGGTTCAAGTCCCTGCTACACCCTCCCATTCCCAGACCTTTCTCCCCCCACCCCTGGCCAGCAGTAGGGAAACTGAGGCAAGGATGCAAAGCTGACATGCATACCTCTCCCCGAGTGGGTGAGGGTAGAAGAGTGGATGGTGGGACCCATCCTCGTGGGGCCCAAGCGTGACTCTGGCCCCTTATCCTGCAGAATGATGCTGGGGGCCAGCGGGTGCTGGTGAACAAATGGAGCACTTTCCTCAAGGCCAGGCTGGTCTGCTCGGTGCCCGGCCCTGGTGGTGCCGAGACCCACTTTGACCAGCTAGGTGAGGGCCTGGCCAAGCAGGCCTAGGGCTCGGGAGTGGGGAGGGCTGAGAGCTGGTGAGTCAGGGCATTGGCGGTGGCCATGACACTCATACTCCTTTCTCTACCCCAGAGGATGTGTTCCTGCTGTGGCCCAAGGCCGGGAAGAGCCTCGAGGTGTACGCGCTGTTCAGCACCGTCAGGTGGGCACACCCAGCACCCCGGCCTTGCGATGGGCCCCTGTCTTTGTCCCTGATTCGGTGACCTGTGACTGTACTCTCTGACTCTCTCTTTGCCTTTGCCTTGGGGTCTTTGCTTTTCGGAGTCTCTGCTTGCTGCAGGCACTGTCACCCTCTGTCCTGCCCATGGAACCAGGCTGTTCCCTTCTTGTCCTTGATGGCCACTCTGGCCTGACTGTCCCATGTGCCCCGGCAGTGCCGTGTTCCAGGGCTTCGCCGTCTGTGTGTACCACATGGCAGACATCTGGGAGGTTTTCAACGGGCCCTTTGCCCACCGAGATGGGCCTCAGCACCAGTGGGGGCCCTATGGGGGCAAGGTGCCCTTCCCTCGCCCTGGCGTGGTGAGTATCTGCTGGGGCCAGGCCAGGGAAGCGAGGCCTGAGCAGATGTGGGGAAGGGCTCCTTGGAGTGGCCTCATGTCCCCATGCACCCCCACGGCAGCGGACGTTGGCCAAGCCTGGGCTCCAGAGGGCCTGGGTGGGGTGGGGTGGGTGTAGTGGAAGAGGAGAGCCCTCCTGCAGTGAGAGAGGTCCCCCTGGTTGGGGTGGAAACAGACTGGCGGTGGAGGGTGTGTGCTGTCTCAGGATACTTCAGGCACTCCCTTCCCTGCTGCCCACAGTGCCCCAGCAAGATGACCGCACAGCCAGGACGGCCTTTTGGCAGCACCAAGGACTACCCAGATGAGGTGCTGCAGTTTGCCCGAGCCCACCCCCTCATGTTCTGGCCTGTGCGGCCTCGACATGGCCGCCCTGTCCTTGTCAAGACCCACCTGGCCCAGCAGCTACACCAGATCGTGGTGGACCGCGTGGAGGCAGAGGATGGGACCTACGATGTCATTTTCCTGGGGACTGGTAGGACAGCTGAGCCAGGGTGGCCAGGCTGGAGAGGGGTGTGGGGTCTCTGGCTGTCCCCTCCTGTCCCGCTGACCCCTCCTCCCTGGCCCCAGACTCAGGGTCTGTGCTCAAAGTCATCGCTCTCCAGGCAGGGGGCTCAGCTGAACCTGAGGAAGTGGTTCTGGAGGAGCTCCAGGTGTTTAAGGTAAGCAAGGGGCTGATGGAAGGGTCCCTCCAAGCCCCATCTCTGGGTCTGAGCCTGGCTACAGGGATGCAGGAGCAAGCCCAGTAGGGAGCCAGCCTGTCTTTACTGAATTTGCAGCTGGCAGGATGCTGGGGAGGGGATGCAGAAAGAGATGCCCCCCCTCCACCCCGCACCTCCGCTGTGGCAGAGGCCTCGCAGCCACTTATGAATGACTGGAGGCCCAGAGCTACAGCCTGTGAGCTGAAAGTGCCTGGGGTGCTGGGAGGGATGGTCAAGGGAAGCAACCTTCTGCAAACCCCTGTAGGACTCAAGTTGCAAGGAGGAGATGGTTGAGATCCCAAGGCCCCTAGATGTTCTCTTGGCCCCTCTAGAGACTCAGGAAGGGGGTCATCTGTGTTTGGGGGCCTGTTGTGCCTCCTGGACCTGAGCTGGGTAATTTGGGACAGCTGCCTCATTGCTGGGGAACAGGCTGAGAGAGGGGACACTCTAGCTCTGTGCTTTCAGTCAAGCCTCCTGCTTGGAGGCCAGCCATGACCAGGGGGCCTTTCTTGTAACCCATCGTCTGGGAAAGACTGTCTAGCCTTAGCTGCCAGGGAGTGCAAGACCCAGCCTGGGAGCTAGGTGGTTCCCACCCCAGGGTTGGAGGAGACTGAAAGCAGGGGTGCAGGGGCAGGTCTTGGTCCACCCGACCCACACTGAGACCCTTCTCCTTCCCCAGGTGCCAACACCTATCACCGAAATGGAGATCTCTGTCAAAAGGGTAAGAACAGCTGCCACCCTCCTCTTGGACCCCCCTTCTGCCCCTGCTCCGCAGCCTCCTCCTCTGCCCCTGCTCCGCAGCCTCCTCGAGCTCCACTGTAGTCTGGGGAAAGCTGTGCTGAGGCAGGCCTGATTCGCCCCTGCAACAAGTGGCCAGTGGGCACTGGAGGCACCGAGTAAGTGGGGCCATGTCCAGATAAGGGGATAGTCACAAAGGCCAGTTCCTAAGGGAGGCAAAAGTGTGCCTGAAAACACAAAATCCAGATGTTAAGTCCAACAAGGCCACTTTTTAGAGGCCTACTATATTTGCCAAGTGGCAAAACCCGTCTCCCCATATTTATCTGCTCCAGTGTATCTTTGTGTAAATCCTAACTTTCGTGCAAGGGTTGCTTAAAGCAAGGTGCACCTCTAAGGTCAGGGACAACTCAGGATAAAGGCCCCTGGGATAGAGGGCAAAGGTCAGCACCTGGGAGGGCCTGGAGAAGCCCCTTAGAGAAAACATCCCAGGTCTTGGTTCTCCTCCATCCCTTCTGTGTCCTGGCACAGAATCTGGTATGCAGCAGATGGGTGATAAACACTTTTTGTTTTTTGAATGAATCCAAGAGGTTCTGGAAGACTTCCTGCAAGTGGCAGGGGTCTCAGGAAGCTGAGGGGCTGAGAGCCTGGCTGCGTGTGGGCGAAGCCTGGGCTCACCTCAGGCTCTGCTTCTGTCCCTCCCCAGCAAATGCTATACGTGGGCTCTCGGCTGGGTGTGGCCCAGCTGCGGCTGCACCAATGTGAGACTTACGGCACTGCCTGTGCAGAGTGCTGCCTGGCCCGGGACCCATACTGTGCCTGGGATGGTGCCTCCTGTACCCACTACCGCCCCAGCCTTGGCAAGCGCCGGTTCCGCCGGCAGGACATCCGGCACGGCAACCCTGCCCTGCAGTGCCTGGGCCAGAGCCAGGAAGGTGAGTGGTGGCAGGTGGGAGGGCCCAGACTGGGCTGGAACTCACCCCTGTGGCCCGGCTCCACCCCTGCGAAGTGCATTCTCAGATTGGTCTTGTCATGACGGATAGTCCTCAGTTTCCCTCTCTGTGTAGCTCCTGCTAGTGCATGGAAGCAGGGTCTTTGGACACAGTGGCTGGCTTGGGGATCCACGCATGCCTAAGTTCTTGTCATACTAGTGGGGCTCCTGAGCTGTGGTGTCAGGTGGTGGCACTGGGATCTGGGTCCCATAGTTCCCAAGCTGAGCCAACCTCTGCCTCTCTCCAGAAGAGGCAGTGGGACTTGTGGCAGCCACCATGGTCTACGGCACGGAGCACAATAGCACCTTCCTGGAGTGCCTGCCCAAGTCTCCCCAGGCTGCTGTGCGCTGGCTCTTGCAGAGGCCAGGGGATGAGGGGCCTGACCAGGTGAGTGAGGAGACCCCTGCCTCTAGCCTCTGTGTGTCCTGAGGTCACCTCCCATCCTGAACCCCAAGACCTGAGCCCCAGAAAGGGGTTCTGGGGGGAATCTGCCAAGATTAACCTAAAAAAAGTTTGTATTAGGCTCCTGGGGTGCCTAGAAGGAGGTGCCCTATTTTTGCCTTTTGGGAATGCCCAGGCCAGATGTGGCTGGAACTCCCCCAGTCTGAGGGGTGGGTGATGGAAGAGAGAGAAGAGGGTCTGGGCAGGCCAGTAAGTCTCCCATGTTTACACACATGGCTCATCTTTGAAGGATTCTCTTCTCCAGGGGTTCTTGGTTCTCTTCTGCCCCAGGCAGGGGAGGGGGCTGTGCCCTGGGCCCAGGACTAGGCTTCAGAACCTCCCTATGCTACACACACACAACAGAAGAGAACCTTCTGGGTCCCTAACCACTGGTCCTTGCCCTCCACCCTCAAAGCCTGGCCCCACACTTCCTCCCTGGAGTCCAGCTGTCTGCTCAGGGCCTCTCCTCCCCCATCCGGAAAGGTCTATCAACCCCAGGGATGGTTTAAGTCTGGGGCCTGAGGATGGGCATTGGCCGGGGCAGGGAAGGGGAGGGGCAGGAGTGGATTGATTACAGGAGGGGCTCTCCCTCCAGCCTGGGAACTGGGGGAGGCCAGCCTTGGGCCAGCTGTTGGGCTGGGCACTGAGAAGATTCCCCAGGGGAGGAGGGGAGCAACAAGATGGTGTTTCACAACACTAGCTAATGGCTCAAGCAATCCACCCCCAACACACAGATGTGCAGACTAAAACCCACACAGGGTCCAGGCCAGAGGCGGGCTGGGATCAGGGCGGCACTCCCACTTCCCACGCTGTGATGGGCGATCAGCCCACCCTGGGCTGGGGCTGTCAGCTCGCACCGTTGGGGGAATGAACGGTTCAGACCAGGATGGGAAGGCCCTGTGTGTGTCTCTGTGTGTGTGTGCGTGCACGTGCATGTGTGCGTGGGCACACGCACATTGTATGTGTGTAGCATAGGGAGTTTCTGAAGCCCAGTTCTGGGCCAGGGGGCACAGCCCCTCCCTTGAGAAAAGCCTGTAGATGGGATGGTACCTCCAGAAGGGCTAAGGGGATAACATCTTAGCCCCTATGTTCCTTGGGAATGTGTGCCAGGGCCCTCTGAGGCCAAGATTGGAGTCCTCTGACTAAGGGAGAAACCAGCCAGTCAAATCCTTGAGAAGGCCCCTTCCTGGGCTATGGGAAGGTGAGGCCCCACCTGAATTAGCTGGTGGTCTAGAGGAGGCCCAGACTGCCACGCTGCTGGTCCCCTCCTGGGAAGGGGAGAATAGGGCAAGAAGTGCCCAGGCACTGGGCCCCAAGGATGGCAGAAAAGCTGGGGCAGAGAAGCCGATGGTAAACTCCCACCTTGCACCCTACTCACGCCCTCCCGCCCGCATGGCAGGTGAAGACGGACGAGCGAGTCTTGCACACGGAGCGGGGGCTGCTGTTCCGCAGGCTTAGCCGTTTCGATGCGGGCACCTACACCTGCACCACTCTGGAGCATGGCTTCTCCCAGACTGTGGTCCGCCTGGCTCTGGTGGTGATTGTGGCCTCACAGCTGGACAACCTGTTCCCTCCGGAGCCAAAGCCAGAGGAGCCCCCAGCCCGGGGAGGCCTGGCTTCCACCCCACCCAAGGCCTGGTACAAGGACATCCTGCAGCTCATTGGCTTCGCCAACCTGCCCCGGGTGGATGAGTACTGTGAGCGCGTGTGGTGCAGGGGCACCACGGAATGCTCAGGCTGCTTCCGGAGCCGGAGCCGGGGCAAGCAGGCCAGGGGCAAGAGCTGGGCAGGGCTGGAGCTAGGCAAGAAGATGAAGAGCCGGGTGCATGCCGAGCACAATCGGACGCCCCGGGAGGTGGAGGCCACGTAGAAGGGGGCAGAGGAGGGGTGGTCAGGATGGGCTGGGGGGCCCACTAGCAGCCCCCAGCATCTCCCACCCACCCAGCTAGGGCAGAGGGGTCAGGATGTCTGTTTGCCTCTTAGAGACAGGTGTCTCTGCCCCCACACCGCTACTGGGGTCTAATGGAGGGGCTGGGTTCTTGAAGCCTGTTCCCTGCCCTTCTCTGTGCTCTTAGACCCAGCTGGAGCCAGCACCCTCTGGCTGCTGGCAGCCCCAAGGGATCTGCCATTTGTTCTCAGAGATGGCCTGGCTTCCGCAACACATTTCCGGGTGTGCCCAGAGGCAAGAGGGTTGGGTGGTTCTTTCCCAGCCTACAGAACAATGGCCATTCTGAGTGACCCTCAGAGTGGGTGTGTGGGTGCGTCTAGGGGGTATCCCGGTAGGGGGCCTGCAGGGAGCCAGAGGGTGGAAATGGCCTCTAAGCTAGCACCCCGTAAGAAGAGCCTACCTGACCGACTTGGGGAGGGAACACAGAGGTGTTGGGAAGGTGGAGCAACAATGCACCTCCCCTCCTGTCGCGCCGTGATATCTTGGTGGCTCCCTGCCACTGCCCACCGCCTCTTCTCCATCTGAGAATCACGGAGAGGTGTAGATAATCTAGAGGCATAGACTGCTAGAGCCCCCAGGGATCTGGGGTGGTCAGGGCTCAGGCTTCACTTTGTAAACCAGGTGGGGGCATCTCACAGCCTGACTTCCCTTCCCCAGGCCAGGGTTGCTGGGATGCCTGCCCCTCCTGAGAGGACCCCCTCCCCATTGTCAGGCTCTCCATGTCCACGAGCGGGGAGGGGTGGGTTCTGGGGCATTGTTGTCCCTTGTGTCTGTGGACTAGAGATAGGGTGGGGGAGCTGGGGAAGGGTGCAGGCGGGAAGAGTGGGCTGTCTTTCCCAGGGTGATGCAAGCATGCCGCAGCCCTGGAGGCTGGGAATGTGGAGGCTCTGTGAGCCCTGCAGCCCTCAGAATCAGGGCCAGGGATGCAGAAGATTGAGAGGATATGGAGATGGATAGAGGGCAGGAGACCCTTAGGATAGATTGTGGGACCCAGGCAGGAACAGGTGTCCACAAGAACTCAGGATGGCATCAGTTAGCTCAGAAGCCACCTGGAAGACCCAGTGTTTCCATCTCTGGAATCTCTGTTTTATGCTAAATGGATTTAGGAAGACTGTTTTTCTTTTAAGGGGGAAACAAGGTAGAGAAAAGGACGAAGAAGTGTAAGTCCCGCTGATTCTCGGGGGTAAGGCTCGGATGGCAAGGACGCGTTCTGCCTGGGCATGTAGGGGAGGTGTTTTTGCCATCACCAGTTTCTCAGGCTGGGGAGCACAGAGGGGAGGAG